>NC_000018.10:76948373-77249728 GCF_000001405.40 Homo sapiens | reverse complement strand
GGAGTGCGGACCTGCCCGGCGGGCTGAAGGCGGGGCTGCCGGATGCCGCGGGCCAGGCGGGCGAGGGAAGCCGGGCGCGCTCCAGGGCGTTCCAGGGCGCGCCGGGGTGGGAGGCGGAGGGGTGCGCGGGCCTCCTCATCCATTAGTGCCTTTCCTCCTCCTCCTCCCCAGGGTGGCTGTCCGTGAGAACGCCTCTCTCCCAGGAATAACCCCAGGAAATCGAGGCTGGCGACGCTCCCTGGAGTTTTGTAAAATTGGCCGCCTAATCCCACCCTCACCCCGCGGCCTGCTACAGAGGAGAGAAGTGCAAAGGGAAAGGGCCGCGTGAGCTTCTCTATAGACGTGGCTGACATGGAAGGGGAAGGCTGTTCACACCACCCAACCTCACTTCATTTTTGCCTTGTATTACTCATCTGAGGGACATAAACTGCAGCAGTGACAAACGAAATATTTTTAAAGTGAAAGAAAGTGTTTAGTATCTTACTGCCGTAAATGTGGATTTGCCAGAAAGAAATTAAGCCGTTTCGGTATAGCAGGGCCAGTCACGTTAGCTTTGTAACCTTGGTGGTTCCCAGCTAGAGAGCTGACACTGATTCCTTTATTTGCGGTGATTTGTCTGTTTTCACTTTCAAAAACACCGATGCGTTTCCAGCATTCACCATCTGGTGACTGTCCATTATGCGCGGACGCAGTGCCTGAGGGGATGGGTAATCCAAAGACCAAAGAGGGCAGGGGCTCTTTGCCTTGAGGAGTTAAGGAAGTAGGATCTTGTTTTTCTACCTTGCTAGCTCTGTTCTGCCTCATTTCCAGATAAATCTTGATGCAGTTCATTGAACATCTATGTATTTTATCTACATTCATTGCTAGGGAGTTCCTTGCAAGGGAATTGTTCTATTCACACACATTTTCTGGAAGACAAAATTGAGTGTAAGCAACTTGCCTATTTGGGTATCCTGCTAAAGCCAAGAATGCTCTTACCTGCCCCGACCTGAGAGAATGCCTTGAAACTTCCTCAGGTGATCTTGCCAATCCGTATTGCTTTTCTTCCCTGAGACGCTCTCCGACCCAGGCTTTCAAAGTATCATGTTGTATTTGACAGCTCTGTTGCATTGAAAGTTAGTAGTAATATGATTTGGGAGAGTTTTTAAATTATGAACTATTTTCACATGAAACAGATATGATAAAATTACATTGAATACCAATGCACCCACCATCTAGCTTAGAATAATTTTTAAATATTATCACTAGAGTTGAAGTCACTTTTATATATTTTCCAGTCACAACCTCCACCTCTCCCACTATCTCCAAGTAACCTAAATTTGTTGTCTATTAGTCATTTCTTTATACATTTTTGGCATACGCATATGATCTTAATATATTGTGGTGATTTTTTTTTTTTTTTTTTTTTTTTTTGCTTTAACATTATGTGGTTGGTATTATGGTACATGTTTTGTTTGTTTTTGCCTTAAAGTATAATTTGTCTGTTATTGCTATAAGTACAACAACATTCTTTGCTTTGTATTTGCCTGTTACATCTTTTACAGCCTTCCTATGTTATGTCCTGCAATTTAAAGGTATCTCTTTAATATAGCACATAACTGAATTATTTTAAAACACAATTTTAAAATCTCTAGTTTTTAACTGGTGAGTTTAGGTCATTTATATTTATTGTTATTACTAACCTATATGGATTTATTTTTAACATTTTATTTTGTACTTTTTATTTGTTTTCTATTTCTGTGCTTTTTCTCTCTCTCTCTCTCTCTCTTTTCATGACATCTTTTGAATTGCATTTTAAAGTGTTTTCTCCCTCCCTCCACATTCTTGGAAAAGGAAGAAATATAGTGTATATTTATTGTTTTACTGGTTACCCTTGAGTGCCTACTATGTGCCAGGAACTATTGTAGGTTCTGGAGATAGAGCAATTAACACAACAAAGTACTTTCTTTTATGGATTTTACATTTCATTATGGACACGACATTTAAAAATAAATAAAATGATAATGTCACATGTGGTAAACACTACTGATATACTTTAGATATCTGTCCTCGCCAAATCTCTTATTGAATTATAATCCCTAATGTTGGAGGTGGAGCCCAGTGGGAGGGTTTGGATCAATGGGGTGGATCCCTCATGGCTTGGTGCTGTCCTCGGGACAGTGAGTCTGAAGATCTGGTTGTTTGAAAGTGTGTGGCACCTCCTCCCTTCCCTCTCTTGCTTCCGCTCCTGCCATGTAAGATGTATCTGCTCCCCCTTCACCTTCTGCCATGATTAGAAGCTTCCTGAGACCTCCCCAGAAGCTGAGCAGATGCCAGCACCATGCTTCCTGTACAGCCTGCAGAACTGTGAGCCAATGAAACCTCTTTTCTTTATAAAGTACCCAGCCTCAGGTGTTTCTTTATAGCAATGCAAGAATGGCCTAATACAACCCTAAAAGAGAAGAATGCAGGATAAGGGATAGAGAGCAGTTAGAGAGTATAACTATATACAGGGCAATAGGGAGAAACATCTGAAAAACTGACATTTGAGTAGGAACCTGAAGGAAGTACAGAAGGAAACCTTTTAAACACGTGGCATGACACATTCCCGGGAAACAGTGCAGCAGAGGAAGCTGTGTGAAGAACGAGGAGTACAGTTTTGCTGTCATGGAAACAGCTGGGAAGAAGATTTGTCAGCCACGAGGTCAGAAAACATTGGTTCAGGAAAATGGGGATGGATGACCTCAGACCTTGGAGAGCAAGGAAGGGGCCTGGGACTTCATTCTGGACTTCGGAGGAAGTCCTATAGGGAGTTTCAAGCAGAGAGATGTTATGCTCTGACCTGCGATTCAGAATGATGATTCTGGAGTACAGATTAGAAGAGCAAAGAAAAGAGCAGAAGACCAACCAGTAAGCTTGCAGGAACCCAGACAACAGATCGTTCTAGGTGTGGTGGGAAGGACCTGGATTCTGGATATCTCAATGTTGTAGCAAATGAGATTCGTTGGTGGATGGATTTAAGGTGGGAGAAAAGGGAGAGCAAGGTTGACTACCACGGTTTTAGTCTGACAGCCTGGATGGGAAATCACCATTTACTGAGTTGACACAAAGAGTGGAAGGAACAGGTTTGGAGGTGTGGAGCATCAAGTTAAATTTTAGGTGCTTGCTAGACATGGGACTGACAAGACTGCAGTTGGGTGGATTAGTCTTGAGTTAATGAGAGAGACCAGAGCTGGAGACATGGATTCAGAAGTTACTAAAATTCTATTAATATTAAATAGAATTTAAAATTAATTGTTATCACTCCCCTTCTCCCAAGCCATACAAGTTTCAGGAAGCCTTCTAACTCCAGTCACTTTTTGTCATTCTACCTGGTTTTGTTGCCCAGTTGTTTAGTTCTTTTAATTTCCCCCCAATTCGGCATATTTGTTGTGTGATACAGGCAATATCCAGTTTGGTGACCCACATTCTTACCCATGGCTTTCTGCACCTTCCTCTATTCATCTTAAGCCTTTTCCTTGTTTTTAGAGAATATATTTTAAGTTTTCCTTTAGTGATAGTCAATGATAAAAATTGCTCATTGGCTCTTATTATTGAATGGGAGTTGGCCAGATGGACAGTTCTTTTCTCCCAGTACACTGAGGATATTTTTCCACCTTCTGGATTTTGCTCCTGCTCTTGAGAAATCAGCTGATGTGCTTTCTGTCACTCCTTTAGAGATAATCTGACTTTTTTCTCTATTTCTAATATCTTCTCTTTATCATTGATGTTTTATAATTTCACTTTGATAGGTTTGTGATGATTTTCATTTTTTAGCCCTTCTTGTTGAGCTTCTGAAGCTAAAGATTAATATATTTTTCATCAGTTCTGGAAAAATTTTCAGCCATTATCTCTTTTACTTTCCCCATTCTTGGCACTCTCTCCTCCTGGAATTCTGAGAGACATAGCTTAGGCCTTTCCACTATCTCCTTCCTATCACTGACTCACTTTTTCATACTTTTCATCTCTTCATCTGTGCCAATTTATTGGTATTTCTTCAGCTGTACACCCTTGATTTAACTACTCTCCTTAAGTTCTCACAGAATTTTTTCAAATGTGCCAGGCCTATTTTTTAATATTTTCTTCCTCATTGCTGATGTTTCTAATTACCTCTCCTATTTATCTGAATATTTTAAATGTGCTGATTTTATATTCTGAAAATTCTAATATCTGAAGTCCTTGGAGTCTAATTATGCTTTTATTACTTCTACCAAGTTCCTATTCTCGTAGCTTGTTTCCAGTTTTGTTTTGTTTTGTTTTTGTCCTTTAGATTTCTGTTAAGCCAGAACATACCTGTGATGATTTGATAGACTTGAGTTAAGTGCATACTCCTATAAAAGTGTTTTTATTTGCTCTGCCATTGGCCCAATGGTACCATCAACTCAGGACATTTTTAAGTTAATTTCTCAGCATGATATGCATCAGGACACACAAGGGTAAATTCAAACCCCAAAACCTACATAAGAGAGGTAATGGGGGAGTGAATTCTCAGGTCTTTCCCTCCCACCTGGCCCTAAGGCTGCCACGGAGTTTTCTAGAAGTGTTTGTGGGCAGATTGCTTTGTTGTTCCCACTCATTTACTGCGCTCCCTATTGGAAGATTCTGTAATCCTGCCTCTCCCAGGTGAATTTCTGTGCTCCTCTCAGGGCAGAAATGAGTCTTACCCATTTCCTTCAGGCTTTGGCTGAGACAATGTGAGTGCAACAGCTGTGAGGTCATCCTGAGCTCAAGGTCTAAGCAATACCATGGGATTCATTCCTCGGGTACGAACACTGAGCATCCCCCTCAGGTACGAAGACTGTGCATCCCAGTGCAGGCTGCTGCTTTGGGCTGTGTTCTCCATGAATACGTGCCACAGGATTTCAGTTGACCCCAGTTAAAATGTCCCCTTAGCAAGAAATTAGCCTTTGTGGCTGTGAGCTACTTGTTACTGCAGCTTAATGCAGCAAAAGCTGACTACAGCACTTCTTTGCCAGGAAACTTTTTATAGGTGAATCCTTCACTAACAGTGTAGCCTTTCAAGGATCCTGCATTTTTACAAGGGTCTCAATTATCTGTCTTATTCTGTCTTATTCCAATTCTCTTAGAGTTGAATTCAAGACGACCTAGTCTCTCCTAATGGAAATTTTAAAACTCAGCAAGGCACAGTGGCTCATGTCTATAATCTTATCACTTTGGGAGGCCAAAGAGGGAGAATTGCTTGAAGCTAGGAGTTTGAGACCAGCCTGGGCAACAAAGCAAAATCCCATTTCTACAATAAAAATAAAAATAACATTAGCTGGTCATGCTGGCACCTGCTATAGTCCAGCTACTTGAGAAGCTGAGGCAGAAGGATTGCTTGAGCCCAGGAGTTGGAGGCTGCAGTAAGCTATGATCATACCACTGCATTCCAGCCTAGGTGAGAGAGTAAGACCTCATCTCTAAAAAATAATAATAATAATCTGTGACAGATGTTATGTGTGTTCACCACATTTTCAGTTCTCCCCTTCCAGGCTCCTGGAAGACTGCACTTCTCAGCCCCATTGATGTTTTGCAGGTCTGCAGAATCAGTTATGTCCAATCAAATAGAAAAGAAAGAGAAGCTTCCAAGCCACATGGAAGAACCCTCCCCATAGCTGTTCCAGCCAAGTGGACTCTTAGTAAGCGTCCTAACATACTCTGCTCTTCCTTAATTTTTTTTTCTTCCTACATGACAGACAGACCACCTATCTGAATGTCAATTTTCATTGTATTACACCTAGGATGTTTTGACTCATCGTTCAAGTCCCAGCTGCAATGTTATCTCATTTCCAGAGTCTTTTTGGCTGTCCCTGTTAGGGCGCATCACTCCTCCCTCTATACTCGCAGAAAACTCTGTCCTGGCTTCCCAAAGCACCCTCACAATGCTTTGTAACTTCGCATGTCGCGGGCAAGCATCTCGCAGTCCTTTAACCCGGGAGTCTCTCCAGAGCACATTGGGGTCGGCTCCAGGCAGCTGCTCTGGGTCTCTGGAGGTCTTCCACACAGCCAGGCACTGGCCAGGGAAGGACTTTTGGGGATGGATGCCATCGGCATCCTCCCTGCTTGCCCATGGGCCCTGTGTGTCTGTGACAACAGGGGCAGGGCCAGCCTGGGGACCTGGCTGCTCCGGTCACCTTGGAGATGCAGGCAGCCCACTGGGTGGATGAAGCACACTCCTGGGGTCTGAGGGCAGCTGCACAGGCACTGCTGGAGTCACAAACTCCTGGGGATTTGGGGGGGCAGGGGGCCACCATCCCCTCTGCCACTGACCCAGCCCCCTGGCTTCCCAGCCAGTCCCTGCTGGGCCCTCCTGCCCTGCATCCAGCCCCAAGGGTACGGCACAAGCACCAGCCTCGGTGTCCGCTGCACCCCTCCCCACTCTCGGGTCTCTAGGATGTTCCAGGCTCCACACAGGGACCACTGTTCCAGCAAGGCCACTCTCTCTCTGTAGCTTTAAACAGCAGGTTTTGGAACTCACAGCAGAAGTTGGACGCCATTCCCTTACCCCTACCTCTGGCATTGGGGACTGTTGTAATTTTCCCCCTGAGGGACATAATCCTGTCTAATAGTTAGGTTTTAGTGATATACAGGGTGTAGAACAGAAATAAAATATCTAGAACAAAATGGAAAAGGAAGCATTTAAAGTATTATCTGGCCACATTCATTTAACCACCTCCATACTCTGAAACACAGCAGACACATTCCTCATCTTTGCATCCTAAGCTAGCATGTGAGCATGCTAATGAATGAATAGTAATAAACCAGCATTAACCAAGTCATTAATAATTAGCAATAATTTTGAAAGAGTGTCTTATGTGCTATACTGTAGGAAATATGTTCACTATCTCTTTGAATTCTCATAACAACTCTATAAAGTTGGTGTTATTTTCACCATTTTACAAGCAAACAGCCAAGTCTTGGAAAGGTTAAACCAACCTTAGGACTCATGCACATTTTTGTTTGTGGTGATGGGATTTAAAGCTGGATCAATTTCAATCCACATACAATATTCTTAATCTTTATACTGTTGTAGAATATTTAGTATATACCTATGTCAGTCAAAGTATAGTGAGAGATGGTATCCTCTGAAACAAATTCATGGAGATTCATTCCCTGTGTAGAAAATACCTGAAGCAAGTACATATTTATCTGTCCAGCATCCCTACCTTCGAGAAACATTGTTTCACCACTCTATGGTAAAGCAGATTCATCCCCAGATGTCCCCCTACTCATGGGGTGGAGGGGCATATCTCATGGGACTAGAATATTATCTCATGCCAGTCCCATGAGATAATAACCTCCCGCTCTTCACAAGTGAACTTTAGTTAAATTTCTGCAACCAAAAAAAGGCTTGATGTAGCACTGCTTCATCATATACAATATATACATATTGTATATACATAATGCATCTTAGCTTTAGAAATCAGCATCTACCCAGGCCTAGCCAATCCAAATACCCCACAGGTTAATCTTCCCCTGATATTCCAAACTGCCACATCTACAAAAAGTTAGAATTGTTGGCGGCTGCTTTTGTCACTGTGTGAAGTAGGCCCCTTGAGGCCACCAATCATGTGGAGGGAAGCCAAGTGAAAAATGGAAATCAAGAAGCCCAGAGGATGTCACTATATCTGCTGGATCCAGCTGTGCCTGAAGCCAGTGCCCCGCCTAGACTTGCCAGTGTCATGAGATAAGCTCCTGCTCTTCACAAGTGCATTTTAGTTAAGTTTCTGCAACCAACAAAAGGCCTGATGTAGCACTGCTTCATGAGAAATATACATAATGCATCTTAGCTATTTATTTGTGCTCAATTTGAGAAATAAAATACATAGGAAAGAAAAAAGAATGCAAAATGATAAAAATTAAATAGGTACTTGAAACCAGATACTTCTGGTCTATTTTCCAGATTTAATACTTTAAATATTTTAATTTTTTATCTCTTTGCTTATTTATTTATTTATTTTTGAGACAGAGTCTTTCTCTGTCATCCAGGCTGGAGTGCAGTGGTTCAATCTCAGCTCACTGCAATCTCCAACCTCTACCTCCTGGGCTCAACCATCCTCCCACTTCAGCCTCCCATGTAGCTGGGACCACAGGTGTTCACCACGATGCCAGCCTAATTTTTGTATTTTTTGTAGAGACGGGTTTCACCATGTTACCTAGGCTGGTCTCGAATTCCTGGGTTTAAGCAATTCACCTCCCTGGGCCTCCCAAAGTGCTGGGATTACAGGTGTGAGGTACCATACCCAGTTTCTTCTTACTTAGATTTAAGGTAATCACTGTTTCCCTTAACGTCACTAAGAAAATAAAGTTTAAAGAATAGTAAGGGGTCATGCATTTGAGAGAGGTCATTGCTTTAAAGATTTTTTCTGTATTAACTCATTCCATTCATTCATTCAATCATCAAAGGAATAGACTTAAATTTAAATCATAATACAATTCCTTCCTCTACGCATGAAATGTAGGAAATTTCCACTAAGAAAGGATTACCCTGTGCAGCTTTTCCTAAACAAGCATATCTTACTCACTTGCATGATAAATGCACAAAAAGGTGCATGAATCGGAAGTCTACAGAGTGGCAGATCTTCAAAAGTTCTTCAGTGCTTCAAGAAAGCTGCATTTACACACCTTCCATAAAATGCAGGTCAGTGTGTGTTTGGGGGTGGGGATGCTGCAAGAAAATCGAAGATGCAGAAAGCAGGGGCCTTACAATTAGAGTCCTCTGCATTCCCAGAAAGGGACTGTGTCCCCTAACACAAAAGCTGTGTAAAACAGAAACAGGGCATCTCTGAATAACGAGGGCTGCCCTCCGGAAGCTCCTCATCAATCTCCTCAAAACCCACTGAAGTATGCTTGTAAGAACTGGAGCAGCTGGGAGTGTCTTTCGTGAACTGGTTCCTAACTTCTGACTACTAATAAATCCTAGAGGTGGGGGTCTGGCTTACATTATTCAGCACATTATGGATAATCCCACGCGGCTTGTCACCTACTGCAGCTCGTAAATGTTTTCTGGCTAATTAAGCTGAAGAAATGGCCTATCTTCCACTTACATAGCTGATGTTTTATATGTCAATATAATACTGGAACTTGTCCATTCTGAACAACACATTTGACTTCTTATTTCCCTTCTTTAAAGTCCATTTGGATTCCAATATTTAAAGGAGTTATCAATTTCATCTATCCAAGTCTATTTATAAGTTTATTTCCTACCTATCCCTCTATTCCATTTCTAAGTTTTGCATCAAAATAACTAGAAGGGGGCTGGGCGTGGTGGCTCAGGCCTGTAATTCCAGCACTTTGGGAGGCCAAGGTGGGCAGTTCAGCTGAGGTCAGGAGTTCAAGACTAGCCTGGCAAACATGGCAAAACCCCGTCTCTACCAAAAATACAAAAAATTAGCCAGGCATGATGGTGGGTGCCTGTAATCCCAGCTACTTGGGAAGCTGAGGTGGGAAAATCGCTTGAACCCAGGAGGCGGAGGTTGTAGTGAGCCGAGATCACACCACTGCACTCCAGGTTTTATTTTCTTAAACTACAGAATAGATGTAAAGAATGAGTTAACCTAGGAAACATGGTGAGACCCCCATCTCTACAAAAAATACAAAAATTAGCCAAGCATGGTGGTGCGTGCCTGTGGCCCCAGCTACCTGGGAGGATGAGGTGGGAGGATCATTTGACCCCAGGAGTTGGAGGCTGCAGTGAGCTATGATCATGTCACTGTACTCCCGCCTGAGCAACAGAGAAGAACCCATCTCAATCAAATAAAATAGAATAATAACTTACAAAGACTACAGTGAGACGGTTTTCTGACAAATTTAAGGTGAGAACCTCATGGCCAGCCATCTGTTGAGTTTTAAAATATAGTTCCCATCTATTGTTTTGCTGTATACATTTTACTCCCAGCAGTTTCAGATGACTAATACATCCAACTTTGGCCTCACCAAAAGGTGATATGCAGTCCTTGAGACTCAGGGGCCCTTCAGAAGTTAAGAGAAATGAGGAGCAGAGTGAGGAAGGAATGGCCAGCCCACAGGGTCAGGGAGGCAGCAGAGCAGCAACCCCACAGGGTCAGGGAGGCTACAGCAGCAGCCCCTGGGGGACGGGCCCAGGCTACAGCTGTACAGGTTCCCCTTGGGTCTGTTGGGGTGATCAGACCCAAAACTAGGTTATGGGGGTGACGAAGTCCGGCAGAGTCAAAAGAATGAGAAAAGACAGTTTGAGAGAGAAAGTGGGACCAGGGGGCTATTGCGAGTGTGGAAGCTGCAAAGGCCCCAAGCTCTGGAAGCCCAGACTATTTATTGGTGATCAAACAAAGAAACAGGTGGTGAGAATGTGGGGTTGAAAGGAAGGGTTGCATTAAGCACATGATTTACAGCTGTGATGGTTTAGCATCTGCTCTGCTACTTGAGATAACGGGGAGCAGGTTCTTTTAACTCAAGATACAATCGATCCTGGGAGAGCAAGGAGCAAGGAAGCAGCAAGTCTAGACACACTCCAGAGCCACAAGCCCTGGATTCTATCCAAGCCACGAGGGGTTTTATGCCCTGGGCTTAGACTGTGGTGTGTCAGGGTAGCCTTCTACCCTTTAGCACAGAGCTTGGTGTTCCAAACGCCACGAGGGGTTTTCGACCCTGGACCTTGTTCATGTTCCAAGACTCTTTTACATTATGTCAGACATGCAAGCCCTGCCTCAGCTTCTCCCAATACCCAGCTTTTCCCAACAGTGTCCAACCCCTGCAGAAACACACATCTGCCACAGGAACTTCCCTTCTTCCTTCCTGCATTTTTGCCCTTGCCAAGCCTCCTGAGCCCTTGGCTTCCTCGCTCCAAGGCCCTGACAGTGGGGAGGAGCTGAGGGTAAACACTGTTCCACATTCCATATGATCACATTTGTTTATCATAAGGAGAAACACATATGTTACTTATAGGAAGTAATGTGTAATGTGAGATGCTAAAATAAATAGCAAAATGATTTTTAAATTTTTTAGACATTATAGATTAATGGAGCTGGCAGTAAACAACCAATTTCTTCTTCTGTCCTCTCTCTAACCCAGGGTAACCCCAGCTGAGCTACTGTTCCGATTTGGGGGATTTACGCTAGTTGCCTCCTTTCTTTTGCCTCAGACGCTTTATTGGTAAAACAGAAATAATAATAGTCCCTCCCCCATGGAGTTGTTCTGAAAATTAAATGAACTAATAGATGTAAAGTTCCAAGAAAAGTGACGGCATAAAATAAGCAAGAAAAAATGCTACTTTTAAGTTATCCATCCATTCAGCTTGTGAATGTTTGCATTTTAACATACTTGCTTCTAACATGCTACTATTTTAGTATTTTATTCCTTCTCTCTGTAGTTCAGCTGATTCTATTATTTAAGATACTTGCATTCCTCATGACAGAACTTTATCACATCTCTCCATATTTATGATGTAATCAACTATCTGTTAATGTAATGGACCAATAGTAAAAACAATGCCAATTGCTGATCATTCAAAAAAACTGACACATAGCCCAGGCGCGGTGGCTCACAGCTGTAATCCCAGCACTTTGGGAGGCCAAGGCAGGTGGATCATGAGATCAGGAGATCGAGACCATCCTGGCTAACATGGTGAAACCCCATCTCTACTAAAAATAGGAAAAAAATTTAGCTGAGCATGGTGGCAGGTGCCTGTAGTCCCAGCTACTCAGGAGGCTGAGGCAGGAGAATGGCGTGAACCTAGGAGGCAGAGCTTGCAGTGAGCCGAGATTGCGCCACTGCAGTCCAGCCTGGGCAACAGAGTGAGACTCCATCTCAAAAAACAAAACAAAACAAAAAAACTGACATATTAATATTTTACTTTAGGACGGGTGTGGTGGCTCATGCTACCACATTATATTTGTTGAATAATATTCTGTTGGGTGGAATATATGTGCTTTGAACTTATTACAATGTTGGATATTTATTTCACTGAAACATACTTCCTGGGGTCAAACTAAAACATACTTAAGAATGCATGAAAATTCCAAATTATATATTTAAGAGAATTTATAAAACACTGTAGCTTAGTAGAAAGATTATGAATTATGGAATCAGAAAAGTCTGGTTTAGAATGTATTTGCTCACATTGTAACTCTATAACTTTGGACAAGTTTATTCACAGAAATATAAAGAGTTTGAATAAATGATAGATTAATGTAGATAGTGTATCTAATATTCTCTTAATCTTCAAAAGAATTTTATGAGGTCATTTTAATCTCCACTTTATATAGTGGAAATTGCCCTAAACCTTATTTCCCCAAATGCAAAATGAAGATCATTAACCCTAGAAACTACAAAGCTATAACTAAGAGGCTTACCATAGAGATGGTTATATTATAATATTATTTGTTAAATGTTAGGTATATTTAGTAAATGTTATTAAGAATGTTTCTCATGAAATATGGTGTATTAGTCCATTCTCAGGCTGCTAATAAAGACATACCTGAGACTGGGTAATTTGTAATGAAAAGAGGTTTAATTGACTCACAGTTCAGCATGGCTGAGGAGGCCTCAGGAAACTTACAATCATGGTGGAAGGGAAAGCAAATACCTCCATCTTCATATGGCAGCAGGAGAGAGAATGAGAGACAAAGTGAAGGGGGAAGCCTCTTATAAAATCATTAGATCTTGTGAGAACTCATTATCATGAGAAGAGTATGGGGAAAACCACTCCCATGGTTCAATTATCTCCACCTGGTCCCACCCTTGACATGTGGGGATTATTACAATTCAAGATGAGATTTTGGGTGGGGATGCAGCCAGACCATATTGTATGGATAGATCAAATGTGAAGGCTGTGGTGTGGTCAACATAAGAATATAATGACACTGCATGTAAAATAGTGACAATATGTACTTTACAGACAGTTAAAACCCAAAACTTAGCAATGGTTACTGATTCATAATCAACAAATGCTGAGGAAGGCAATACACCTACAGCCTTTAACTTTATTGATAATTTTTCCAAAACTGCATCCTTCTATATATTCTCACCTAGTCAATCATCCAGGTTAGAATGGTATAATTGAGGAGGGCAACATAATTCAGACCCAAAATGGTCAAAACTTAACAATGGACGCTTATGCTAACGACTGCTAAAACAAAAACCATGCAAGAGCCAGCAGGGATTCTGGGTTGATATTATTGGCTGGTGTGCTAAGTTGGAACTGCAACCTGTTATGATGGTCTTTGTTCATCTTGAGAAAGTACTAATTGAGTATGTATCTCTAAGTGGAAGGATTTAGGTACAATATCTAGCAAAGAAGAAACACTGGAGCAGGTGATAACAGTTGGGAAGTGATGGTGACAAAGGGTCCACCAAGTTGTCTCATCTCATTTCAAAGGATACTTGTCTTAAATAGGAGATCCATCACAGAATACTCATTCCTTAGGCATTTCCACTGAAGGAGGTCAAAGCACCAAGGTCTCTGGCACGCATCTGTCTTTGAAAGAACCACACCTGTTCTGTAATGCCTGGAACTATCAGCACCACCGCCTCTTCTGTGGAACAGTCAAGATGCTGACCTTTAGCACTTCCTGCTCTCAGACCTGTCTGCCAGTTCAAGGCTTCCAACAATCATTAAGAAGTTCCTTCCCTAGCCCCCCATCAAAAGCTGCTTAACCCAACCCTACAGTTGTTTGGTTATCATTGAAGCCCACCCCACTTACTACCAGCCATTGTTTCTCCTTCCAGCCACTGATTGCCAGGAAGGAAGAGCAGCCAGGTGCAGAAAGAGCAGAAGGTGGGCTCCAAGCTCCCTAATTTACTGCATCCATTGCCCAGCCCACTTTAATCACTATGGTGTAGGTCAGTCGCCCAGCGACTCCCCAGTCACAATCGATCAGACAGCACTAAGGTGTAATGCCAATTTCTTTGTGTGTGGCATTTTTCACCACTATGGACATTGTCCCCAGCCAGCTTTTTGCTGCAGCAATACTGGAGATGGCAAAACATTGAGACTCAGAGGCTGTCAGCAAGAAGCACATACGTCTGTCTTCCACGTCTGCTTGCCACGTGGGCTTGGCTGCAAGTCGGTTCCACATCCACATTCTAGAGTCCAGCTGAGAACACAATCAGCTGGGTGGGGAGGAGACGAAGAGGCTGAGCCCGAAAGCACATTTAATTTGTTTGGATCCAGTGTGTGTCCATTCTGCTCACACAGGATTGGCCAAAGCAAGTCACACAAACAAGCCTCAGGAAACTCTTTGAGGAAGGCTGCTCCTTCCATGCGTGTGGGAAGCCAAGAGCAAATATCTGCTGGCTGATACAATCCACTGCAGGCCTCTCTAGCTGTGAAATAGTTGCCTTCTATAAAGCAATGGAGACCTGAAATAACAGATGGCAAAATAAAGGCATCTGGATGAGAATGATTGTTTTCTTGAAGGTGTTGTCAATGAATATGAGAAGCCCCACAAGGCAGGACTCTGAATCTGTTACTTGACATCATAACTCATCACCTAAGCATTGATTCATTCCCTTCTGTTTTAGGGTATCAAGTTACCATGGTATGCATGGCTTCCTATTAGGCATTTAGGAGTGGGAGAGGAGGAATGAAAAGACTGAGGCCACAGGCATGCCGCCCTCGTGGAGCACCACTGGTGGAGTCCGGTCACGGGCCTGCAGCCACTGTGTGCTTCTGCAGAACTGTCACTGCAGTCATCGTGTGTAAGCAGTGCACCTGTGAGCATGACTGCCGATGACAACTTACAAAGGCAGCTGTGCAGATGCTAATCGCAAACTGAAAGTGCTAAAGCCGTGCAGTAATAAAGAGCATGGATTTGTGTCAGGCACACCTGGACTCATGCCCCAGCTTCCTGCTGTGTGGCCTAGGGCAACCTCCTCCGTGTTTCTAGGCCTCACTTAATTCATCTGTAAAATAGGTTTGCTTTAGTTATTATGAGAGATAGCACCTATGAAACATGCTGGACATGGCACATGGTCATGCACAGAGCGGATTTGCAGCAGCATTTAGCACAGGGGGAGCAGCAGGAGCAACGCCCGCAAGAGTGTGAGGGCAGCTGCAGCGGTGCCCGCAGGTCAGGAGGTGCGTCCTTTGTGGGGGCATCATGAGAAACATGTTGGCTGGAAGAGTGGGTGAGACACAGAACTCACCTCACACGAGTTTCCTAGTAGAAGAAATGCATATGGAAACCTAAATTTCAATTTCATAACCTGTAAATATGAGACCATGGTTTCCAAAGAGGACTAAAAATTAGAATTTGTATGTAAATTAAAATATAATTTTCTATAGGAGTCCGGAATAGCAAAATTAATAGACATATTCCACTTATTAAGAGAAGACAGACCTGATCTACTTGCCAGATGTCACTTGCTGAAATTAATTACCCAGAATAAGTATATACGGAGATCTGGGCATGTTTCTTGACCTTTGTACACAGGATCTGCAGAAATTGGGCTTCACCAAGGTGATCCTTCAGAACAACTGCATCAGATGTTTCCTGTTTTACTGTCCCCAGAGCTGTTCAATCAAATAAAGCATTAGCCAGAAAGTGAGTCTGTTTACTGTTACTAAAACTCTCAGCAACAAACCTGTTGAAAACTCAACTTTAGCCCACCAAAGCAAAACTTATGCATGAATAAAGAGTAACTGCTAAGGTGGTACAAAATTTCTGTCGAACCTGACAGCCTTTTTGCCCCTAAAACGTGCCCATTATTCAATGTTGCTTGAAATATTAACCATTAACTTCACTCTATTGGCTTTGAGGTCTTGATTCATTTTAAAACACAGCTTTTTGGCAGAGCAGGGAAGGGAAATGGAGAAAGAGAGAGAGGTAATGAAAGAGAAGAAAAAAAGGAGGAGGAGGAGGAGGAGGGTGAGGAGGAGGAGGGTGAGGAGGAGGAGGGGAGGGGATGCTTTATTGAGAGTAAACATTAAGTACAATATGGAAAGCGGGAGAGAGAGTAACTGTACAGAGAGGAAACCTGATAGACACTGCCCCAGCTGGGTGATCAAGGTCAACATCCATAGCCACGTGTACATTCATTTATGAATTATTTATTGAATTTTGATGAAAATGGCACTTCACCTCTGTGGTCTTCCTCACAAAAACCCATAACCCCAGCATAAGCGTGGGAGAAATATCAGAAAAAACCCGGATTGAGAGCCATCCTCAGAAAAAACCCGGATTGAGAGCCATCCTCCAGAATGCCTGATCAGTGCTGCTCACAATTCTCAAGTTCATCAAAACCAGGATAGTCTGAGAAGCTGTCAATGCCCAGAGAAGCCTAAAGACATATGACAATTAGATGTAAGGTGGTGTCTTGGATGACATCCTGGAACTAAAATAAGACATTAGGGAAAAGCTAGTGAAGCCCAAATTAATAGTGGAGTTTAGTTTATAGTTAATAATAACCTATCAATATTGGCTTATTAGCTATGCTAAACGTAACATGATAACATAAGATGGTAACCGGGAAGACAGTGCAGGGATCCTGGGACTCTGTGGCATCTGCACAACTTTCTGCAAACCAAAAACTGTTCTGAAATAAAATGCTTTTTTTAAAATGTGGGGAAGAAGTATGGCATGGGAGACTAATTTGGCCCACTTCTCATTGTGCAAGCTCTGAGCCGCTAGCAGGCACCCCATCCCCCTATCCTGAGTTGAATGTGCAGCAGAGACTTGAATGATGCACGGCATTAAAAACACACAGTCCCATAAAAGAAATTGAACCTAAAATTCATTGTTTACAGTGTAACAAACCTAATATGGGAATATCGAGATATCCCAGAGGAATTCAGCCAAGAAAGAGGTTTGTGCATTTGTGCCGACATTTGATGCCCTGGTTATTTTATTTTTCCTATAGTCATCATTTCAAACCCAGATTCTCAAATATTCAGGAAGGAACTGCACAGGTATACTCTCTACTCCAAAAGAATGAGGAAATCTTTCAAGTCTCTTTCAGAAAATTGTTCTTGTTGCATGTTATAGAACTCATAAAGTGAAAACACAGGTAGAAATTCCCCTTTGATAAGAAGATAAGTCAAAATCATTCAAACAAAAAGCCATTTAAAATTTATCAGACCAAGACTTTAGGTCCCGCGGTAAACAGTGGCACTCTGGTGTCCAGCAATGTGTGTTGGGAGTTGCTGTCAGCCATTGTGCTCCCTCACCTGCATGCCCTTCCAGGGCCCCAGCTTGGGGCGCATGAAACAGAAACTTAGGGCCCACATCTGACCCCAGCTTGGGACCCAGTGTTCCATCCTCTCCCGTCCTTTCCACTTCCAAGTGCTCCCCTGTGTCTCCTGTGAAAGACGTCAGCCAGCACCGTCCTTCTCAGAGGGGTAATGTGAGCTTCAGAGCCTCGGTTTTAGTCAAACTTTACCCATGGAATCATGTCCCGTCCCTCCCCTAAAATGGCTGCCTGGGTCCCTGATGATCCTAAAGAGAAGGTCCACTCCCATAGCCTGGAGCAAAGACTCAGATTATTCTATGAGCAATAAATAAATTTCTGCCTGAATGAGCCATGGAAATATTGGGTCTATTTGTTACTGCAGCCAAGCATATCCTCGTTTTTATAATACCTCTTGGAAGAGGAGAAGATCACTCATTGTGTAGAATGGCGAGAATGAGGATTCATGGCAAAACCTTGAGGAGGAAAGATTTCAGGCACAAAAGCATGGGAAACCAAAATAGTGACTTGAGAAGGGACAGTCATACACACAGGAAGAGAGCAAGGAAGAGAAAGAGTGGACAGGGACAGAGACAGAGGAGAGAACTTCCACACTCAGGCAGTTGGCAATGACCTTGAGTGCTCCCAACAGGCCGGGAAGGATGAAAATGAAATTACACTACTGAAGCAGGCAATTAAGTAATTGTTGATTAAATAAATGTCAACTTCAGTGGACTTTTTGAATAATTACATAGTATCCATAAAATTACTGTCCTACTTTTGTTTGCTTAATCCAAGAAGAATTTCTGATATCACTGTATATTCTTGTTAGCTATCATTTTTAATCTATTGAGTGATATATGTTAACATACTTAGTCGTTTTCCTATTGTTAAATATTTAGATCACTTACAATCATAAAATATTGGAAGCAAGGTCACAACATTTATTCTTATGGAAATTTTTTCTTGTGATAGTTTATCTCCTTAGGATAAATATCTTTAGAAGTGTAATAATTTTATAAATGGTTTTTATAGCCCATGGCAATTATGCCATCAAAAATTAAATGACAATTTCTATTATTTTCTGCTAATTTAATATATCAAATCTTTTTACTTATTAAAATAGTTTAACAATTTTATCAAAAGCTATTAAATAAATGTATCATGACCTAACGTTCTAACCAGCTTGCTACAATAAAGTTCAACTTAATTAATTCATGCATATTAATGCAATAATAACCTCTCTTCATGCTGTTGCCAGTAACTGTTTAATAGGGCAACAGAGTATCATTGGGAATTACATACAAATGAAGGTTTCCTGTATCTTAAAAGAAATGGTACCTCAGCTCTTTCTCCCCCAGGCATATCAGTTACCTCTTCCTCCATGAGATCATATACAAGAACATTTATTAGGGTTATTTTAAAACAGAAAACTCTAAGTGGGAAATAAAAACGGCCCATAATCCTTTTACCTGATAACCCATGTTGACATTTTGTAACAAATGAAAGTAACACATGCACATGATCAGAAAATTCAGATAATAATGGAAGGTATAAAACTGAATGTGTCTAGAATAGGCAAATTCATAGGGACAGAAAGCAGAACACAGGTTACCAGGGTCTGGGGAGAGATAGGAGTGAAGAGTCATTGTTTAAGGGATAGAGAGGTTCAGTCTGGGAAGATGAAAAAGTTCCAGAGATAGACAGTGGGATGATTACACAACATCATGAATGTACATTACGTCACTGAAAAAAAAGGCAACTTTTTTCACTTTTTAAAAATTTTTTATTTCCACAGGTTTTTGGGGAACAGTTGGTATTTGGTTACATGAGTAAAGTTCTTTAGTGGTGATTTGTGAGAATTTGGTGCACCCATCATCTGAGCAATATACACTGAACCCAATTTGTAGTCTTTTATCCCTTTTATTCCTCACCCCCTCCCACCATTTTCCCCAAGTCCCTAAAGTCCATTATATCAATCATATGCCTTTGCATCTTCACAGCTTAGCTCCCCCTTATGAGTGAGAACATGTGATGTTTGACTTTCCATGCCTGAGTTTCTTCACTTAGGATAATGGTCTCCAGTTCCATCCAGGTTGCTGCGAATGGCATTCATTTGTTCCTGTTATGGCTGAGTAGTATTCCATCATATATATATGTATATACCACAATTTCCTCAACCACTGGTTGATTGATAGGCATTTGGGCTGGTTCCATATTTTTGCAATTGTCAATTTTGCTGCTATAAACATGCCTGTGCAAGTATCTTTTTCATATAATGACTTCTTTTCCTCTGGGCAGATACCTGGAAGTGGGGTTGCTGGATCAAATGGTAGTTCTCCTTTTAGTTCCTTAAGGATCTCCACACTGTTTTCCACAGTGATTACACTAGTTTACATTCCCATCAGCAGTGAAGAACTGTTCAAAAAAAGGCAACTTATATTTTAAAATTGGGGATAAAAGTTTCCCTCCTCTAGTCTTTACCTTTCCCGAAAAAACAATCACTAAGATTGTTTGACAAGTATCATTTGAGAAAAAATTACATGCATATAGTCCCTTATATATAAATATGTAGCATATATATATTTTTTATTTGCATGAATCAGATGATAGCTTATACAAAGATGTGGATTTTGCTTCTTTTTCACTTAGTAATATTTCTTGACCATCAACAAATGGAGCCATACCTTATTATTTTTTCATCTGTATAACTGCTCATTATATAAATTATTATAATTTATTTAATCTACTCTAGTCTCCTGGATATTTAGATCAATTCCTTATCCATATGTCCATATGATATAGGACAAATGATAGATATTTCCAAGGGACACTTGTGGAAATTTTTAAATAATAATGAGACTAAGATGAAGGTAATAGTCCCACCTTAATAATGTTGATGTGGAATTGACATTGTTTATGACTGTGAAGATATGACCTAATAATATATAACCCGTATAATGCAAAGCAGTTTTTAAATGATAACAATAGTAGTGACTAATCTAGCATTAAGTCAGTATTAAATTTGACCAATAATAATATGGGTGGTTTTTTTAAAAGTGGTAAAGTCACTGGAAGTAATTCATTCCTCTCACGATACTCTAGACCTTAGTGAAAGGAACAGAACAAGAACATGGGGATAAGGTATCTTTCGAAGGCTTCACATACATCACCTGTGGTTTTACCAGCTGCACCCTATGACAAACGCTACTTTTCCAAGTACTTGATTGAGAAATAGTTCAAAGATGTTCATATTATTCAAAGTTCTCCATTTTCATTCTGTGATGTTAGTTTTAGTCCAATAGATAAAAGATAACATGTCACTAGGAAAAATAAAGTTTTCAATCAATTTTAAATATTTATGTCAATATTGCCTCTTTATTCTACCATTATTAAAAAGTTAAACTCTTTCAAGTTAAACAGAAATGATTTATTAATAATTCCCAAACTAAATTATATAGTCAAAGCCAAATCCCAATAATTATAAGGGATTTGAGTTCTGAAGATAATTACTATATTCTTTTAGTTTCTTTCTGCTCAGTTTATCAGAATCTGCTCTCTAAATCTTCCCCCTTCATTTCTTCTTCATAGGTTTTACAAGCCAGTTTACAGAGGCAACAGGAGCATTTCTATTTCAGAACAAATTCCAGTATAATAACTTAGATGAATAAATAGCATGATCAATTTTGACATTCAAGATTGTGTGTTTCTAGCAAATAGCTAATAATTTTTAAAGTATTAAAGAAGATGCATCTCATTTGCAGCCTCTAATAAGTCTCTCCCAAATTGCTATAAAATGTAAGACTTTCAGCAGCACTGGATATAAAGACTGGCAAGTCAAATTAATCTCAGAAATTTGAAGGAAATAAAAATAAGCAGATAAACCTAAAGATTTTATAAAACAGCCTCAAAAAATAGAAACTACCTTAAAAAGGAAGTGGAGTTGGCAGAGCCTTCATAAATCCCAGCCCCACCTCATGTAAAGAAACAAAGGTAAATCAAACTAGAAACATGGACAGATATTCCCCATAGTACTTTAAAACAGTACTCCCTCTTCTCACTACTTTTAGCCATTAAACACCATCTGTCTTATTCACTCACAGCAGATTCCAGACTTTTAAAATCTAGAAAATGAATAGGAGCAGATTGAGACAAAAAGAGAAGGATGTGATATGATGAACATGCATGGTGTAGCCTCCACAGGTAAAGTTCGTGGGTTGGTGAAAATGTTTGAAATAACTTGGTAGAAAAGCAAGCTGGGATTTTTCATTGTCAAAATCTTCATAAACTCAAAGTATGAAAGAAACATAAATTATGGTTAGAATATGATGCATCCCAATAAATGCCATAGGGAAAACTTAAGATAAATTCAGAACCAGATTAAAAGCTCTGAGGACCTATGTGGATATGCCAGAAAAAACATATTATCACAACAGGGACAGAGATAAGGGGCCTAGAGCCTCACATGCACTGGCCAAGCTCGTCTCAACTTGAGTTTGAGTAAAGAAAAAACAAGTATAATGAGATTGAGAAATTGGCACTCCCTACACTCATCAAACAGTCTCGAAGAAGCAATCCAGTGTAAACGCGTCATCAAAGATCATCAGCCATGTAAAGACAACGGGGTAATATGGAAGAGAAAGATGAATAAAAACTGACAGGAAAAAAAGACAGAGATAACTCAGGGAACAGAAAGAAAATAATATTAGTTAACATTCTAAGATACTCAGGAAGATATTACTTTCACAAAATAAAATCAATATGCTCTAAAATGGAATAATCAGAGGACAAAAAGGGTTTTGGAGTCTAAAATATGCTTATAACTTTTCTAAAAAATAGAGTGAGGGAGGTATCCCAGAATGGAAGAGAAAAAAAAGACAAGAAGAATAAGAAAGACAAGAGACATAGCGTGAAGGCACCATCTGTGTCATCCCCCAACTGACTAACAGCAGACCTCGGAAGAGAAAAAAAGAGATGAAGAAATTGCCAAAGAAATAATAGAAGGAGGAGAATCCCTTGAGCCTGGGAAGCTGAGGCTGCAGTGAGCAGAGATGGCGACATGCACTCCAGCGTGGGAGATAGAGCGAGACCCTGTCTCAAAAAAAAATAATAATAGAAGAGACTTCCTCCACAGATCTAAAGATGAACGGAAGTTTTGAGAATCAAAACATTCACTTAGAGACAAGATAAATTTTAAAAGATTCACATCCAGAAACATTCTGAAGAAATTTGAGAACAGGGAGAGAAAATGGCAGCTTCCGGGGAGAAGAAGACGCCTCCGGTGTGTGACCGAGAAAACGACCCGCCTTGACCGTGGTTCCAGCAACACACGGGACTGATTTGAACCTACTCTACGCCCAAACAAGCTATCAATCACAGTAAGTCTTAAATAAAGACACCTTCAACTACGGAATAATGCAGAAACTGCACCCTTTCTTGTAAAACTAACTGAGGATGTTATAAAGGGCTACAGTGTATTATTCATGAAACAGGGATATAATGCCAAGCTACTACAAGTTCGATTCTGGACACATGTGAGGATGTGTGAGATATATATTTTTTTCTTGTCAATAAAAGAGAAAAAACACAACCAGAAATTTACAGGAGAAAATTAAAACTCTACCATGGCATAATTTTAAACAATTGATGGAAAATATGTCTAAGGGAAAGAACTTGCGTGGTGAATTCTTGGAGCGTTGTCTTTTTAGTAACGCAGCTTGCCTACCGTAGTGCACAGAGAAGGCTCGTCTTCCCTACAGACCATTTGTCTCTGCTCTTACAATGCAGAGGATAAAAGCATGGAACCCGGACTCTGACCATTTAGATTCCACCCCAGCTCTGCCCTTTACATCTGAGAGACCTCGAGGAAGTCATTTAAACCCCATATCCATCAGTTTCTTCATTGGCAAAATGGGGATGAAAATAGCAGCATCTAAGTCATGGTGTTGCTCCACCACCAAAACGTACAAAGACAACATCAAAACGTTCGCTCGGCCTCCCTACATAACATTAATACAGCAAACCTTAGTAACTTAGAAGCAAATGCAATCCTGTGTTATAGAAAACGATGATTTGTTCAAAAATGTTTGTCAAACAAATGCTTATTGATCAACCACAGTAAGTTAGGCTTATTACTGTAATCCAAGAATGGTTTGTTTAATAACTAGAAACAGTTTAATCTAATTCATTACATCAATAAAAATAATATAATGACTAAGATTTTTTAAAGGTTGTAGTAAAAATAAATCTCCATTTCTTATTTTAAAAGACCTAATAACATTCCTTAGCATGATAAAGAACATATGTAAGAGCAAGAGACATTATACTACATAGCCAAACACAAGATATTCTCATTGAAATCAGAAATGTACCACAAGCAGTATTACCAAACATTATTTTGTGTGTTATTACACAGAAAAATAACATAACACAAATTTTCACCATCAAATTTACCAGGAAAGAAAAAAACCAAATTTGTCAGTAATTTAGATAAATAGGAGCTCTAAAATTGCTAGGAGAGCAAAATGGAGCAAGTGTTCTGGAAGTCAAATTGTCAAAATATACCAAAAGTTATACGATTACTCCTTTTTAGCACAGCAATTACAATTACAGCAATTAATTCTAAGGATAAAAGTCAATAATACACACAAAGATTTATTATTAAGCATGTTTATCTGTTCCTGTCTTAGTTTGCAAAGGATAATGGCCTCCAGCTCCATCGATGTCCCTGCAAAGGACATGATCTTGTTCTTTTTAATGGCTGCATAGTATTTCATGGTGTATATGTACCACATTTTCTTTATCCAGTCTATCATTGACAGCATTTTCTTTGCTATTGTGAATAGTGCTGCAATGAACATAGCACGTACATGTGTCTTTGTAATGGAACAATTTATATTCCTCTGGGTATATACCCAGTAATGAGATTGCTGGGTTGAACAGTATTTCTGTCTTTAGGTCTTTGGGGAATTGCCACATGGTCTTCCACAATGGTTTAACTAATTTACACTCCCACCAACAGTGTATAAGCATTTTTTTCTCTATAGCCTCACCAGCAAATAACGCATGTTCTCACGTATAAGTGAGAGCTAAGTGATGAGAACGCATGGACACACAGAAGGGAGCAACACACACTGGGGCCCATAGGAGGGTGGAGGGTGGGAGGAGTGAGAAGATCAGGAAAAATAATGAATAGGTACTAGGCTTAACACCTGGGTAATGAAATAATCTGTACAACAAACCCCCATGACACAAGTTTACCTATATAACAAACCCATGCATGTACCCCTGAACTTAAAAGTTAAAAAAAAGAAAACAACAACAACAATAAAAACTCTTGCTCTAAAAAAAAAAAAAAAAGGCTAGGTGCAGTGGCTCACACCTGTAATCCCAACACTTTGGGAGGCCGAGGCAGGTGGATCACAAGGTTAGGAAATCGAGACCAGCCTGGCGAACATGGTGAAACCCCATCGCTACTAAAAACACAAAAAATTAGCCGGGCATGGTGGCACGCACCTGTAGTCCCAGCTACTCAGGAGGCTGAGGCAGGAGAATTGCTTGAACCTGGGAGGCGGAGGTTGCAGTGAGCCGAGATTGCACCACTGCACTCCAGCCTGGGCAACAGAGCCAGACTCTGTCTCAAAAAAAAAAAAAATAATGTTTATCAAAGATCTAATTAGTATGGTGAAAATTACAAACTAATCCATTTATTTGCTGTGAATTTTTTAAAGAGCAGTTTAATAAAATGGAATACGGTTTAGTCTTTTTAAGGTCTGAAATAAATATCCTCAATATTATGTGAAAAAAAATAAGATACAAAAGCAAGTGAGTAATGAAATTAACAAATAAGAAGGAAATTTTAAGGTGGTATGGGAATTCTAAGGCAGAATTTACAACTTTATACCTATCATGCTGAAAAAATAGAGGTAATAGGAAAATGCAGTTTTCCAGCCTTTCTTTACTTGGAAAGAGAGGGAACATATGAGCAAGCACATCACAACAAGGAGAAAATGAAATGCTCTGTGCACACTCTGCATGACGCTAAAACATCAGACAAGGTATCATGCTCACAGGGAACTCACCATTTTTTTTTTCTTTTATAATTTAAACTCTTTTGGAGCAAAGAGAAATACAAAACTTCCTGAAATACTTCTACCAGATAAAGGAAGGCAAAAATGACCTCTGGACAAAAAAAGAAGACAATTAATGAAACACTCTCATTGCCATTAGTAGAATATAGCAAGAAGTTAAGAGAAAAGCTACAATACACTGGAAAGGAGAAGAAAACTGTCATTTTTATGTATATGGAGTTATTGTCTAAAGTTTTAGAGGAAAACACTAAATATTTATAAAAATTAAAGACTTCATAATGTTAGTTCAGCATAAGGTTAACATAAAAAATAAATAACTTTCCTATGAGTTAATCAAAGATTAAGTAGATGCTTCCTGTTTATACAAAGTATATAGACAGGTTGTGTAAACAGACAATAGGCAGCAATGAAGACCAAAGTTGTAAATACGCTGTAGTAATTATCCCAAATTTAATCTATAACCTCAACACAGATCCAATCAAATTTTGTTGCAATTACAGCTCCAAACTTCTTCTGGAAGACAACATTGCAAAAAAAAAAAAAAAGGCGGGGGGAGGGGGGGGTGGATCTAAGAGAATGCTATAAACAACTGTGTGACAAGAAATTAGATGACTCATATGAAATGAAGAAATTCCTACAAAGGCAAAAACCACCAAATCTGACTCAGGGAGAAACAGAAAATCTGATTAGACCTATAACAAAGAGAGAGTAATTAAGTTTATTAGTAATTACATTTAATAATTAAAACTACCCACAAAGAAAATCCCAGTCCTGAATTTTTGAATTCTCCCAAAATATGAAAAGAAATAATAACAATTCTTCACAAATTATTTCCAAAATAGAAAAGGAAGAAATCCTGCCAGCTCATTTTATGACACCTGTATGACTGTGTGGAAAAGAGTTAACATTTCAGGCCTGACTGCTGTGGTTGGAAAGACCCGCTTACTGGGTTGGTTCTTGTCTGGCATCTGGGAACTTGGGTTTGGGGAGGGTCCCCACCGCTATTAACGGACGAAGGTGGTGTTCACTGTACCTAAACTGCTTCTGCAAACAACATGATGTATGCTAAACACCTGCTTTTGAGTCTGGAATTTCAGTCCATGCCAGGCAGAGGCTGCCCCCATGATCAGCCCAGGTAAAAACCTAGGCACTGAGTCTCTAAGGACTTCCTGGAAGGCCTGCTAACATGTAGATTGCTGGGCCACCCCCAGAGGCTCTGATTCAGCAGGTTGGGGTTGTCGGGGTGGGGGAGCACTTCAGCAGATTCGCAATGGGCATTTCTAGTGTGTTTCTGGGGGATTGTGACGCTGCTGGTCCAGGGACCAAACTTGTAGAGCCAATGATCAAAGGAGCTATTTTACCTCATTCCTTTTTTAAGAGAGTTAATTTCTTGAATATCCCTTTCCATTTTATTCCATCTGACCACAGCTTACACAATTGAATCGGTTTGTTAAATCTAACTACCACAAAGAAATTCTTAAGAAGAAACAATGACCTAGTAATTATGAAGTTATTTTAATGTTATTTAATATCTAGGATATTAGCCAATATCTAATATGTTCTAACATATTCTAAGTATGACTATATGACTCCACAATTATCCCAAGTGTAATGTTTTTAAGATAAAATTGTAATTGTTATAACTGGGATAGGTCAAAGTGTATAATACAATTAAAATTAAATTTCATTACATACCTTCTAAATGACATTTGCAATATTAAACATATCTGACTCTCTAACAATACTCTGATTCCTTTGACGTCACAGTGCTGTTTGCTCATGCTAGGTAAGGGGAGGAAAGCTAAATCCAGACACTGCCACCCATCTGCTGTGCTGGCAACACGCCTTCTAACCAAAGCAACTAACGCTTCTGCAATAGCTTTGAGAAGTACTACCACTAAAGGGGAATATTCAATTTGTCCCCTTCTAAGGTGAGCATATAAATAATCTGAAGATATTTCTACCTCTGATAAATTAAGATTTGTTTCTTCAGCCTTTCACCATGGTCTAACCCTAATAAACTGTGGCACTGGACTTATCTACAAATCCTTGCAAAGTAATGCCTGCCCAGAAGTAGCTGTAAGTAATGCTATCTCAGGGACACTAAAAGCCAACTCCAACGTTACAGAGACTGAAGATTTTGTTACAGACCTAATATTTTATTATAGATTGTCCATGGTAAATATACATAATTGATTAATACACTTTGAATTGGTTTTTAAAAATGATGTGCAAACCATTTTCAAAGAAACTCTGTTTCATTACTTTCAAATATGGCTCTAAATTTATTTTCTCGTTTCCAGTTTTATCCCCTTTCTAATTCAATTCCTCCCCCAAGGTAAGAGTGATTTTCCTAAAAACATAGAACATTCTCTTGCATTAAGCCTTCTTGTCCTCAAGATGAAGTTCATCTTAGTCCCCAGGCCTCAACTTTCAGCTTGCCTCCATCAACCTTAACCCCCAGACATACCCCACACAAACAGCGCTGATGTGCCATATTTTTCTTTCTGTTTTTCCAACTTATCATACACTTTTTAACCTTCCAGATTTTGCATAGACTGTGTCCTTGCCTTACTCATTTCCAGTGATCCTTCAAATCTTGGTTTATAAGACATGACTTCAGGAAGCATTCTCTTAGCCTGGGTCTGAGTTAAGTACTCAAATCATATTCTTCCATACCATCTCTACTTTTTCCATCAAAGAACCTACGACACTGGATTTCCGGCATATTTGTTGAAATGCTCCTCTAGATTGAGAATAAGACATTTCTAAACTTATTTACTGCTTTGTTCAGTGTCTAACAGAATATCTGGCACTCTAAGTGCTCATTGACTATATGCTGGATGGATGGATGGATGGATGGATGGATTGGGTGAGTGGTGGGTGGAAGGATGATAGATGAATGGATAAATGGATATATGGATGGATTTGCAGATGAATAAATGGATATGCAGATGGATGGATGGATGGATGGACGGATGGAATGCATGGATGGGTGGATAGATGGGTGGGTGGTGGGTGGGTGGATGATGGGTGAATGGATAAATGGATATGTGGATGGATTTGCAGATAAATAAATGGATATGCAGAAGGATGGATGGATGGATGGATGGATGGATGGATGGATGAATGGATGGATGGAATGCATGGATGGGTGGATGGATAGGTGGGTGGTGGGTGGGTGGGTGTATGACAGATGAATGAATAAATGAATATGTGGATGGATTTGCAGATGAATAAATATGCAGATGGTGGATGCATTGATGGATGGATGAAATTCAAGTATATGAAGAATCTGCAAAATGTTACAGCATCCTACAAAGATCTTACTGTACCTCCTAACTGCTCATGTTCTGGCACACGTGAAACTATGATCACTTTTATAAGACACCTCAGCTGTTCTTGCCAGAGGAACTGGCCAGACCACCTAATTGCTTTGGTTGTTTCTTGCTCACAGGCACTGTAGCTGGGAAGCTGTGTCCTGGGGAAGCCTCTAGTGGTGCTTCTTACTTGTGCAAATATAAATTGAGTTTAGTCAACAACCATTGGTTTGAGGGCAGGAAGTAACAGTTCTCTCTGTGACCCTCCCACATTATTCACTGTGAAAACCTGGCTGCTAAGGGAAAGGTGGGTACGTTTGTATAGAATAGAAGAAAGAAGCCAATAAATAAATCTCTCCCCTCTTTTATTTTTTAATATTAGGCTTACTAAGGTACAATTTTTTTTTTTAATATATGGAGTCTCGCTCTGTCCCCCAGGCTGGAGTACAGTGGCGTGATCTCAGCTCACCACAACCTCTGCCTCCCGGGTTCAAGCGATTCTCCTGCCTCAGCCTCCCGAGAAGCTGGAATTACAGGCGCCCACCACCACGCCTGGCTAATTTTTGTATTTTTTAGTAGAGACAGAGTTTTGCCATGTTGTCCAGCCTGGTCCTGAACTCCTGACCCCAGGTGATCCCCCTGCCTCAGCCTCCCAAAGTGCTGGGATTACAGGCTTGAGCCACTGTGCCCAGCCATTTCTACATATAATTTATATGTAGAAAAATTCGCCCTTTTTATGTGTAGAGTTTTATAAGCTTTGACAAAAGGATGCAGTTGTGAGACCACCATAACCAACATGGACAATTTCCATCACAGAAAAGTCCCCTTAAATCCACAAATAGCCACTCCCACCAGTTCCAGCTCTTGGCAGGTGCTAATCTGATTTGGATTATACAGTTTTATCTTTCTAGAATATCATATAAATAGAATCATACAGTATGCAGCCTTTGCACCTAGCTTCCCTCAGCATAATGACTTTTTCATCCACACTGTTGCCTGTGTCTGCGATTCATTCATTTTTATTGCTATGTAGCATCCCACTGTGTAGATGTACCACAATTTGTTTACCTGTTCACAGGCTGGTGGATGTTTGAGATACTCTGGTTTGAACTGATTATAAAAATAGGGACTATAGACATTTGTACGTGGGTCTTGGTGTAGATGTATGTTTTTATTTATCTTAGGTAAATACCTAGGAGTTGTATTATGGGGTTAAGTGGTATCCATATGACTAACTTTATAAGAAACTGCCAAACTCGTCCAGAGTGACTGCACCATGCTGCATTCTCACCAGTAACAGATGAGGCTTTCAGTGGCCCCACGTCCTCATCAGCACTGCCATTTTGTACTGGCATTTTTTTAAGCCATTCTCATTTATGTGTAGTGTTATCTCCTTTTGGTTCGAACTTGAATTTGTCTAATGATTAATGGCTTTGAGCATCTTTTGATGTGTTCATTCAGCATTGATGCTTTTTATTTGGTGAACTGTCCGAATCTTTGCCGCTGTCCCATTTTTTTGTTTGTTTTTGTATTATTTTGTGAAAGTTCCATACATCTTCTGATTACTGGAGTCTTTTTCATCACATGCGTGTTTTGCAAATGTTTTCTCCCAGCCTATTGTTTATCCTTTTGTTGCCTTAACAGTGCCTTACAAAGAGCAGAAGTTTTTAAATTCTGATGAAGGTCATTCAACTTATCAGTGCTTTTCTGTTATAGTTTATGTTTATTGTATCTTATCTAAGAAATACTTGCTTGGCCAAAGGTCACAAAGATTTTCTTACATGTTTTTTTCTAGAGCTTTTTAGTCTGTGGCTTTATAGTAAGAATTATGATTTATGTCAAGTAAATATTTGTGTATTGTACAAGATATAAGCTGAGGTTCTTTTTTTATATATGAAATCCCAACTGTTCCAGCATCACTTGTTAAAAACTCTATCATTTCTTTTTTGAGTAACCTTGTTACCATTATCAAATAATCAATAGATGTATAGTCTATCCCTGAACCTGTTCTGTTCCATGCATCGTTATGACCATCCTTCACCATTATCACAATGTCTTCATTAATTTTCATTAATACTAAGATGAGTATTAAGAGTCCTCCAATACCTTCCTTTAGAATTGCAGCATTCACAGATCTTTACTGAGATCTGTCAGTAGGAAAGTGCACCAGGGCTGCCAGGAGGACCCCATACAGCGACCCAGACACAGCTCAGTGTGAATGAGCCCATGGGGGCTGTTGATTCAGAGCACGTGGCCAGCAGTGAAGGCTGCAACCACCACAGCAGGACTGCCAGGCTTTGGGAGGAAGGGAAGGTCTGTCAGGGTGAACAGAGGAGGTTTCACCATAGGAAGCCAACAGGAAGCATCACCACAGCCTGTGTGGGGACCAGAGCAGCAAGGTATCGAGCATTGAGCTGGGCCCCAAAGAGAAGATCACAGCACGGCTGTCCAGACCAGGGCCACCATTGAGTAGCTTGGCCTCCATAGGTCTCCCTCACCTCTGCAAGCCTTTGGAAGCATAACTGACTCCTTTGGGCAGTGAAGCTCTTACCTTTCAAAATTAGGAGTAGGCCGGCACGGTAGCTCACGCCTGTAATCCCATCACTTTGGGAGGCCAAGGCTGGCGGATCACCTGAGGTTGGGAGTTCGAGACCAGCCTGACCAACATGGAGAAACCCTGTCTCTACTAAAAATACAAAATTAGCCAGGCATGGTAGTGTATTCCTGTAGTCCCAGCTACTTGGGAGGCTGAGGCAGGGGAATCGCTTGAACCCAGGAGGCGGAGGTTGCGGTGAGCCAAGGTTGTGCCATTGCACTCAAGCCTGGGCAACAAGAAAATCTCAAAAAAATATAAATATAAATATAAATAAATAATAATTAGGACTAAAACGGAGCTCCAAGAGGAAAATCACTTTGACTTTCTCATACTTTGAGTTGGTAAGTGCTCACAAAGTTATTTTTTCATGTGGCTATATTTGTACCAGAGTCTGTTAGATCAAATTGTATAAAAGTATAATTTCTATGGTTTAAAAAGTTTGAATATTGGCAAATTCATAGGGTTTGAATTAATAAATCATATTGGTTCTCATTTATTCACTTTGAAATTACCTATCTTGCCACAAATTCACAATGTCTTACTACACATGGTGCCTGCTTGGGAAGATTTCTCTCTTTTTTATTTTTCTAATTTTGCAGTCTGTCTTCTTCCCCCTCCTTAATGAAGGCTGTCTTAATATTTCAGGATATTTAATATACATATAATACTCGTATATTAAATGTCAAAACAGGCCTCTTGCTAATGATCTTTGTGATAGCAGCTTTTCATTCTCTTCTGACTGGATTTGCTATTTTCTTATGCTCATCATTCTGATCTATAAAGTAACTTGGACGATGTTGTTCATTTTGGTAAATAAGAACTTTTGAACAGTCACTATAAAAATCCTTAATTTGTAACCCTAAGCAAAAAACTCTTTGATCTTTCTGTATCCCCTTTAAAAACTTTACAGCATTTGGCCAGGAGTTAAGAGGACATTGAGATTCATTAAAAATTTACATTTTTTTATTTCTTACAACATATTACTAGGCTAGGATTTAAGCTAATGAACCAAAAGTAATAAGCGAGAAGGAAGAAAACTGCACCAAGGACCCAGCTCATTTACAAGCTGCCTGGAGAGCTGACTATAACTCAATAAACTTAAGGCTTTTCTTGAAGTTCTCTGGCAAATACATTGAGGCCAATTGGCAAATACATTGTCCTGAACTTTTATTTTCTCCATTAAGAGAAACTGTGTTTCAACAGGGAAGGAAGACAGGTAAGTGCAGAGTGTGGAATAAAAAAACAGCAGAACACAGGGTGCACCCTAGCTGGGGAGCACACAAGGTGCAGCTGCCCCTGAAAGTCCACAGCAAGAAGGCTGAGAGAGCGTGGGACAGCTGCCTGCCACCCACGCGGGAACAGTGCAACACGTGTGCACTCTGGAATCAGACACACCTGCTTCTTTGCTTTTCCAACACATACTGAACCTCACCAAACTTGGGTTTCTTCATCTGTAAACTGGAGATGAGAACAGAACCAAAATCATGGGATGGTTACAAGAACTAAATGCGGGAGAACACGTAAAATGCTCAGCGCGTTGGGGTGAGAGAGGGGAGAATGCTGATGGCAGGGCTGCAGGTCTGGGCAACAATGGAGAATCGCACAGGGGAATTGCGAAACTCAGGGAAGATGTTTAATCAGTCTGCTGCTCCACTAATTCATTGATGGGGGGAAAAAAGCAGATTATGTTATTAGAAAATGACATCAGTCAGTCCATAACAGAAGTTGTATTAATCTGATTTCACACTGCTGATAAAGACATACCCAAGACTGGGCAATTTATAAAAGAAAGAGGTTTATTGGACTTACAGTTCCACATGGGTGGGGAGGCCTCACAATCATGGTGGAAGGTGAAAGGCACGTCTCACATGGCGGCAGAGAGAGAGAACTTATGCAGGGAAACTCCCGTTTTTAAAACCATCAGATCTCATGAGACCCATTCACTATCACAAGAATAGCGCAGGAAAGACCCACCTCCAAGATTAAATCATCTCCCAATGGGTCCCTCCCACAAACGTGGGAATTTAGGGGAACTACAAGATGAGATTTGGGTGGGGACAAAGAGCCAAACCATATTAGAAGTCCAATGTAAAAATCAAATGTGAACTTGGAATTGGAGAGACCGCTGTATGCACAGACTTCCTTTAGCAGCATCAGGTGGGAAAGGCAAAGGAGGACAGAAACCAATCTTATTCCCTTTCTGAGCAGATCTCATTTTGTTTGAGGATGATTAAGGAAAAAAGGTCTTCTATTCATCCTTCGGAAACTAATTCCCACAGTGGTCCTTGAACCCATACTAGCTTTCTAGAAAACTCAACCAAATCTGTTTTGTAAACATAATTGGATAAGCAATTCTACTTATGAGAATTTTATCTTACAGATAAATGGGCACATACACACAATTTTAAAGGTGCATATATAGTCATTGCAGTAAAAGGATTGTAAACAATTTTCCAATCAAAAACGGGCTGAGGTAAAATTACATAGTTCAGTAAAGGTCTATACATTCTATGCAGCTACAAAGAAAATGAAGACACTCTCTCTGTCCTGATATATTAATAGTTCCAAAATATATTAAGTAAAATAGCATAAGAAGAGGCATATAGATCAATGGAATAGCACTGAGATTCCAGAAATAAATTCATACATTTGATTTTTAACAAAAATGCCAAGATAATTCAATGGGAAGAAAATAGTCTTTTCAACAAATGGTGCTGGGACAACCGGATATCCACATGCAAAAAAAAAAAATGAAATTGGACCCTTACCTCACAGCATATACAAACTTAACTTAAAATAGGTCTAAGACTCAAATGTAAAAATAAAACTGGCCGGGCACGGTGGCTCACACCTGTAATCCCAGCACTTTGGGATGCCGAGGTGGGTGGATCACCTGAAGTCAGGAGCTCGAGACCAGCCTGACTAACTTGGAGAAACCCTGTCTCTACTAAAAATACAAAATTGGCCGGGCGTGGTGGTGCATGCCTGTAATCCCAGCTACTTGGGAGGCTGAGGTAGGAGAATCACTTGAACCTGGGAGGCGGATGTTGAGGTAAGCTAAGATCACGCCATTGCACTCCAGCCTGGGCAACAGGAACAAAACCCCATCTCAAAATAAATAAATAAAATTTAAAAATAAATAAATAAAACTCTACAAATATTAGGAGAAAACATAGGGATAAATAAATCTTAATGATCTTGTATTAGTCAATGGTTTCTTAGAAATGACACCGAAAGAAAAAATTAGATAAACTTAACTTTATCAAGATTAAAGACACTTTTGCTTTAAAGGATAACACCAAGAAAGTGAAAAAAGAACCCATTTAATGGGAGAAAATATTTGCAAATTGTACGCCGGATAAATACCAAGTATGGAGAATATATAAAGAACTCCTGCAAATTAACAGTAATACGATACCACAATTTTTAAAATAGGGAAAAGTTCTAAATAGACATTTTTTCAAAGAAAATACACAAAAAGCCAATAATGGCATAAAAAGAAGCTCAAAGTCATCAGCCATCAGGGAACCGCAAATCAAAACCGTGGTGAGGCACCACTTCATGCTCTTGGATGGCTAAAATCAGAAAGGCAGAGAGCAAGTGTTGACAAAGATACGAGGAACTGAAATCTTCATACGCTGTGGTCGGAAGGGAAAATGGTGCAGCCATTTTGGAAGAGAGTTTCGCAGTTTTCCAAACTGTTTTGGTGATTCAAGTTTAATTCGAAAGGTTAAATGCAGAGTTTCCACATGACCCAGCAATTCTACTCTTATGTATATTCAGAATTGAAAACATATGTCCACACAAAACCTATACATTAATATTTATACCAGCATTATTTAAAATACCCCAAAATGGAAAACACCAAGTATCTATGAACTGATGAAGGCATCAACAAAATATTGTATATTTATAAAATGGAATGTTGTTTGGCAATAAAGGGGAAATGAAGCACTGAGACATGCAACATAACGAACCTGAAAGCACAAAACACCACACACACGATGATTTCCTTTATACAAAAATGTCTAGAATAAGCCAGTCCATAGAGATAGAAAGATGATTATTGGTTGCCAGAGGCTGGGCAAGGCAGGATGAAGAGAGAAGCCTCAGGTGCACCGTTTCTTTCGGGCGTAGTGAAAGTGTCCTGGAAATGCGTCGTGGTGATGGTTGCACAACTCTGTGAATAGACTAAACACTACTGAATTGTAACCTTTAAAAGGGTGAATTTTATGTTATGTCAACTATACCTCAAAACACCTGTTACACAAAACCGATGGGGCTGGGCATGGTGGCTCATGCCTGTAATCCCAGCCCTTTGGGAGGCCCAGGTGGGCGGATCACCTGAGGTCAGGAGTTCCAGACCAACCTGGCCAACATGGTGAAACCCCATCTCCACAAAAAATACAAAAATTAGCCAGGTGTGGTGGCGCACGCCTGTAGTCCCAGCTAGTCAGGTGGCTGAGGCAGAAGAATCACTTGAACCTGGGAGGCAGAGGTTGCAGTGAGCCGAGATTGCACCATTGCACTCCAGCCTGCATGACAGAGTGAGACTCCATCTCAACAAAAATGACAACAACAGCAAATAAACTGATAGAACATAAAATAATAAAGATATTTTAAGTTAAAATCTTAATTAATAAAGAAATGTAATCGATATTAGGATATGAAAAGTGTAAGCAAGCTAAATATTCATCTTTCATATAAAAGAATTAAAGAATGTTATCTGAAGCTGCAAATTTTAAAAAATAGATATAAATGTATTAGCTAGAGTTTTGCAGGTTCCTGCCAATAGAATTGAAAATAGAAAGAGCTCGAAGCAATGGCCTCTGGTTACCAGTAGGTTGTTGAGGAGGCGTGGCATGACTGTGACTTTCTGTTCTCAAGTGCATGTTTATTTTTACCAAGTATTTTAATTTTAATAATTTTAAATAATTACAATAGAATGAAGTAGAACTATAATAACAGCTTACAAAGATTTCCAAGAAATACGTTAAGAAACCAAGTTGCAGAAGAGAGCACACAATTTGATGCCTCGGATTTTTTAAAAAGGAGGAAGAAATTATTACATAACTATCTTTGTGTATGTCTGGGAAACGTCTGGAAATACGAGAAAGCATCGCAGCAACTAACCTGAAAAGTTCGACACGCGGGAGTGAGGCTCGCCGAGCAGGAGGCCTTGTTCCCTTGTAGTCTCTGGACTTTTTTTCCACCGTGACGTTTACCTTTATGGCGCTTTCACACTTAAATAGACAATGGGAACAACTCCTTTTTACATATTTGAAAATTCAGTCTGATTTTCTATTGCCTTTCAAATACTAATCTTCCGATTAGTTTGGAGGACAAACTTGAAAAGAAAGACAGATGATTGAATCTTTTTTTTTTTTTTTTTTTTTTTTTGAGACAGAGTCTCGCTCTGTCTCCCAGGCTGGAGTGGCGTGATCTCGGCTCACTGCAACCTCCCTCTCCTGGGTTCAAGCAATTCTTGTGTCTCAGTCTCTTGAGTAGCTGGGACTACAGACACACGCTACCACGCCCAGCTAATTTTCGTCTTTTTAGTAGAGATGGGGTTTCGCCATGTTGGCCAGGCTGGTCTCAAACTCCTGACCTCAAACAATCTGCCCACCTCAGCCTCCCAAAGTGCTGGGATTACAGACTTCAGCCACTGCGCCTAGCCTTTCAATCTCTGTAGAAGTCATATGTGAGGAGAGAGGATGCCACAGGACTGTTCTTTTAACAGGAAAGGAAACACACAACAACCTCTTCACTTTTGAGCTAAATTAAACTTGAGGTCTTGGAACCTTTCCTCATGGTTTTCCCATAAACAAGGTACCAAGAATTTGAGTAAACCAAATAATGAGGACCAAGAGAAATAGAGCAAGACACTGAGGCAAAGAATTAGTGACTGGGCCAAGCCAACGGCCAGTCACAGGAAAATATGGTCCCTGAGGGAAAGAAACAAGCAGCAAATAAGCCATACAGGGAGGGGGAGACAAGAAACTCTGGCTAGATTTTTATGCAGATTTTAAAGGCTTGGAATGGGGTTTATTTAACTTGAATTCTGATACATTAAAGATGCAGCATGCCCAGTTACAGTTTAATTTTTTAATAAACATATAAATTTCTTTCTTTTTTTTTTTTTTGAAATGGAGTCTCGCTCTGTCACCCAGGCTGGAGTGCAGTGGCACAATCTTGGCTCACTGCAACCTCTGCCACCTGGGTTCAAGCGATTCTCCTGCCTCAGCCTCCCAAATAGCTGAGATTATAGGCATCTGCCACTATGCCCAGCTAATTTTGTATTTATAGTAGAGACGGGGTTTCACCATGTTGTCCAGGCTGGTCTCAAACTCCGGACCTCAGGTGATCCACCCACCTTGGCCTCCCAAAGTGCTGAGATTACAGACATGAGCCACCACACCCGGCCAAACATATACATTTCTTAATGAAGGACTTGGAAATTTCTCCCACCAGCTTGACTAAAGAGCCCAGATCCATTAAGAATGTCTCTTAATGACCACTTGATGGCAGCATGGTTGAAATGCAGGCGCAGTCACTGGCCGCTGTAGTGTTAAAACTTTTCCAGAGCTGTTACAGAGGCAGCAGCCCCATGAATTCAGATACAGCTCTACAGAAATGTACAAGAACAGAAATACTTTTTCAGGCCCTCCAAAATAATTGTGTACCTTGGCCTTCGCTTGCTAAAAGATCAAGCAATGTTCCTTGGCATTCCCAGGAAGGAAGGAAAGAAGGAAGGAAAGGTTGCTCCATCCAGAAGAATTTTAATTTGTCTAGCTACAGTAATTAGATTTTTATTCACAAGCAGCTAGTAGAGAATCACAATGGAATGCACTTAAATTAGGTTAAAAAGGGATCTTTGAAATGTCATTTGCAAAATTAGTTTGTGATATACAATATTCTCCTGGCCTAAGGTTAAGTGGATTTGGGGAAATAGATTTCAAACCAATTTCCCATTCGAAGTTTTTCATTCTTCTCCTCCCCTCAGATTCTCCATTTGGGCATGCAGTCCGGAACATTCACCTCTTCTCCTTTGTTTTAAGTTGGAGGCTTCCACAAAGACCAAATCCTAGAAGGTACCACCACAGCAAAGCAGGCAGTGACTTCCAGCTGTAACCTGCAGACCACCAGGTCCCCCTTCCGTGAAGGGTCCTTGATCCCAGAAATAAATGTTTCATTTCTTTTGTGAGTTTTTGTTTTTACCATTGCCGCCTTCTTATCCTGTGATCCAAAGTGCAAGTAAGGAAAATGTGCATTGTTCAAAGTTAGCCAAGTGAGTACTTTTGTGTGTTGAGGACTGGCAATGAGGGAGCTTGTGAATGTGATTATTAAATGTATACTGCAGTAACTCGCATGGCACAGCAACAGAGACCAACTTCCAATCAAGGGAACTGGCAAGGACAAACCTGAAGCTCAGAACATCTGCCTGTGTTCTGTTGAACTAATGTCAGGAGGCTGCAGCCAGATACCAAGGGCTACAGGCCTCCGAGTTACATGAAGATGGGGTAGAGATGGTGCAAGCTGTCAACCAAAAAGGCCTCTGGTGAGTAGGAGAGCACACCTTCTTCCATTTCAACTTGGTGGAGAGGAGCACTCAGCAGCCCTGCTCCCCAGGACGATGCCTCCTCACTGCCTGGGAAGGAGAGCCCATCACAGGACCAGCAGTCCCTCCAGACACCAGTGGGTGGGATTTAAATGACTTCTATATTCAACACATATTTAGGAAAAGACTTCCAGTCCCATCACAGGTAGCTGCCCCCTTCCTCCCCAGTCCTGTCTCTCATGACCAAGAATCCCAGACACAGCACAGCCAATGGGTGCAAGCACAGCCTGCAGGGTGTGAAGAAGAAGGCAGGGTGCCCGGAGAGCCAGGCTCCAGGGAGGATGTGGACCTGAGCTCCTGGGCTTCCTACCACCCCTCATGGATTCCACATGGCTCTGCAGAAGCTCCAACCCTGGGACCACCCACAGACACACACAAAAGGAGCTCCAGGAAAACCGTGCATTCACCCCCACCCCCCAGCCAGAGGACCACGAACAGAGCAGCCCAACCACAGGAAACCCCTGCAGCAAGACTCATGAGACACACACATGGCCCATCCCCAGGCTCTTAGCAGGGCCGATGAGGGCTGGACCTTCCACCTCCCCACCCCCACTCCTGCCAGGGCCTCGGGCTGCGCTGAGCATCAGTTGGCTCCATCCCACCCCCTGCACAAGCAGGCAGCACCCTGACCTATCCAGGGCAATGTCAGTGGGTCCGTTGTGGAGCTGAGCCCCACTCCACCCCACCCGGCAGCAACAACCCTGAGCAAAGCAGTGTGACATGGGGCTGCTCACTGCCCTGTGCCCTCCCTGGCAAGCCCCTCACCATAAGAAAGGATAAGGGGTAGGGGGCAGGTTGAGTCCACTTTTTCCCCTCAGTATCAACCGGGCTGAGGAGGGAGCCCCCTCCCTGTGTAGCATCACTGAGGCTAAAGCTGGCAGTGGGAGGCAGGCCGTGGCACCGGCTTCCCCACAGCCTCCCTGGGGTCAGCAGGGCCCAAGGAAGCTGAGTGTAGCCGAAGCCCCACATCCACCTGAAGATACTAGAAGGGCCAGGGGAAGGTTATCATCACCCCACCTGCCTGCAGCCACCCAGCACGGTCAGGGCTCTGCTGCGGCTGTAGTGCCACGTGTACCCAGCCCAGCGGACAGCACCTGCTGCAGACGAAGACGCCAGCAGCTCGGGAGTCTCATAAGATATCCTAAATGTACGGGCTCCGATCCAAAGTCACTCAGCATACCAAGAACTAGGATAATCACAACTGGAAGGAGAAATAAACCGATGGATGACAACACGGAGATGAGTCAGAGGCTATCATTAGCTGAGCAGGATCTTCACATAACCATCATAAATACACTTCAGCATGTATGAATTCCCGTGGAATAAATGGAAAATTAGACAATTTTAGCAAAAGAATAAAGAAGAACCAAAGGAGGCCGGGCATGGTGGCTTACGCCTGTAATCCCAGCACTTTGGGAGGCCAAGGCAGGTGGATCACCTGAGGTCAGGAGGTCGAGACCAGCCTGACCAACATGGTGAAACCCCACCTCAACTAAAAATACAAAAATTAGCCTGGCACGATGGTGGGCACTTGTAGTCCCAGCTACTCGAGAGGCTGAGAGAGGAGAATCACTTGAACCCAGGAGCCAGAGGTTGCAGTGAGCAGAGATCATGCCACCTCACTCCAGCTGGGTGACAGAGTGAGACTCGGTCTGAAAAAAAAAAAAAGAAATTATAAAGCAAGAAAACACAATAACCAAAAGACAAACAAACCTAAAACCTCAATGCGTGGACTCAACCAGGACAGCGAGAGGACAAAAGACTGGACGAGGGCCAGAAGTCACCAACTCAGAGCAGCATTGAGGAAGTGGGCTGAGGAGAAAGAACAGACTCTCAGGAGCCTGTGTCATCCTCAGAGGAAAGAGAAAGTGAAACTGGAAGGTATATTTTTTAAATGGCTGTAAACTTCCCAAGTTTAGTGAAATATACTAAAGATTCAAGGATCTGAGAAAATTCCAAATGTGGTAAACCCAAAGAAATTTATACCAAGATACATCATAATCAAAGGTCTGAAAAACTAAAGACAAAGAAAAATAGCTGCAAAGTAGCCAGAGAGAAACACATTGCTTGTAGGACGTGCAAATTTTCCGTTTGAAACCATGGAACCCAAAAGGAAGTAGCAAGCGTCTCAAATACCAAGAGAAAAGGCCAGTCAACCAAAAGTCTATGGCAGGGAAAATGTCCCTCATGGACGGGTATAAATAGAGATATTCTCCAGTGAAGGAGCACTAAGAGAATCTGCCATCAGCAGGGTTACTCAAAGCATGGCTCGAGGAAGTTTCCTAAACAGAAGGGAAATTATAAAAGAAGCAATATTGGAATATTGGGAAGAAAGTGAGAACAACAGCAAAAGTAAAAAATATGGGTAAATAAATAGACTCCTTCTCCTCTTGAGTTTTCTAAATTATGTTCCATGGTTGGAAGCAAAAATGATAATGCTGTCTGATGTTCTCAATGTATGTAAAGAAAGTATTAAAGATGATAGTCATATTATAAACTATAACATAATATTGTAAACTATAATATAATATGGGGGAGGGAAAGTATGAAACGAGAGTTTAGGTGACCATATTGTATTAGAACTAACAAAATCTAGCACCACTAGACCATGTAGGATGTGTATAAATAATGAAGTACCTACAGCTACCATTTTTAAAAACTATAAAAAAGGATAAACCCCAAAACACTAGATAAATCAAAATGGAATTCTTAAAAAAAAAAAAAGTTCAAGTACAGGAAAGCCAGGAAAAACAAAATAAAGAAACACTAAACAGTGTTTTTATACTTCAGTAAGGACATTAAAAACAACCAGCCTCCGGGCACAGTGGCTCACGCCTGGAATCCCAGCACTTTGGGAGGCCAAAATGGGAGGATCACTTGAGCCCAGGAGTTCAAGACCAGCCTGGGCAACATACTGAAACCCCGTCTCTTTCTAAAAATAATAATAATAATAAACACTAGTGACTGCAGAAGCAAGGGCTGTCTTTGGTCGGCATCTCTCTGGTGTGTTTCTCGTGGGACATAATCTGCTGAATGCGTGGACTTGGAGTTAACTGAACCCCTTTCAACTTTCAGTCGTTCTCTGCATGTGTCTGAGCACGTGCCCCGACCCTGGAGCACCCTGGGCACTCAGCCAGCGTGGTCCTGACCTCACAAAGCCTTTGGATTCAGGCAGGAGAGAAAATATGCTATCAATAATTCAGGGCTTCTAAATTTGCTGCCAGCTGAGATTTCTGAAATTCCTGCCGTGTGAGGGCTTCATCCTGAGCCCTGTGTAGTGCCCCTGGTGGAGATGTGTGGTGTGCCCCATTTTACAGAGAAGGATCAAGAGAATCACGAGTATCTTCCGAGGTCATGTAGCATACAGCAGGGCGTGTCCTTCCACCCAGGGCTTTTCACCTCTCAAGAGTTTTCTAGAAAAATCTTAATTATTACAGGGTTTCCAGGGCAGGACTGAAAATAAGCCTAGGGTTTCTCGTTTTTACTATTTCACAAATGGTATTGTTTTATTTCTCACTTTTCAGCATTAATATTTCCAAAAGAACTGGGGACATTTTCTGGTGGCATACATCACTAAGCCTGTCAGTCCATGCAGGTTTCATCCCACGCGGACCAGCTATCACCGCAGGTCATTTCAACAAACAGCAATAGTTAGGAGCATTCAGCTCATCTAGTTTTGCCAAACTGATTTTTCTTTTTTATAAAAACGTTAGAGAGGGAGGGATAAATCACAGAGAAGGCCATGCCATGGCCACTCCCATCCATCTGCTCACACCCCTCCCCCTGCCTGCCTGGTCCTTCCAGCCAGGAGCATCCAAAAGTGTCCCGGGCAAAGCCCCTGTGGCTCTTTCCTGTCCCTCTGAACCCAGAGATGGACAGGAAAATCTCTGCACACCTCTGGGCCTGAGCTTACCAGAGTGAATTTTCCTCCCTCTAGCCCACAACCCATTCAATAGATGCCCTGAGCACCCAGGGGAAACATTCTACACCAACTCGACTCCACTTCTCCCAGCAGGGCCCTTGGCTGTGGGGGAGGCAAAGGCGTCCAAGTTCTCTGGTGGTTCTGGGACAGCTTGTGCAGGCTGAACGGGATGAATCAGCAACAGAACTGTATCCTCCCCTAAGCTACAGGGCTAAAAGGAATAGACAAGCCGACTGTTTGTCTACACAGAACTCAACTGAATTATTAACTTCGTAAGAAGTTTTCTATCTCATCTCCACATTTTTAGGTTATATATGTTAATAGATTTAATTACACTATCATTGCTTTCTCTACTTCTTCATATCAGTGAAGCAAAAAGAAACACATAGAAAAAATATGAGTAGTGGCTGCAATTCTCTTTTAAAACACTAAAAACATGAAACAAATTTGCAATGATGAAAAGAAAAAGTACCATCAAACAGTAAGCAAAGACTACTGCTTACTTTTCCTACATATATTTTCCATTCTCACCTTTGCCTTTCATCAAAGAATTCTTTATAGTATTTATCGAAGCTTGAGATGAACCTTCACTTATAGAAAAAAGGAAAGACTTCTGAACATCAGGAAGCGTGGGGAGGCTGCTGAACCACCTCCGATTCTCCCTGTTTGTTGTTCTACTTAACACGGAAGGGAGACAGGCATGTAAATATTGTGAGACAGTCTTGTTAAATACTCACACACATCATTTACATGTACGTGATGTATAGGATGAATTCTCTACATGGGTGTCCTTGATAACCCTAGTATTGCCCTTTCAGGAAACCTCTTAGTAATTAATTTCTTCCACTAATACTTGGTGCACATGGCTCTGGGCAGACCTTATGAGGCTTGACACGAATAGACGGTCACCCAGAGAGGTCACTCTGCAGACACAGGGTTTTGTCTTATTCACTGTGGACTCTTCAGAATCTAGACCAATATCACCTGATAGAAATGTTATATAACTTTGCACTATCCAACACAGTATCTACTAGTCCCACGTGGGTATTGAATTCTTGAAATGTGGCCAGTGTGAGTGAGGAACTGAGTTTTTTTAACTTTGTTTCGCTTTCACTCAATTTCAATAGCCAACCGTGTCTGGTGGACAACACAGACGTGCCTGATACAAGCAGAAGCTCAATAAATATTTGTTGTTAAAAGAGTGAGCAGCCTCTGCCCTATGGGGAGGGATAGGTATTGGTCAAATAATGACAAAATAAATCTGTAATTACAAATTATAACTTGGCTATTGAAAAGTGCATGATGGCCAAGTGCGTTGGCCCACGTCTATAATCCCGGCACTTTGGGAGGCTGAGGCAGGAGGATCACTTGAGCATAGGAGTTTGAGACCAGCCTGAGCAATATAGGGAGATCCCATCTCTACAAATTAAAATTAAAAATTAGCCAGGCATGATGGTGCTCACCTGTGGGCCCAGCTACTCAGGACGCCGAGATAGGAGAATCGCTAGAGCCCAGGAATTCAAGTCTGCAGTGAGCTATGATCGCACCACTGAACTCCAGCCTGGGTGACAGAGCAAGACCCCACTGAAAGAAAAGAAGAGAAAAAAGAGTGCATAGTTTCATGAAGGAATATAAGCAAGTACCTTGGGCCTCACGGAGACTGTCTCCAAGGAAATGGTGTTGAGGCCGAAACCAGAACAGCCATGAGCTGAACACAGAACCAAAGAGAAGGAAAGGTGAAGAGAGAGAAAGGAGGGGAAGAGAGCAAGAGAAGTGGAGACAGAGAAACAGAAATGGAGAAAGAGGAGAGAGAAGAAAGAGGACAGAGAGACAAAGAGAAAAGGGGGAGAGACAGAGGGAGAGAGGCAGAGAGGGAAGGAGAAAGAAATGGAGACAGAAAAACAGAGTGACAGAAACCAACAGACAGGAGAGAAAGAAAGAGAGAGAGAGAGGAGTGCAGAGGGAGAGGAAGATGGGAAGCAGCAGAGAATTACTCCCAGCAGAAGACGCCGCACATGGCAGCGGGAGGGAGCACGGGGCAGCGGGAGGGAGCACGGAGCAGCGGGAAGGAGCATAGGGCTTCGGAGAACAGTGTGTATCTGTGAGAATCTCACAACATGAGGTTGGGGGGGAAGGGGTGGCCAGCTCTGGCGGGCCGTCCAGGTCCTGTTGGGGTTTCCCTCTTTACCCTCAGAACAATGAGAGCCCACTAGAAGGTGGTGAGCAGAGAAAGGGCCCACAAGGTTTGTGATTTTGAAAAATCACCTGTCTACAGTACAGAAAACCAACCAGAAGAATGGACTGAGAGGAGAGATAGGCGGCTATTGCAGGTGTCCAGGCTACAGATGGTAACAGGCACTTCCGGGAGGGGAAAGATGGATGCTGCCATCACAGCTAAAAAAAGGCTAGGGCATGTCTGGGACTGGATTGTTTCCAAACCAGCGTCTTCTGCTGGGATGAATTCTCTGCTGCTTCCCATACCCTCAGAAGCCCAGATGGATGTTGTTGTGCTGGGAACGCCCTGTTCATCCAAGTTTCCACTCACACAATAAAAGCCCATCACAGGCCAGGCACACACTGTGTCATTCATTCATTCACTCACATCGAGGGAGTCGTTGCCCTCCAGAGGCCAGGCACGGCCATGGCCAGTGGAGGCTGAGCCAGGTGGACCCTCAGCCTCCCTGGCTGCATGTGTGCGCCTGTGAGTTCTCTAAACCAGAGCTGGCAGGCTTAGGGAAGCCGCAGGAAATTATCAGCTCTTATGGTCATGCATCTTCCCATCTATCAACTTACTTATTTAACTTTAAAATGGGTCACAGATATCATTTTGGCTTCAGAAGTATAAATTGGAGTCCCAGTATGCAATAGGGCTCACATTTTTCTTAAAGGACAGAAAAGCACTAGTGTTGCAAAATGCACTTGACACAGGTCACTGCTCTGCAGCTGCGGCTGTGCTGGGTTGAAGTGGGAGCCGGGCCCTCCTTGTCCTCAGCCTGAGTTCCTCAGACAGGAGAGATGCCGTGCAGCCTTGGCAGCCCCACCATGAGTGGCCATTCCTGTCAAATAAAGCGACATGAACAGCCTGGGTTTATATCCATCTTTCCCTTCCAAATGAGGCAAGTCAGGAATTACTGAGAAAGTTATGAAGGCATTTGGTTAGAATTCATTCACTAAGTAAACAAATTTAATGAAGCAAACATGTAGCAAATACATTTAATGAAGCAGACATAACGGAGTGCAGGGCAGGACCGAACATCCCCTCCTGCACGTGCTGTTCCTGAACTCAGAAGCTCGATGTCTGGGTTGGCCTGCGGAGCCGACAGGCCGGTCTGCACCACCAATACACGCTCACAACAGCAAGCGCACGGGCTCCGAGACAGTGAAAGGTTTTATTGTGCTATGTTGCTCTGATACGATACAGAGAGTGGAAGTAAATATTGGTCATAACTACCTCCAGAATCCCCGCCAGTCATGGGATAAAGAAGCCAGAAGGGAGGGATTGATCACATTCGCCCTCAAAGGCAAGCTCACATCGAGAGGTTCCACCACCCCCATTCCACAGGCCCATCCTCTCGGCCTCGAATCGTTTGAAAAATGCAAGCAGTGGCCCTGATCTTAGTGATCAGACAATGAGGACTGAGGCCAGGACTCATGCAGGCCCCTTGGCAAGCCGAGCGGTGGCCACATCAAGCTGCAGTGGCATCCAAGGGTGTCTGCTGCAGGCTGGAGCGAAACAGAGGCTCGAGGCTCCAGAAAGGCATCAGCACCTGGGGCTGTGGACAGAGCCACGTGGAGGCCCTCTCTGAGGACAGCCCGCTGCTGGGAAAGATCTCCACAGTGTTTCTTCTGGAATAAATCACTCGCCACCTTCTGAAGAAGACACCAATGCAGGTAAGTCCCGCGTTGAAAGCTTTGACTGGGAGGAGAAGATGTCATTCATTGTGGAAGGTACAGACGGCAGGGGGCAAGGGGCCAGACAGGAAGGTCCTTCTAGAGGTGAGAGACTTTTACAGGAAGATGTAAGACCTGCTGGGAATGGAAGGAGGCTCCGGAAAGAGAAGGCCAGAAACATCTAGAAAGATCCAAAAAGATGACAACTCTTGTAAGATTGTTACTGACAACCACTTCCAGTTTCTCATGGAGCTGAAGATGAAGAAAGCCTTCGGCCACCAGAAAGCAACCAGCCGCAGGGACGACAGCTCCAGCAGCTCCACCAGCTCCAGGGCCCTGTCATGGGAGGCTGTGGGGGTCGGGGTGCTCTCTCTGGCCTGAGAGCTGTGAGGAAGCTGGAGAAACCCGTGCAGGAGGCTGTCACAGCAGATCAGCGCAGCAGGGTCTCATATCAGCAAAATGAGATGCAGAAGCCAGCAGGAGGAACAAGGGACAGTCAGAGAAGGAGGCGGCCCTGACCTGCAGGTGCAGGGCCACCATGGCTGTGGGTGGGAGGATGGGATCTCCCGGAGGAAGACCCCTGCCCGGTCATGAGGCAACCGCTTCTCTCCAGCCAGAGCATGAGCTGTGTTCACAAGCATGCAGACCATGAGCAAAACAGAAACAGTGACAGTCACACACACACACACACAAGAGAAAAAATGAAGCCACAACAGACCTCCATCAGCAGCATGGCTCAGGGACTCCCAGCTGCCAATCTTTGATTTAAAAATACGTATATCAAGTATTGTTTTAGAGCTATTCTTGGTAAAATATCAGGAGACACGCTCCTTTTGCCACTCTAATTTAAATAATAGTTATCTTTCTGAGCCAGTGAGTGACCTTGCGGTTCTAAACCCAGGGTAATGGACAGGGTAATGCTGTCCTGGGGGACACTGGCGATGTCTGGAACCATTTGGGTTGTCAATGATGCCTGGATGCTACTGGTGTCGCATGGGTGGAGGCCAGAGAAGCTGCTGGGGACCCTCCAATGCCTGGGACAGACCCTCAGGGACAATCAGCTCCAGGTGCTGACAGTGCTGAGGTGGAGAAACCCCGGTAACAGAATCCAACCCCAAGAGACCAAGAGAACTTAGAAGGGTCTTACAACAAAGTGGCTTCCATTACTGTTTTCCTCAGGATACAAATCATATCTTGATCAGCCTTAAAAAGACAGGTGTCTCTGTTCCTCTTGTGAGGTTTCTGTACCCCAGAGCCTGTTGGGGGCTCAGCCCCTGTGCCCGTCATAAGGAGGATGGAGAGAGATTGGTGCTGTAGTCACACCTGGCCATTGCTCTTCCCCACCCGGGAGACCTGTCTCCTCCTGTGTTTCCGAGGTGACTGTCAGAAATGACCCTTGATTACAATGATGAGTTCATCCTGACTCATTTGAGGCCCAGCAGAGGAGGCCCCACTCTGCATGGCAATGCAGTAAGTGTATGAAATCCCATCCTGATCTGGATGCAAGCCTGCAGGGTCTCTCACTGTCCCCACCAGCCCCGTTCCAGACTTGGGGCCCCAATTTCTCCAATAGAGACAGGTCATCACACCCTACAAGGCCAGATGTTTGTGAAGACCCTCACACAGGGAAGAGCGGGAAGGGTGAGAGAGGAAACAGTTCAACAGTGCCTACTCTTAAAGAAACCAGGAAGAGGCCTTTGTCTCTGAGCAAAAGCTTCAGAGCTGCAAGTAATCCACACCCACAACAAATACAACCTAGTGCTGAATTCCGAATGGCGCTGCTTCCAACCATGTGTATTTAATTTGTCTCACCTCAAAACTACAATAAACACAGAAACAGACCTCTAACCCATTCCTTCCAGATATAACAAACTCTAACTTTGAGATTTTGTAATTTGAACAAATGATATTAAGGAATAATATTTACCAGTTTGAGTTTCAATACGTTATTTTCATTTTGGAAAGACACCTTCTAAACAAGCAAACACAACTTAAGTTCAACTAATTGAAATTTAATTAAAAGTTATTTCTCTAAGATTATGAGTGATCTGGGCACCCCTTAAATTGACTCCTATATGGTGCTGAGTAAAACCTCTTAAGCTAATGGAAAACAGAGGTTCTCATTTTAAATGATAAATTCATCTAGAAGCGCACATGCATGTCCCTAATGGGTTGAAAGGAGCTCCAGGTGTGAGGGATCCTGTCTCCTGAGTCTTGCTGTTCTCCCTGAATTCAACAGCAAGAATGTCCCAGGCCCTTCCATTTAATCTGGCATAGTAACAACATTTTTTTTCCTTGTCTTTTCCAAAATTATCTCAGTACAATCAGGGCAAGAAAATAAACCCAAACTTCACTTTTCACAAAGCTAGGAGACATCTGTTCTTACAAATCACAAAATATGAAGACAAAAAAATGGGTGCAAAAATGGTAAATTACTTAGATGATAGAGAAAGGGCAGACGTAAAGGGCCCGGGATTTGGAGTGCACTGGGATGTGGGGTAGGCAGTAGAGTTGGGGCAGGTCCTCATCCACTCCCAACATGCTCAGGTGACTAACCCCCTCCCACTCGCCCAAACATGGGAATTATATGCACAGAAAAGATTTAGCAAGAGCGGCCACATGGAAATGGCACCAGCAATGGGGTAACAGATAGGACAGGTTCACAGTACAGAGATGCCATTTGCCATGTTTCAGGATCTTAAGACATGCCTAATTGGGAAGAGTTGCTGATTTTTTTCTGTTCCAACGGTTGAGAAGATCATTAGATGAGAGTGGTTCTCAACTGGAAGCAATAGTTTCCTCCAAGGGGACACTTGGAAATTGTGCAGCATTTTTTATTGTCACAACCTAGAGGTGTGGGGAGCCACTACCAGCATCCAGTGGGTAGAGGCCAGGGATGCCTCCCAGCATCCCACAGTGCACAGACACGAGGACGATCAAGCTGCCCAGCAAGGAACGATCGAGCCAAAATACCAACAGTGTTGCTGCTGAGATGCCCTGATTTATACCTACGAACTTTGGAGCTAATTCTATGATATATGGGCTAAGAAGCAAGAAATAGAAAATGAACACAAAGGGGAAAAAAAAGCTCTGCCTTGTTCCCATGGATATTATGTTGTGTCTGTTTCTGAATCAGACTAAATAAAAGGCTAAATAAAAGCTAAAATGGAAAAACCAATTCACCATGAACTCCTTTCTTTTAAGCATGAGTAATATCTAAAGCCCTGAACAGCCTTGTAGTTTCAACACATGGTTTAATGTGCCAATGTAGACTTAGAGCACACAATTTTCAAATGTATTGGGAAATCTATGATATTGAGATGTTCAGGCAACTGGGAAAAGTCAGCCCAAGCTGATGATTTGGAGAGACACTGTCACTCCCTGGCCATGCCCCTCAGAAGCTTGGGGCCCCCAGATACTCAGCCTAGCAACACAAAATTTGTAGTTTATCAGTAAAATAGAGAGGGAAGAATTCTCCAATTGCATGCGGCTTGCAGAATCTCATTAGGTCAAATTAGGCCGTAAAACACAGTTTATGAGATTTTACTGCCGCATCCTGTAGGAGTCACTTTAAGGACTGTCCAAGTCATTCGTAGTTTTCAAGAAGTGTTTAGCTGTCTGCCTGGGTGGTCATGAAGTGCTATCATTAGTTATGGGCATTTAAGTTGCCCAAAGAACATCCAAAAGAAATATCTGCTAGTGACCTAAAGTCTTGGCTTTGGAGCTGCAGAGACAGGTATTCGTTTCAAAGCCATTAGGGGACAGAGAACAATTGAAGGTGAGTCAGTGGGGTGAGAAAAAACCACACGAAAACTCCAGGGAGAAGTGGAAAGGCGTTGATGAAGCTGTCAGTATTGGTTATGTGACACACGTAGTATGAAGAAAGGGAGACAGATTTTTTCATCACCTTCACGTTGCAGAAATTGTTGCTATTATCAAATATGATGCTCTAACTAAAAGAAGCCTTAGAAGGGAGACTTAGGAAGAATGAAAAACAAGTAACAATGGGCCTTCTTTTCAGAGATGGAAGAAGAAAGAGTGGTGGGTGTAGACAGACACATTTGTATGTGAGGAGGCAGAGGGATCTTCCAGCGGGCAGTGAGTGAAGGGCAGTCTCCTCACAACTCAGAGTCCACACGGACCACCGGGAATCCCATGACACCAAGAGTCTAGGGGGAGACCTGGGATTCCGCATTGCCAACAAGCTCCCCAGGGACATGGACGTTGCTGTCCTGGGACCGTGCGCTGAGCTGACAGGGTGGCCCAGGGGCATGGACGTTGCTGTCCTGGGACCGTGCGCTGAGCTGACGGGGTGGCCCAGGGGCGTGGACGTTGCTGTCCTGGAACCGTGCGCTGAGCTGACAGGGTGACGTTGGCTTCTCTGGGTTGTCAAGGCTCCCTGAGCAGCCTCCTTGGTCACAGTGTCCTGGTGGCATCAAGCACAGAACCAGGACATTCTAATGACAGTTCCATCGAACTGCCATTTTTACCGCTTGTCATGCATTTCCCTTTTTAACAAGAATCCCAGTAGAAAAAAATAATAATAACTGAGCCAGATATTCTGGATATATGACATTTTCAGCGTAAACAAGGATATTTAAGAATAAAACTAGAACAGAATTATAAATGAGAAATATCCAAAGCAAAATAAAATTAAAAGAGGAACTATATTGCTGGTAAGATCAACCAGAGGTAAATCGTGTTTTTATTTTGTTTTTGTTTTGTAACTTTTTAATTCTATTGCTAATTTCTTTAAAAATTAAATTCTAATAGCTCTAACACTGTCTTTAGAATGCAATAAGCTTTATCCTAGAAGGAATTCTAGAAAGAGAAACTTTGATTCTGGAAACTAGAAAGATTCTAGAATGAATAAGTTAAAATAGAAATAGTGCCTAGAAATTTCATGCAAAAAAAGTATTAAAATGAGAAATTTATTCTTGTGAACTAAGTAAGCTACTAAGACTTCGTAGTATCTGATTATTGAAGAATGTTTTTCTACCTGTTAATCGTTCATGTGTGTATAACCCCAGCCCAAATTTTAATTTTTGTAATTTCCTTTGAGAAATTAATAGACCTGGTTTAGTCCAAGCTTCACCCTTTCCTCTCTGCACACCTGGGAGAAGGAAGCATAATTGTGCAGCTCCTTAACTGATTCAGGTATAAACTCAAGAGCAACCACTAAGGTGGTAAGAATGAGAGTCCTTTATAAGGTGGTAAGAATGAGAGTCCTTTATAAGGTGGTAAGAATGAGAGTCCTTATAAGGTGGTAAGAATGAGAGTGTTTGTTACAATGATTGCCATTGTCATCGGTATTTCTAGCATGGATTGACCACAAAAAAAAGCGATTAGTTCACATCTGTAATATTATTTTTTGAGAGAAGATGTTTTCTATGTAGCAGGATCTCAGATGTCTATATAAAGTATTTTCCGTGTAATTATGATTTCAGTGTTATTCCAGATTTTTAAGGCTCAAACTCCTCTGTCATAAAGCCTGTTTCACTAAAACAGTCATAATCTTAGGAAAAAATTGATGCAGAAGGAAAATAAATGTGCCACACAGTGACCAAGAGCGAATTCCTGGTTTTGAGGCGGCATCTGCAAGCCAGCTCCTGAGCAGATTTCCCAGGCCCCACCTGGCAGCTCCTCCCTGCTGCACCTGGCTTCCCCAGCTCCACAGCTTGCAGGGTATGAAAGTTTAAAAAGTATTAGTATTATTTTTATATTTAGTCTTTCATGGTAAGTGAAAGATTCAAGCTGCTTGAGAAGAGAAATAGAGGTGATTATATAAAGAGGAGAACATTAGATCCCCTCCTGAAACACAAAATAGAATCCATCAACAAAACCACCCCAGCCAGCCAGCAGGGGACGTGACAGGGACTTTTCTGGCCTCTCCTTTATCCCTGGCCACACCCCTCCCTTCCCCACCTTCTTTAAAACCAAAGAGATTCTAGGGTCCAAACCCTGTCCTCCTTCATTTCTAGGTCCCAAGCACTTGGCTAGATTGATTAAATAATTTAATCCAAACATTATCGCCATGGGAAGCCACCATTGTTATGCTGAATTTAGTATATAAATCATAGTTGCCATCATTTTGAAGATGTGCCTACTAAAAGCAATTGGAAACATGCAAATAATTGTATCACAGTCTATGAAAGTGAAAAGGCCTGCTTAATTGGTATGATATTTTCTATGCTTGGAAACTCCTAGAAAGAGCCTAGGGAAGCTTCTCCTTACAAAGTCTGCTTAGACCATTAAAACAGCAGAGAAGGAGCAACTGCACTGGAGGAAATGAAAGAATCCATGAACATAAACTATTCCATAAACATGAATCTTTGAATTTTCAGGCTGAACTCAAGAGGAAAAACCATGCAAAAAAATCAATGAATCCAGAAGTTTATTATTTGAAAGAATAAGCAAGATAGAACGCTAGCTAGACTAATAAAATAAGAAAGAATATCCAAATAAACACAATCAAAAATGACAAAGGGACGTTACCACGAACCCCGCATAAATACAAATAACCCTCAGAGACTGCTGTTAACACCTCTGTGCACAAAAGTTGGAACACCCAGAAGAAATGAGTAAATTCCTGGGAACATACATCCTCCCAAGATTGAATCAGGAATAAATTGGCTCCCCGAACACACCAATAATGAGTTCCAAAATTGAATTAGTAATAAAAAGCCTACTAACCAGAAAAAGCCCAGGACCAGATGGATTCACAGCCAAATCCTACCAGGAATGTAAAGAACAACTGGTACCATTTCTAACTGAAACTATTCAAGAAATTGAGGAGGAGGGACTCCTCCTTAACTCACTCTATGAGGTTGGCATCATACTGATACCAAAACCTGGAAGAGACACAACCAAAACAGAAAACTTCAGGCCAGTGTCCTTGATGAACATCAATGCAAAAATCCTCAAAAAAAAAAAAATACTTGCCAATCAAATCCAGCAGCACATCAAAAAGCTAATCCATCATGATCAAGTAGACATTATCCCTGGGATGTAAGTTTGGTTTAACATATGCAAATCAATAAAGGTAATTCATCCCATAAACAGAACTAAAAACAAAACCCACATGATTATCTCAATATATGCAGAAAAGGCTTTTGATAAAATTTAACATCCATTCATGTTAAAAACTGTCAACAAGCTAAGCATCGAAGGAACATTCCTCAAAATAATAAGAGCCATCTGTGACAGACTCACAGCCAACATCATACTGAATGGGCAAAAGCTGGAAGCATTCCCCTTGAAAACTGGCACAAGACTAGGATGCCCTCTCTCACCACTCCTCTTCACCATAGTACTGGAAATCCTGGCCAGAGCAATCAGGCAAGAGAAAGAAATAGAAGGCATCTAAATAGAAAGAGAGGAAGTCAAACTATCCCTGTTTGCAGACAATATGATTCTATAGCTAAAAATCCTCATAGTCTCTGCCCAAAAGCTCCTTGATCTGAGAAACAACTTCAGCAAAGTTTCGGGGTGCAAAATCAATGTACAAAAATCAGCAGCACTCCTATACACCAACAACATCCAAGCTGAGAACCAAATCACGAACAGAATCACATTCACAATTGCCACCAAAATAATAATAACAAAATACCTAGGAATATTTTTAACCAGGGAGGTGAAAGATCTCTACAATGAGAATTATGCTCAAATAAATCAGAGGTGACACAAACAAATGGAAAAACATCCCCTGCTTATAGTTAGGAAGAATCAGTATCATTAAAATGGCCAAATTGCCCAAAGCAATTTACAAGTTCAATGACATTTCTATCAAACTACCAGTGGCATTCTTCATAGAATTAGAAAAAAACTACTTTAAAATTTATCTGGAACCATAAAAGAGCTTGAATGGCCAAGGTAATCCTAAGTAAAAAGAACAAAGCTGTAAGAATCATGTTACCCAAGTTCAAAATGTACTACAAGACTACGGTAACCAAAACAGCATGGTATTGGTACAAAAACACATACACAGACTAATGGATCAGAATATAGAACCCAGAAATAAAGCCACACACCTACAACCATCTGATCTTTGACAAAGTCAACCAAAACAAGCAACGGGGAAATGAATCCCTATTCAATAAATGATGTTGGAATAACTGGCTAGCCATATGCAGAAGATTAAAATTGGACCCCTTTCTTATACCATAAAAAAATCAACTCAAGATGGATTAAAGACTTATATGTAAAACCTAAAACTATAAAAACCCTAGGAGATAACCTTGAAAATACCATTCTGGACATAGACCCTGGCAAAAAATTTCATGACGAAGATGCCAAAAGTAATTGTAACAAAAACAAAAATTGACAAATGGGACCAGTTAAACTAAAGAGCTTCTGCACAGCAAAAGAAACTATCAACAGAATAAACAGACAACCTACAGAATGGAAGAAAAGATTTTCAAACTATGCATCTGACAAAGGCCTAATATCCAGAATGTATAAGGAACTAAAACAGAACAACAAGCAAAAATCAATCAACCCCATTAGAAAGTGGGCAAAGAACATGAACAGACACTTTTCAAAAGAAAATATACACACAGCCAACAAGCACATGAAAAAATACTCAACTTCACTAATCATTAGAGAAATGCAAATCAAAACCACAGTGGGATAGCATTCACACCAGCCAGAATGGCTATTAAAAAGTCAATAAAGAACAGGGGCGAAGTTGCAGAGAAAAGGGAACGCTTATACACAGTTGATGGGAATGTAAATTGGTACAGCCATTGTGGAAAGCAGTTAGGCGGTTTCTCAAAGAACTCAAAGCAGAATTACCATTCAATTCAGCAATCCCATTAGTGGTGATATACCCAAAGAAATATAAATAGTTCTACCATGTAGGTACATGCGTGCATATATTCATCACAGCACTATCTACAATAGCAAAGACATGGAATCAACCTAAATGCCTATTAACAGTAGATTAGATAAAGAAAATATGGAATATAGACACCACAGAATACTATGGTGTCATAAAAAGGAGTGAGATAATGTTTTTCGTGCAATGTTTTTCAAGCTGGAAGCCATTATCCTATACAAACGAACGCAGGAACCGCAAACCAAATACTCACTCATAAGTGAGAATTAAACATTGAATACACGTAGACAAAAAAAAGGGACAACAGACACCAAGGCCTACTGAAGGGGTTGGGGGGAAGAGGGAGGGGTTGAGAAATTACCTATCAGGTACTATGCTTATTACCTGGGAAGTGAAATAATCTGTACACCAAACCCCCGTGACATGCAACTTACCCATATAACAAACCTGCACATGTACCCCTGATCCTAAAAGAAAAAAAAAAGAAATAGCAGACGGGTCATGATTTTTTTTTTCAAACAGAAATTTTAAAAGATTGATTGCAAGCTCCAGATGAATTATCATAGCTTATCATTAGCAACATTCAAAAATGATTTATGAAAGATACAGTTGATGAATAGTTTAAAAAGATGATGATGAGGATGATGGCTTCTCAAGAACAGTATTTGCTAAACTAATGGCATGTACCCTCTGGACATTATTTCCAAGCTGGTAGCTCCAGGAATTTCATGAGCATGATGTAACTGGATTGCCACAACGCATAGGATAAGTCTCTTGTAGCACCTTCAATAAATCAAGAATAAATAATGGCAGCAGGTTTCCACAGTGAGGTGGCTCTCTGAGTAATATAATCATATTCCCTGGGCCTGTGCATGAATCTGATGCCCTTCTGGAGGGCACTCTCATGGAGACCACAGGGTTCTGCCAGTTGATCACTGCTAGTCCTATAGTAGGTCAATGCACTGTAATCACACCTAGCAGATGTATCTATGGATGGCAGGGCTGGAGAAGACAGCTGGTCTGCTGGATGGGCAAATCAAGATTAAAAATGATCCAACAAGTTAGGATGACAGGCAGAAATCAACAAGACACATGTCCCTAGAAGAACTGAAAATGCCTGAATTTTAGATTGCCAGTATAGAGATAGACGGAGAAAATTCCTGGCTTAAGAGAACTCATGGGAAAAATTCCTACAGGTAAATTATCTATAAAACTCACCCAGCACAGTGGGGGCCACCTTCAGAGAAAGGTTATCTTTAAAACAAGACAGTTAATCGTCATCTTAAACTCTGACATTGGTTAGACACTCCCAGGCCAGAGTTCAAATGTGGGTGCCCCATTTTAGGAAGTCCAAAAAAGAAGACCAACAAATAAACTGAATTGGGGTCCAAAAAGTCATGTCTAGACAAGGCTTATATCTTTCTTTCCCACACACTCCTCTTTGAGTCCTTTTTATCTACCCAAAATCTCATTCACTGGCCAATGGACTATAAGACAAGTTACCAAAAATTATTCAAAATAGCTAAAGATGAATATGCTGTAGGTAACAAACATCACTCTATCTGGTAAATACTCTAAAAATACTTATGTCCATCTTTATCTTTTTTAATTTTTGCATTTTGAGTATTTGAAGATTTTTTTCTAGGAAAAAATAGTTAAGATGCTTAAATTCATATACTAAAGCATAACTATATACTATACTTTTGTTCTCACCACTCTATTCCCAGCCTTGGGAAGAGCTTTTTGCACAGAGTAGGCTATCAACAAGCAACTGCTGAATGAATTAAGGAATGGACAGATGAGTGAATGAACTACTGCTCCATGGCTTATCTCTTGCCAGTCTTTGCATCTCTTCTCTTCCCTGGGCCTCAAGTGGCCAAATCACTTACAGTACCTTGGAGCTGCTCTTCCACCTGTTGGAGACTTTGTCCAAGCTGTCTTCTGTCTAAGTGTTCCATGCTGGGCCCATCCGTCCCCTAAATAGGCCCATACTGTGCTTCCTGGCTCTTCTTCAAACACAACATTTTCTAGTAAGCCTTTCTTCATCCATTCTAGAATATAAACTAGCTGTGATTTGGGTGATTTTTTTTCTCAATTGTTGACTCAATTCTTTACAGTCACTGCTCCTTTTGAAGCCATCTTGTTTGTTTTGTTTTTAATATCATGCTTTGTTTTTCCAAGACGGAATAAATTGAACTTACAGGCTTCATCTGTTATTTCAAAAAGAGATTCATACAGCTCACTACCCAGAGAATTTTAAAATCTGTTATTCCTAATATTGTGCCATTTTAGTAGGGAACTCAAGTAGACTTTTTGTTCTTTTCTTTTTTCTTTACTTTCAAAGCTTGAACATCACTTTAGAAATGAAAACGTAAAATAATTGCAAGAATTCTAACCTTAGATGACAATAAATGGCAGCAGAAGAGACACAGTGGATTTTTTACATCCAAAATCTGAGGTAGCAAAGTCAGACCAAGCTGCCTGAATTCTGTGGTCTACAGGACACACGTTTTACAAACTAGCATTGAACTTTTATAAATGAGTTGGAATTAGTGCTTTGTGATGGAGGGTGAAAGATGAGATCATAAGTTCACTTCTGTGGTTCTCCCAATAAGGAGCAAAGCTGATTAGTAACCCACAGCTGGTCTATTTCCAGGGCTCAAAGGGAAAGGAGGATTAAGAGATTGAGCAAAAGCAAGAGGAAATAAACATGTCTCCACCATTGGAGGAATTTTGTGTTGCTACAGTGCCATCCTGTACCTGGATAGTCATGGGGATTTATCAATGCAGCAAACAAAAGCATTTTGCTGTAGCCAGAAAAGGAAGGCTGGGTAACGGGGAGGTTCTGACTTTAGGAAATCTCTTTCTTGGAGAAGGTTTACTCTCATACATTGTGAAGGAATGTGAAGTTTTGTGGTTTCTTTCATAAGCAAGTTGGGAACAGATGTTTAATTCAAAATACATAAATTATTCAAACCCAAAATCCCACTCTTGGAATCTATCCCATAGAAATTACATCACTAAGAATGTCAAATGTACAAGGTGTACAATATTGTTTATATGGACAAGAGCTGCAAATAAAGAGGCCATCCATCAATAGGAGGCTGACTGAATAAACTAGGCTACACCTCTCCATAAAAAACTATGCAACCCCCAAAAAACAAATTACAGCTACACCATATTCCCTAGAGAGATGTGCATAAAACATTGTTAAGTGGAAAGCTGTTGAAACATGTGATTAATCGATCTGTTCCTGTAAAACAAAAACAGACTAATCCTCTTTGTATATGTACAAATGCACTTGCCTGTGTATGTACATGTGTCTGCATGTGTGTTTGTATGTGTGTGCATGTTTACACAGTATTCTATACATGTATAGCAAAACACAGAATGAACACTCAGTCATAACGTAGGCAATTGAGTAGGTTCTGATGTGGGTGAAGGAGTTTGGGAAGAGAGACAAATGAAAAAGTAAAAAAAAAATTGTATTAAAAATGCCTGCTTCAACTTCTAGCCTAAAAAAGGTGGTATAGACCTGTTTCCCTGCTCTTTCCCACTAAGCACAACTATGAACCCTGGAAACAAAGCAATAGACAACCAAAGGACAGCTGTGATGTATGGTAAGAGGAAAGCGATGTGGTTTGTACTTCTGGGACTGGAAGAAGTACAGCACAGCAGTTTGTACTTCTGGGAGAGCACAGCGGCAAGGTGTCTTGTGACCCCACTCGACGAAGAAACAGAAGTCAGATTCTGTCACCCACCCACCAACCACCAGCCCCCCAAAAAAGGCAGCCCCAGTAGGCACATTCCTCCCCTGATCAATCAGGGGCTCCTCTTGACAACATCAAGTGAGCCCAGTGCCACCTGCAAATGAGATTGATCGCCATGAAAACAGTGACCATGGAAAGCACTCTCCTTCTCCCTGGGCCTGAGACCCCATCCCCATCCAGAGACACCCAGGATAGCTACACTCATGTTGAAAAAGAAGAACACAGTGGGAGGAATCACTTTACCAATATCAAGGCTGACTATGTAGCTACAGTGATCCAGACACTGTGATGTTAACAGATGGCTAAACAATAGATCCATGGAACAGGACACAAAACTTAGAAAAACACCCACAAAAATATGCTTAATTGATTTTTGATGAAGGTACAAAAGCAATTCAACAGAGGGAGAATATTCTTTTTGTATCAGGCAGGGTTCAACCAAAGAGGCAGAAAGAGTAGAAGATATTTAGTAAGCATTTGTTGCAAGGAGTTGGGATTAGGGAGCTAGCTGGTTGTGTCCCAAATCCATAGGTAGGCATGAGCTGGTGCTGGCCCGTAAGTGGGGTTTCTTCTGCTCCAGGGAGCCCTCATCTCTGCTTTCAAAGCCTTTCAGCTGACTGAACCAGATCCACCCAGATTACCTAGGATAATATGCCTTAGTTAAAGCCAAGTGACTTTAATCACAAGTAAAAATAAATAACTTCATAGCACTAAATTAAGGTTTGAGTAAATAACTGAGGACTGTAGAGTATCCAAGTTGAAACATCCAAAAGACCATTGCACTTTTCAACATATAATGCTGGAGCAGTTGGACATCCACAGGCAGCAAACATGAGCCTCAACCTAAACCTCGTAACACACAAAATTAACTCAAAACGGATGATGAATTTAATGTAAAATGGAGAACCATTAAACTTGCAGAAAACAAAAAGAAAAACCTTCAGGATATAAGACGGTGAAAAGTTCTTGGATCTGACATTAAAAGCAGAATCAGTAAATGGAAATATTGATAAATGGCTCCTGGTAAGTATTAAAACCATTTGGCCGGGCGTGGTGGCTCACGCCTGTAATCCCAGCACTTTGGGAGGCTGAGGCAGGTGGATCACAAGGTCAGGAGATTGAGACCATCCTGGCTAACACAGTGAAACCCTATCTCTACTAAAAATACAAAACAAAAAAAATCAGCCGGGCATGGCGGTGGGCACCTGTAGTCCCATCTACTCGGGAGGCTGAGGCAGGAGAAAGGTGTGAACCCAGGAGGTGGAGACTGCAGTGAGCCGAGATCGCACCACTGCAGTCCAGCCTGGGTGACAGAGCGAGACTCCATCTCAAAACTAAATAAATAAATAAAATAAAATAAAATAGATAAAACCATTTGCTCTGTGAAAGCCCATCTGGAAATGATGAAAAGAAACACTACAGGCTGCAAGAAAATATCTGCAAACCACCTATCCAACAAAGGACTAGTCTCTAGAAAATATTAAGATCTCTCAATCCTTAACAGGAAAAACAAACAATTCAACTAGAAAATAGGCAAAGACATGAACAGATCTTTCACCAGAGGATATGCAGGTGGCAAACATCATTAGCCATCAAGAAAACGCAAATAAAACTACAGTAAGATATGACTTTACACCAACAGAAAGCTAAAATTTAAAAAGTCACAAAACTAAACGCTGTTGAAGATGTGGGGGAACTGGGTCACTGGCATACTGCTGGTAAGAATGCAGCAGGGCTCAGCCACTCTATATACAGTTTGTTGATTTCATAAAAAACTCAGTATGCACACCATGTCTTAGAACTCTTGAGCATTTAACCCAGAGAAATGAAAACTTATCTTCATGCAAATACCTGTATGTATTAGTCTGTTTTCATGCTGCTACACAGAACTGCCTGAGACTGCGTAATTCACAAAGGAAGGAGGTTTAATTGACTTACAGTTTAGCATGACTGGAGAGGCCTCAGGAAACTTGCAATCATGGCAGAAGGTGAAGGGGAAGCAAGGCACCTTCTTCACAAGGCAGCAGGAAGGAGAAGTGACAAGCGAAGTGGGAAGAGCCCCCTATAAAACCATCAGATCTCATGAGAACTCACTCACTATCATGAGAACAGCATGGCAGAAACTGCCCCCATGATTCAATTACCTCCACCTGGTCTATCCCTTGACACATGGGGATTATGGGGATTACAATTCAAGATGAAATTTGGGTGGGGACACAAAGTCTAACCATGTCACTGTACATGAATGTTCACAGTAGTTTTGATCATAATAGCCCCAAACTGAGAACCCAGCTGTATCTCAACAGGTAAGAAGCGAATAAGCTGCAATGCACCCCTATCATGGAATACTGCTCAACAATAAAAAGGACATGCAGACCTGGATGAGTCTCTTAAGAATTATACTCAAAGAAAAAGCTAATCTGAAAAGATTACATGCTGTATGATTCCTTTCATATACGATTTTTGAAATGACACAATTTTAGAAATGGAGAACAAAATAGTGGTTGCCAGGGATATGGATTTGTTGTGGGGGGAGGGGCATGGCTGTGACTGTAAAAGGGCCATCAGCAGGATCCTTTGGAGCATTTTGATATGGTGGGGTGGATGTGACAGAATTGGATATAACTAAGTACACACACACACACACACACACAAACTCACACACACACAAGTATAAGCAACACGGTGGAAGTCTGAATAAGATGGTTTGAGACTATCAGTGTCAATATCCTGGTTCTGATATTATACAACAGTTTTGAAAAATGTTACCACTGGGGGAAAGTAGGTGAAATATACAGGCCTGTCTCTGTATACCTTCTTAAAACTACATGCTTGTCTATAATTATTTCAGCAAAAATTTCTAGTAAAAAAAGAACCTATACCAAACATTAAAAAATTATCTTTACATCCTTATGCAAAATTATGCTTATCTGTAATTAGATGAATAAAAATTTTAAGTAAATGATTTAGAATGTAATAAGAGAAAGAAAGCCTTTCATCCTTTTCTGTAAAGGACACACCTCCCTTTTTCACCAGCCACTAAATTTTATTAAGGACAGAGGATTCTCTCTGCTTACCAATGGACTATGAGCAACTCCCTTTGCAATTAACCTGAACATCAATCTTGCTATTTTGTCTGGTTTTCCTTGACTTGGGAGGCTGAAGAAACAACGTCCAATAGCTACAAGGAGCTGACGTCTGCAGAGCACTGTCTATTTCACAGCCACAGTCCTAAGAGTTTTGTGTGCCTCATTGCACTTAACAATCATAATGGCTAACAATTAGCGGGCACTTCTTTGTGCCAGGCATGCTTCACACGTTACCTCATGCTTCACACATGTTACCTCATGCTTCACACACGTTACCTCATGCAATCTTCATTCAAGCCCTAAAAGGTAGTGCTCCACCCAAGATGGCATGGAGAAGTGTTGCGGGAAGTCAGGGACCCCAAACGGAGGGACCGGCTGAAGCCATAGCAGAAGAACATAAATTGTGAAGATTTCATGGGCATTTGTTAGTTCCCCAATTAATACTTTTATAATTTCTTACACCTGTCTTTACTGCAATCTCTGAACATAAATTGTGAAGATTTCATGGACATTTATCACTTCCCCAATCAATACTCTTGTGATTTCCTATGCCTGTCTTTACTTTAATCTCTTAATCCCATCATCTTTGTAAGCTGAGGATGTATGTCACCTCAGGACCCTGTGATGATTGTGTTAACTGCACAAATTGTTTAAACAATATGAAATCTAGGCACCTTGAAAAAAGAACAGGATAACAGCCATGTTCAGGGAACAAGGGAGATAACCTTAAAGTCTGGCTGCCTGTGGGCCAGGCGGAACAGAGCCATATTTCTCTTATTACTGAAAATGGGTAAGATAAATATCACTGAATTCTTTCCCCAGTAAGAAATATTAATCATTAACAGCCCTGGGAAAAGAATGCATTCCCAGGGGGGCCTCTAAAATGGCCACTCTGGGAGTGTCTGCCTTATGCTGATGTACCTAGGGATGAAACAGGCCCTAGTCTCCTGCAGCGCCCCCAGACTTGCTAGAATTAGGAAATTCCAGGCTGGCGAATTCTAGTCAGACTGATTCTCTGCTCTTGACCCCTGACAGCGCGTGCACAGCGGGACATGGAAGTTCATTAGTGGTTCTAGTTTCGCCCCGACCTCCTGCCTTGTGATGTTTTGTCGCCCTTGAAGCATGTGATCTCTGTGACCCACACCCTATTCGTACCCTCCCTCCCCTTTGAAAACTGCTAATAAAAACTTGCTGTTTTTATGGCTCAGGGGGCATCACGGAACCTGCTGACATGTGATGTCTCCCCCAGACACCCAGCTTTAAACTTTCTCTCTTTTGTACTCTTTCCCTTTATTTCTCAGACTGGCCGACACTTAGGGAAATAGAAAAGAACCTACATGAAATAACGTTGAATTGTCGGGGGCAGGTTCCCCCGATAGAGAAATTGGCTGGGCACAGCACAGGGCAGGGGCCCCCTGCACAGACCTTTCTGACCTCGCCGGGACCTACATGCATGGGAAGTGAGAGGGCTGGCCTGCCCGTCACCATCTCTGTGTGTGGTCAAGGACCTCAGGCCTGTTTCAGGGTGGTTCATAAGGGGATTAGAAACCTTGAGTCAGGAGGCCGTGTGCTCCCACAGGCTCCACAGGCAGGCGGCCTCTGGCAGAGCAGGTCACACCTAGGTTTCCCGACATCCTCACAATCCACAGGCCTAGCCCTGAGCTGATCTGATTAAGGAAGGAAACACAGTGGATTGCCCATGCCAACACCCCACTGCCGGACCCAGGGCGGGGCCAGCCCTGACATTCTTTCCCCCAAGTTTTCAAATCCAACTCCCCCATTTAACAGGCTTTCAGACACAGGAGGAAGTTGCCACCACTCTCCTCCTGGCTGAGATGGGCTAGTCACAAGGATTACATGAGACCACGCTCATAAATCTCTAAGCACACAGGCAAGATCTTGGAGAGCATTCGATGTCAGCTTTTCAAAAAATCACTTCAAAACAATTGAATGGCATTAACTGTTCTTTCTTATCATAGAAAATTAAAAATTGAACTGGGCCTGATGGCTCACACCTTCAACCTCAACACTTTGGAAGAAGGTTCTCCTAAGCCCAGGAGTTGGAGACTAACCTGGGAAACATAGTGAGACCCCATCTCTACAAAAAATAAAAAATTAGCTTGGTGTGGTAGTACGTACCTGTAGTCTTAGCTACTCCAGAGGCTGAGGTGGGAGGATTGCTTGAGTTCAGGGGGTTGAGGCTTCAGTGAGCCATGATTGCACCACTGTAGTCCAGCCTGGGTGACCAAGACACTGTCTCAAAAAAGAGAGAGAGAGAGAGAAAGAAAAGAAAATTAAAAATGGACAGGACTTAGCCTCAAGATGAGACAAGGCCACAACTGTAATGGGATTTGAACCACGTTTTGAAGGTCTGCAGGTGGTTAGTGTGGTGGTCTGTGTTATTGTATGATTATTGGAATACACAGCAGACCCCAAATGAGACTGGCATTCTTTGGCAAGTTTCACACAATATATCTGTTAAGTGTATTCAGCATGAAGATTGTTTAATTTTTAAATCAACACCATGCGTTAAAATTCTATTTTGTGACTTCTATAAGGGTGAAATGTCAGCCTTCACCATTTTCAGGTTTGCTCATACCTTACCTTCCTTTTCACCCCATCACATGGAATAATGAAATGACAACTAACAAACACCAGGAACCCTGAAGTTCTTCCCCCTCGAGCTGTCTCTATCCCCAAGCATCACTTCTGCGAGATCTTGGTAGAAAAATAATTGAATGCATTACGCACAAAAGTGGACATACTTGACAACAATTACTTACATGTTTGTTGTCAATTTTAATCTCCATTAAAAGTGAAGAGGCAGGCCGGGCGCGGTGACTCACGCCTGTAACCGCAGCACTTTGGGAGGCCGAGGCAGGCGGATCCACAATGTCAGGAGATTGAGACCATCCTGGCTAACACGGTGAAACCCCATCTCTACTATAAATACAAAAAATTAGCTGGGCGTGGTGGCGGCTGCCTGTAGTCCCAGCTACTCGGGAGGCTGAGGCAGGATGATGGTGTGAACCCAGGGGGCGGAGCCTGCAGTGAGCCAAGATGGCGCCACCGCACTCCATCCTGGGCGACAGAGCGAGACTCCGTCTCAAAAAAAAAAAAAAAAAAAGTGAAGAGGCTACTCAGGCACCAGCACTGCTCCGGGGCAACTCGTATGTCCATCAGCCACCACACCGGCCACTTCAGAGTGAGTCCCACAGCGCCTTCCCATGCAAAACTCGGTTGATGAAAGGGCATTTAAAAATTGAAGAATTTGGGAATGTAAATTAGTTCAACCATTGTGGAAGACAGTGTGATGATTCCTCAGAGATTTAGAACTGGAAATATCATTTGACCCAGTAATCCCATTACTGGGTATATACCCAAAGGAATATAAATGATTCTATCATAAAGATACATGCATGCATATGTTCATTGCAGCACTATTCATAATACCAAAGACATGGAATCAACCCAAATGCCCATCAATCATAGACTGGATAAAGAAAATATGGTACATATATACTATGGAATACTGTGCAGCCATAAAAAGAAATGAGATCATGTCCTTTGCAGGGACATGGAGGAAGCTGGAAGCCATCATCCTCAGCAAACTAATGAAGGAACAGAAAATCAGATACTACATGTTCTCACTTATAAGTGGGAGCTGAACAATGAGAACACATGGACACAGGGAGGGGAACAACACACACCGGGGCCTGTCCGGGGAGGGTGAGGGGGAGAACATTAGAAAAAAGAGCTAATGCATGCAGGGCTTAATACCTAGGTGATGGGTTGATAGGTGTAGCAAACCACCATGGCACACATTTACCTATGTAATAAACCTGCACGTCCTGCACATGTAACCTGGAACTTAAACAATAAAAAAATTAAAAACATGCTTATTGTCTTTCTTTGGTGACTGAGAAAGGATGCATTTGTGTGCCTATGCTTGTAGAACGTTTAAATCTATATTCAACTCTCTTTCATTGACCTTGGGGTTTGCAGGGAGGTGGAGCAAAAATAGAGAGGACTCCTAGGAAGACACAGACTCACTGCAGCTCACCGGCTGCTCCAGGAGATGCTCTGTCAATCAAGGTAGATCTCAAGTCACGTGGAACCAGGAAACAAGGGTTCTCTGGGTATTTTTCCTTAGCTGAATGCTAAGCAAAGGCTGAAGTGTAGAACTCGATCGCCCCCATTTGTCTTTTGTTTGTTTGTTTTTTTTTTTTTTTTTGAGACAGAGTCTGGCTCTGTCACCCAGGCTGGAGTGCAGTGGCACAATCTCGGCTCACTGCAAGCTCCGCCTCCTGGGTTCACACCATTCTCCTGCCTCAGCCTCCCCAGTAGCTGGGACAACAGGCGCCCGCCACCACTAATTTTTTCTACTTTTAGTAGAGATGGGGTTTCACCGTGTTAGCCAGGATGGTCTCGATCTCCTGACCTCATGAACCGCCCGCCTCGGCCTCCCAAAGTGCTGGGATTACAGGCGTGAGCCACTGCGCCCAGCCTATTGCCTCCATTTGTCTTTTAACATCCAAGTTACTTGTCTTGGTAACAGAATTAATAAGAGTGGTCAACTCCGGTCAATAATAATTTAATTGTACATTTAAACATAACTAAAAGAGTATAACTGAATTGTTTGTAACACAAAGGATAACTGCTTAGAGAATGGATACCCCATTCTCTGGGAGGTGTTTATTACATGTTGCATGCCCGTATCAAAAAATCTCAAGTACCCCATAAGTGCATACACCTACTATGTACCCACAAGAATTAAAGAATTAAAATGTAAAAAAAAAAGTGGTTGAGGAAGCAGAGAAGTAATAATAGCAGGCTGGACACATGTGCCCCTGCACGGGGGCAGCTGCACAGAGCTGGCACACGCCCAGGGGTTTCGAGGTCACATGAACTTTGCCCTGCTACAAAGTCACGTGATTTAAATCGTTTCTAGAAAGACTCAACTTCCCAAAAGACCTAACGTCATAACAGAAACTTCTGCATCGGTGCTTGTAATATATTACTCACTATCATCTGAGGACAACTTCTCACCTGCCCTTTAAAAATAGAAGACACAATGGATTGTGTATTGAAAAACGCACCCATGCTTTAGGTAGAAAGTAATTATTTGATTTTCAATACTAACAATTATTTCTAGTACGTTTTTTAACTTTTTCAAACAAGAACTTGTGATTTCTTACTATTGCCTCAAACTATGATCCCGTCAATAATAAAACTGGCCAAACTGTTCAGCAACAAGTGACTGTGTCAACAAAGACATTACTAACCTGACAGAATTGCAGACTGACAGCTGATTATAATGAGGGATGTCAAGCAATACCATAGAATGACACTAGACGCTGCAAATGCAATTAACTTCAACAGGGAACTTACAGAAATTACTAAAGGTAAGCCTGGAAAAGAGGGGTAGCCCCTGTTTCAGATGTTCTTGTTGTGAAGCTGTACTGGCCTGAGCCTCTCCCACGGAGGGGTAGGGAGTCCTGGTGCCTGGGTCCCAGGCAGCATTGAACAGGGAGACAAACTCTGTTAGTGGCAGATGAGAGTCTGGGTGTTGACTGATGTCCCTGGTTCTCATCACGTGGGAGATGTGAAGCTGCCCAGATTGCCACTGGGAAGAGGCAAGAAAGTCATTGCCGTGGTTTAAGCCTCAAGTAGTTAAAATGAAAAAGTGACTAAATCACAACTCTGTACCATTCTCAGCATACAGCAGCTCAATTAACATAATAATTTCTTATCTGAATGGGAAATAAGCCATGAGTCTGGGGAGCATGCAGATTAAGGAACATGTCAAGGTATCATCTTTTTTTTTTTTTAATTATACTGTAAGTTCTAAGGTACATGTGCACAACATACAGGTTTTTTACATATGCATCCATGTGCCATGTTGGTGTGCTGCACCCATTAACTCGTCATTTACATTAGGTATTTCTCCTAATGCTATCCCTCCCCCCTCCCCCCACCTCACGACAGGCCCCAGTATCATCTTTTTAATGCCACAGAGCTTTCAAAATGTGTGATTGACTGCAGATGTAATGTTGGCAAAACTCAGAAATGTCAGGATTCTCGGCTTCAATGTGTTAAATGATGAAGCTAAAACCCTCAAATTCTTTCCAATTAAGAAGTGTCTGTATGCGATTCTTGACTTCCAGTGTCCAGTGATTCCCTTGAAGAATCTTGAATTCCCCGATTCATAAACATGAAGTTGATCTAAGAGCAGACAGGCATTGGGTACAGGTGTCGAGGGATTGGCAAGGCTCCGTCATTAGCTCAGGGACCTGCTCTGTGCACAGCAGAGAGCATCGCAACACTTAGGAATATTCAAGTTACTATATGTCTTCAACCTTTTGAGTGTTCTTAAGTGACTAAAACAAGAAATAATAAACACGTGAATCCCGAGGGCCTTATTGAAACCTGACACTGAGTGCAAGCATTGTCTGGTAACACTAAATCGTCAAAATATTTGTCTCTTTTTTGATAAGAAACAAGCAAACAGGTTTGTAGCTCAGGAACGTTAGGACCGTGTAGTCCAGTTGACGTGGGTGAAGACCTGTGTCTACAGCCTCAGTGGGGTTCATGTAGAAGCTTTTGAGGCAATGCATACACCTCAAGGTTTAACTTTTTTCTCATTTACTTCCTATGAGTATCTTGGCAGTAAAAAGGAATGGAAGCATCTAGGAGTTTCTGTAAATTCAGAACTAGATACATAGGCAGCCTCCAAAAATGGAAAAAGCTTTTGTTGTTGTTTTTAAGCTGAAAAGTTTATTGTTTAGATTTTGCAATGTCTTTTTCCTGGAAACAGATTCATCAATATTCCCTTCTTGCTACACCTGCCGGGACCCATTCACCCACTCACTGTGGGTTCTGCATTTCTAGGATGGTCTAGGAGAACCCAGGGGTGAGCAGAGACCATTTGAATGGCAAAAGTTTCAGAAATTATTAAATAAGATATTCTGACAATGAATTCTCAATGCCATGGGGACTGGGGGCTCTGTACTGTGTCCCTCACAGGCACCAAACAAGACATAGTCCTGGTCATATAGGCTCTGGAGACGCAGTAGCTTTCCTGAGCCTTTTCCATGTTTGTGGGAGCCAACACCATGGAGATCCACTTAGCACCAGGGAGGAGGAGGGTCACTGCTTAGTCCAGGGGCCTTGTCTCTTCCTCTAACAACCCAAAAAGAACAAACTCAGAGTCTGTGGCAGATCTGGGAATCCTACCTTTTATAAACCCTGCTCAATTTATACATTTGTTCACAAATGACTGGAATTGGCTCAAAGCACAGATGCCGCCAGAAACCCACAGTAGCTGCAATGAACAGGGTGGAGGAAACATTGTTCAGATCTAGCCTCTAGTGCTCTTCTGACTTAAGATAATATCAAATAATGGAGGAAGGGGCACCTGGGGAGTTTTCCACCTGTTCTCTGTTAAGGCCAGACTACTGCTGATGATAATACTATTTCTTTAAAAGCCCATCTGACCAAGCCCTACCTAACTAATATGGGAGAGGGCCTCTCATTCTAATTGCTCTGCAGAATTAACCACCATTGATGTTACAGTGTCAGTGGGAAAGCGCGCCCCAGCCAGGTGTCAGGTGCAGACACTCCTGCTGCCACCCCCAGCAGGCCTCCCCTTCTGCCTCCTTCCCTCCTTACCGCGTTGCACAGGCCTGGGTGAGTGCGGGATCTGGGGTGCGAGGAAAAGCAGGCCCTTCATTGTCATTCTCAGGTTCTTGCTCTCAGCTGTCAACTACCCAAGAGCCTAATCCCTGACCATTTAGGATTAGTCAGTAGACACCGAAGGTAAGACTTCTCTCCAGGGAATTTGAGTTTTATTTAAAACTCCTGGGGAGTCCAAAAAGTAGATTCATGATGCAATGATAAACAGGGTTCGTATTTTGTATGGGAGTTTCAACCACCACCTCCCCAAATCAGGCTTTTGAGTGGCCCCTTACTGATGACTCCAATTTTTATGCTACTGGATTTTTAACTTGCCAGAGCCACTTCTAATCTTAGCATCTGAGATAATTCAGAATGCACTGTATGATTGCAGGTGCTATTGAATGCTGCTATTCTATTGCATATTATTTATACACCGAATTATCTGTTGTGGTAATTTATTAAAATATTATGTATTTTACGGTATGTAATTCTGTAATCCATTGTATATGATTGATTGTACTGACTACTCTATAGCATTGTTTGGAAAAAGCAAGCCTGTGATAAAAGTGGGCAGATTGAGTAGGGTCCAGAGGAGCACTGCAGCGGAAGTCAGAACAGAAATGCGTCAGCATCACCCAGCCACTGTGCTTTCCTGAACTATAATTACATTAATGAATTAAAGTCAGCAGAGAACCTGCACTTCTGCAGAGGCATTTGAAAAACTAGCACAGTTTTTAAGACCTCTTTCAGTCAATGTTTGTGAGTAGAATTCGTCAAGTAGAGAGTTATAAAAGAACAATGACATCTTATCCGAATTTTTTAAAAATGTGAAGAATTTCAAAGAGATTGGAGACAGAGAACATTAGATAGTAATGACATATAAGTAGCATTAATGTTGCTAATGGAACGTGTAATTACCACGTGCTTTCCCTCAACGTGATTCATCAGATAAGCAACTAACAAGTCCCTGGCAGAACCACACTCTCTCCAGCTTTAGACACGGGCTGGGGGTGCTGAGTGAGCACTGATTTGACCTCTTCCTCTTTCAAATAAGGAAATGGAGCGGCAAAAGAGTTGTCATTTTCCTATGATCATGAGCATTTTGCTGAGTGCCGAAGGACAACAATGCAATAATACATATTTAGAAGTCTTTCCTCCAAAGAATTTATACAGGAGTCAAAAAGATCTGCTATCTAATGCATAGTAACTTAAAAACAAAATTGTCATGCTCCCCATAAAGACTTTTTGTCAATGATGGACCACACATACAACAGTGGTCCCATAAGATTACAATAGAGCTGAAAACCTATGGCCTGGTGACATCGTAGCTATTATAACATCATAGTGCGATGTATTGCACATCCAAATCTATGATAAAGAAACAGTCTGGGCACCGCAGCTCATGCCTGTAATCCCAGCACTTCAGGAGGCCGAGGCAGGTGGATCACCTGAGGTCAAGAGTTCAAGACCAGCTTGGCCAACATGGTGAAACCCCTTCTCTACCAAAAATACAAAAGTAGCCGGCATGGTGGCACACGCCTGTAATCCCCGCTACTCAGGAGGCTGAGGCAGGAAAATTGGTTGAACCTGGGACGCGGAGGTTGCAGTGAACCAAGACCACACCACTGTTCTCCAGCCTGGGTGACAGAGCAAGACTCCATAGAGAAGAGGAGGGGAGGGGATGGGAGGGGAGGGGAGGGGGAAGGAGGAGGGGAGCAAACATACGTTGGTTTGCCATGGACATAGTTCTGAAAAGAGTGATACCTCCTTAAGAAGCTCCTCCTGCAGGTCCCTCAGGAGGTGTCTGGAAGAAGACATTGTCGTGACAGCTCCATGTGTGTTATCGCCCCTGAAGAGCTTCCTATGGAACAAGCTGTGGAGGTGGAAGACAGTGATACTGATGATCCTGATCTATGTAGGCCTAGGCTAACGTGTGTATTTGTCTTAGCTTTCAACAAAAAAGCTTAAAAGTAAAAAAAAAATTAAAAATAGTAAAAAACTTATAGGATAAAAATATAAAGAAAAGATATTTTTACAGCTATATGTTTGTGTTTTAAGTGATGTTATTACAAAAGTGCCAAATGTTTTTTAAAAATTAAAGAATGTATAAAGTAGTTATAGAAAAATGAGGTGCATTTAGTATTGAAGAAAAAAGCTGTTTTAAATACATTTAGTGTAGCCTAAGTGTACAGTGTTTTTAAAGGCTACTGTAATGTATAATAAAGTCCTAGGCCTTCACATTCACTCACTCCTCACTTACTGACCCACCCAGAGCAACTTCCAGTCCTGCAAGCTTCATTCATGGTAAATGCCCTAGACAGCTCTATCATTTTTTATCTCTTACACCATATTTTTACTGTACCTTTTCTATGTTTAGATACACCAGTACTTACCATTGTGTTACAAGTGCCTACAGTATTCAGTATAGTAACATGCTGTTTGTAGCCTAGGAGCAATTGACTATACCATACAGCCTGGATGTGTAGTAGGCTGTATCATGTAGGCTTGTGTGAGTATACTCCATGGTGTTTGCAGAAAGATGAGATCACACAACAATGCATTTCTCAGGACTATGCCTGTTGTTAAATGACTCATGACTACATGCCGAGTTGTCTCTAAAAGACAATTTTCTTAGTCCATTTTGTGCTGCTATAAAGGAATACCTGAGGCTGGGTAATTCACAAAGAAAAGAGGGGGTTTTGCACTTCTACACTGGGGCTGGGAATGTAAACTAGTACAGCCACTATGGAAAACAGTGTGGAGATGCCTCAAAGAACTAAAAGTGGAACTACTATTTGTTTTTTGTTTTGTTTTGTTTTGCTTGAGACAGATTCTCGCTCTGTTGCCCAGGCTGGAGTGCAATGGCACAATCTCAGATCACTGCAGCCTCCACCTCCCAGGTTCACGTGATTCTCCTGTCTCAGCCTTCCAAGTAGCTGGGACTACAAGCATACACCACCACGCCTGGCTAACTTTTGTATTTTTGGTAGAGACAGGGTTTCACCATGTTGGCCAGGCTGGTCTTGAACTCCTGACCTCAAGTGATCTGCCTGCCTCAGCCTACCAAAGTGCTGGGACTACAGGTGTGAGCCATGGCACCTGTCCAAAAAGAAGAACTACTATTTGATCCAGAAACCACTACTGGGTATCTACCCAGAGGAAAATAAGTTATTATGTGAAAAGATACTTGCACATACATATTTATAGCAGCATCATTTGCAATTGCAAAAATGTGGATCCAGCCCAGATGCCCATCAATCAATGAATGGATAAAGAAACTGGGATATATATATATGAATACTACTTAGCCATAAAAAGAAATGAATTAATGACATGGCATTCGCAGCAACATGGATGGGGCTGGAGACCATTATTCTAAGTGAAGTAACTCAAGAATGGAAAACCAAACATCACATGTTCTCATAAGAAGGAGCTAAGCTAAGAGGATACAAAGGCATCAGAATGATACAATGGACTTTGGGGACTCAAGGGGAAAGGGTAGGAAGGGGGCGAGGGATAAAAGACTACAAATTGGGTTCAGCGTGTACTGCTTGGGTGATGCGTACACCAAAATCTCACAAATCACTACTCAAAGAACTTACTCATGTAACCAAATACCACCTGTTCCCCAAAAACCTCTGGAATTAAAAAAAAATGAAATGACAAAACCAACATTAAAGAAAAAAATCTCACCTTGAATTGTAATAATCCCAACGTGTCAAGGGCAGGTCCAGGTGGAGATAATTGAATCGTGGGGGTGATTTCTCCCACACTGTTCTCATGATAGTGAATAAGTCTCATGAGATCTGATGGTTTTATAAAAAGGAGTTCCCCTGCACATGCAGTCTTGCCTGCCACCATGTAAAACGTGACTCTGCCTCTCCTTTGCCTTCCACCGTGATAGTGAGGCCTCCCCAGCCATGTGGAACTGTGAGTTCATTAAAACTCTTTCCTTTATAAATTACCCAGTCTCAGGTATGTCTTTATTAGCAGTGTGAGAACAGACTAACACAATCCTACAAGGCAGAGAAGGCCAGAGAGGAGCCAGATACATGTAGAGACAGATCCCAAGGGCATACTGGCCCTATAACAACCTGCTTTCATGGGAACTAATCTATTCCTACCACAACTAATCAACCTCACCAGAACTCACTACCAAGAGAGCAGCACCGAGCCATTCATGAGGGATCCACCCCCATGACCAAAACACCTTCCACTGGGCCCCACCTCCAACGCCATCCCACATTAGGGATACATATTAACATGAGTTTTGGTGGGACAAACTCAAACCATAGCAGAATATTATCTCATTAATGGAACATTATCTCACTAATAGACCAACAAAACTGGATTTTAATAATGACCATGAAATGACATAATAAGCAATGAAAAATCTGTTTGTAATTTTATAACAACAATGTTAATTATTAACATTGTTATTATATTATTAGTAGTATTATTGTTTTCTAGAACTATCTATTCCAGGTTATTCTTCAAGTTCTCATTCAGCTTGATTGTGGCTAAGGAAGTTTGATCATGATTCCATAATGGTTTTGCTTAAAAATTTCTCAAATTCAACTGAAAATAATTTAATTCCATGTTAGACAAAATGCTACATAAAAATTCATATTTTGTAGATAGTTGAGAAAGAACCTGTGATGGCCAAGTTTGTAATGGCATTCAATGAACTAAGAACAATTTTGACTTGTACTCTGTTATCAAGAAGTTTGAAATACATTTCTGTCTCTTACCATAAGAAGAGGGCCATCATGTTTATGCCAATCAGCTTAGTGCATGAGACCAAGTCTTGTAGTCTTTTTAACACTGCAATGGTTTCCATACTACTAGAGGTAATTTATTACTATCTCATGCCTTCAAGATAATGATTTCCAGAAATGCTCTCTGTACCCAGGCAGGATAAATGGTGACCATCTCCTGGACTTTTATATGTACACAGTTACGGTTCTCCAGTAATAGGTATAATTGATGGTTAACTTCTATATAAGACTTGAATTCCTCTCTAATTTTTTTATGCTGGCTACCTTTACCCACATCAATTATGACAGGCCAACTGGAAACATTCCGCAGAGGCGGTTCATAAGAATTGGGTGTCTGCAGTGATGGTTCAGAGTACTCAGAGTTTCTGCTAATGCTGGTGGATTTACAGACATGAATATCAAGCTAAAGAATCTAACCTTACACACAATGGCACCGATAAAGGTGAAGGATTTTTCTAGGATTAAAAAGTCCCACAAAAACGTATTATCCATATTTCACATGTTGTAAAGTTAAGGTAATAGACGTAGTTGAAGAACATCGAGATTCCTGGGAAATTAGAAAAGACTGCTTTTTGCACACACTGTTTTTTCGTACATGGCATTGTTTTTGTAATTAGTACCTGAGTATCAGCTGGCATTTTATGATGTGTAGAGCTTGGAAAGGTCAGAAAAATGTGGTGCTTGTTCAAACCTAATACATCTGTACAGATTTAAAACCAGGAATTTCTTAACATTGCCATCTGTTAAGCATCTCTTTTTTGGCACATTTAGCTCATAGACAATGAAGTACCTCAGCAATTGTTGTCTTTTGTGTAAGTAATTAAAATTAGTCAATAACTAGACTCAGAAGGCTTACTTTTATTTTATATATTCTTTATTTCAAGTGCATTTAGCTTGGATTTACAATCTTAGCAACTCACCTTGGGGTAATTTCAATGTCTCTAGGTCCCTCATGGACCAGATTTCACTGTGGCCTACCCTGGGCCAAGCTACCAACGTCCATGGTCTGTTTTACTGGAAAAACTTCCCAGGTGGTTCATTGGCCTCCACACGTAGCCCTCTGTGGATGACTTTTGCACAGTTTGAGTTTCATTTGACAGGGCCCTCCTCTGTAATGCTGAGCCAAGGCCGGGACTGATGTAGACACTCCAGTGATCACTGAGCAATGCCTGCCAGAGCAGGAGGCAAAGTGGAGAGCCTTGTTAGAGGCTGGAAAGCTCCTTGTTTCTGCCAAATCCTACTGCTTTCCAGCTAAAAGCAAGGATTTTTTAAGAGAACATTATAAACAAAATAAGCAGAACAATAAATGAGACACTGCCTAGGTTTAGTGTAATTTGTTTTCCTTGCTGATTTTTACTATAAATGCAACCAGCAGAGAGTTTAACTGTGCTCAAGTTCTCCAGCAATTAGGAGCACCAGCACTCGGCTACAGCACCGTGAAAGGGCCCCGGGCCTACGCAGCTGTCACGGTTTTATAGCAATCGGCTATTATGAGAACAGGTGGTGGTGGTGCAAGAATCCAGTGTGTTGCCCAGAGACGAGGATGGTCTAATCAGACACAGCTTAAATGAAAGACAATGAGAAGATTTCATCTAAAATCCTTACCAAAGGGTTTCTTCACAGAGAGTTTGAAGTTAGCATCCACGCACTTGGCGTCTGGAGGGCTCTACTGAAAGCTCACATCTCAGAGGTTTCTACTCTGAAGATGTACAGACCCGGAAGAGAATTAGAGTCATATGCTATTTTAATTAGATGAAAATGGTCCATAAATATATGCATCTCTTGCTCTCACGTTCACGTTCATCAGCAAGTCCTATGGGCTCCCAAACACACCCAGAATCATTTCTTTGCCTCCTTCTTTGTTACCCTAATCCATCAGTTCTCAAAGTGTGGGCTACAGACATCCGAGAGTCCCTGGAAGGGACTTGTGAGTCCACAAGATCAAAACCATTTTCATCAGAATATTAAGGTGTTATTTATCCTTCTTATTGTGTTGATATTTGTACTAATGGTTCCAAAGAAATGACGGGTAAAATTGCTCATTCTTTAGCATGATATGAAGCGTGGCACTGACCTGCCGCAGTGATTGTTGTCTTCTTGGCCCCCACAGACTTACCTGTGAAAGAAGTGCCACTTTCTTTAAAGACTGTCCCTGAAGAAGCAGCATAAACTGTGAATTGTATTAAGCCTCATCTCTTCAATGCATGTTTTTCCAAAACTCTTTATCACAAACTGGAAGGGCACAAAGAGCACGTCTGCTGCAGATGGAAGTTTGTGGTCATCTCAGAGAAAAGCTTTACTCACGGGACAGTTTGGGTTTTTTGTTTGTTTGTTTGTTTTTGAGACAGAGTCTTGCTCTGTTGCTCAGGCTGGAGTGCAGAGGCGCAATCTCGGGTCACCGCAAGCTCCACCTCCCAGGTTCAAGCGATTCTCCTGCCTCAGCCTCCCGAGTAGCTGGGATTACAGGCACCCGCCATCATGCCCGCCTAATTTTTGTATTTTCGTAGAGATGGGGTTTCACCATGTTGGCCAGGCTGGTCTTGAACTCCTGACCTCAGGGGATCCGCCCGCCTTGGCCTCCCAAAGTGCTGAGATTACAGGCGTGAGCCACCACGCCTGGCCAATGGGACGGTTTTTACTGGAAGTAGGATAATGGACAACCTAAGGGAATCCAGACTTGAGTTTATGGCTGGTATTTTCTCAGAAATGAATGCAGGGAGCCCATCACCTCAAGGAACACAACTGACACCATCTCTTGCCAAGAACACAACTCAAGGTCTAGAGTGAAAATCTGAATTTTGGAAAATGTCTATCTGCCTCTGAGCACTTGACAGATTTCAGATAAAGTGTTTTCTGATACAATCAATGGGGATATTAAGGAATGTGATTTTTAATGATAAAAATTCATGATATTCGTCAATATTTGGAAGATCTGCACAATTTGGTGGAATGAATTTTCTAAATGACAAATGCTTGATGTTATAAATTGTATAATTGCAGGGAAACAAGATGAATTCAAAGAGTAAGAATGACAAATGAATTTTAATATAAAAGTTTTAAAAGTTTGTTAATGTGGTCTCAGATTTCATGTTGCAATTAATCATTAAGAAGCTATCACTTGTCTAGTTTTGGTACAGATAAGGAAAACATCCACAATCACAGGAAAAGGTTATTAACTCTCCCTTTTCCAACTACTCATCTATATGGGGTTGAATTTTCTCCATATACTTCAGCCAGAACGATCATGGCAGATTAAAGGCAGGGGCAGCTACAAGAATCCAGCTGTCTCCTGTTAAGCTAGACATCATAAAAACATAATAGTCACTCATCACTGATTTTGTTTCAAAAGATATAATTATTTTCCATAAAAAATAGATATTATGACTGTTTACATGCAACAGGCTTATAATTATTGGTTTTAAATATATTAATAAATTATCCTGTTTTAATTTCTGAGAAAATAATTTCTAAGTCAATGTAGATAGGTATAACCCACATAATCTCATTAAATTCCCATCACAACCCTATGAACTCAATACTATCATGTCCAATTTATATCCTACAAGAGTAAAGGGGCCCATTATTAATGTAATTAGGATAAATTTGCCACTAAAATTAAATATGTTGATTGTAAAGACAAGGGCTCATCTGCCTTTGAGAAGATTTTCTCTTAAAACCACCTGCCTGCCTTGGTGCCGACTGAATGTTCAACAGGCAACTTTCTCCTCTACTCAGAAGCGGCCTCCCGCACCAGCCGCTGGCCTCGGGGAACTGGCACAAGGATTCAAGTTCCCTCCAGAGCAAGTACTCTTCTTTTCTGTCCGAAAAGGTCTCTTGAGTAGAACTGCCATGGCAACAACACATGAGGCTTGGAGAGTTCACACTTAGGCATCTGATCCTAATCCCGTAGATGAGAGCTTTGTGTCCTTCGGCTTCTCAGCCCTGCACTCAGCAAAGCAATAAATTGGGCTGCTGGATAACAGAAGGATCCCTGGTGAATTACAGCTTATTCACTAGAACCAGATGAATGGTCCATCCTTCTTTATGAAGCAAGAAAATGCCTCTCTCTGGCAAAATCCCATCTCTACAAATAAAAAATTAAAACATTAGCTGGGCATGGTGGTGTGTGCCTCTAGTCCTGGCTACTCAGGAGGCTGAGGTGGGAGGATTGCTTGAGCCTGGGAGGTCGAGGCTGCAGTGAGCTGAGATCGAACGACTGCACTCCAGCCTGGACAACAGAGTGAGACCCTGTCTCTAAAAAAATAAGAAAAAGAAAGAAAAATAAAAAGAAAATCCTTCTCTCAAAGCTACAAGTCTGAGAACAAAGCTCTGGCTTCTGCAGGAAGCAGCAACACAGCACAATGTGTCCAGGGATGTTTCAGACACTGATTCTCGATTTAGGGCAACTTCGTCCCCATGGGACATTTTGCCAGCCTGGAGGCCTTGGTGGTTTTCGTGATGGGTAGGTGGAGGTCAGGGATGCAGCCACATGTCCTGCAAGGCACAGGTCCACCCCCTACCAACACATACACACACACACACACACACACACACACACGGAGAAGGATACAGCCCTGCATCAGAAGAGCAAGGGTGAGGAACCCCATTTCGGGACTGCCCTGCTCTCCAGACACCCCCTCTCTGCAGCCACTCCTGCTGCTGGTGTGGCGCCCACCTCAAGAGTCCACTCATCAGGTCCCAGAGAATGTCTTTGGGGTCTGCATCTTCCATAGTATATGGAGTCCTGTATAATTGCTAGTCCCTGCTAATCCAACATGCAGCAGAGTGCCTTGTCCAGAATGAGCATTTGATAAACATAAATAGTGGCTTAATAAATATTATATTATCCGTACCTCTAGTGTCAATAATCTTACAAAGAAATTGACCCACTAATAAGTTAGAGCCGCTGAATCCAATGGTAAGTTAGCATGTCCATACCAGGTATACCAGAAGTAGTACCAGGATAAAAATGTGAATATTCCTACCCCCAAAAATAAGAGTTTGAACTCTTACATAAGGCATCTTTTTTAATTAAAAAATCTCAAAGTAACCCAAAGAATAATTATTAAAATGATAAACCTGAGTCTTAGAAACATGGCCAAGGATTTCTTCACTTGAGTGGAAGGAGACCCACGTGATGATGACCTCTCTGAACAGCACCGTCGCTGGCCACTGTCACTCAGCTCTCTACAGGTCTGACCATTTTCCATGAATTCACACACAGCTATTGCGCACCTACTATAATTGCCAACTGTTCTAGAAACTGGGGATTTGAAAAGTAGAAGACGCAGCGCGGCCCTCCGAGAGCTCACGGTCAGATTGGCAATGTGAAGACAATTGTTCCCAGTGGGTTAAGGTGCTGTAGACCCCAGAGAATATGCGTCCCACCACTGTGTGAGCTCACGTGATCTCATTTCCTTTCAAGGCAGGGGCAGTGAGGCAGAAGGCCCGGGAGGGCTGTCATCCAGGCGGGAAACCATGGTGCTTAGATTAGATGGTGGCAGAAGCCAGGATGATGAGAAACGCTCAGAGCTGAGTCTATTCTCAAGCCACAGTCCTCATCGGTACGGCTCCTCCACTGCAGAACCCTTGAGAGGGGCTTGGCTCTCGCTGAAACCGGGCTCCCCCTGCAGCGTGAGGCCAAACCCCAGGCCTTGGCAAAACCCCCTGGGCCGTGACTGCCCATCAGGCCTCACAGGTGGCAGCCAGCAGCCTCTCTCCTCACGCACGGCTGGAGCACAGTTAGCAGCTTCTCAACATTCATGTTCCCAAGGGCAGCAGGATGACAGTCAACCACCCCCACAACGGCCTTCCCACCGCCTCTACTCTGGGGCATAGAATAACACCAGGGAGCCTCAGGCCAGCCACCCCTGGCTGCAAATCCCAGCTCCCCTGCCACTAGTGCGGGACATGGGCCCGGTGCCCAGCCTCTCTCAGCCTCCGAGTCCTCATCTATAAAGTTGGTAGCAGAAAACTCACTCTCGGGATCATTCTGACAAACAGACAGCACGTAAAGTACTCGGTGTGTGCAGAGCGCTCAGAATCCTACTCACGTCTCTTCTCTCCTCCAATGCTGTGACAAGAAAACCACCCGCTTTGGCAGCGCAGGAGGCCCAGCTCTCTGCTAGCAGCTGGCCACTTAACTCTGGACCTCCAGGGCCCAGCTGTCTGTGACCACCCCAAATGGAGGCAGTGCTGTCTCCTTCCAGGAGCACGAAATGAGGTGTAAGTACAGCCCCCGACACAAAGGAAAGGATTCCTAGCGCTGGTTATTAATATCTTATGGGCAGGAAACATCTACCAACCCTGTCACCAGCAGGTTCAAATACAGCCATTCAATCAGCACTTATTTATCACCTTCTGGGCGATGGTGGGATTGGGGGAGTCGGGGGGCAGGTGGTGCTGGTATAAATCAGTAAATGAGAAGGGTAAACACAGCCTTTAAGGAGACACATAAAACAGCAATTAAAAACAAGGTCAGCAACAGACGGATTCTGGAACTACGGCTTATGTGTGCTGTGGCCTTGGGCAAGAGCTCCAACTTCATTTTTCTCAGCTGTGAAGTGTGTTATGAAGAGTAAGTGAAAGCTCACCTGTAAATCGTGAAGCACACTGCCTGGTACCCAGTGAGAACCTCCTCAATATTAGCTGCCACTGCAGTTTTCTTACACTTAATGCCGTCATTATCATTATTATTGAGGAGTAAGGCAATTGTTCGAGTTAGGACTTTTGCAGTTGTAAATGAAAGAAACTGATTTCATGTAGAGTAAGCCAGATTAAACGGTCTGTCTTCACATGACCAGTGCATCCTTGGTCAGGACAGATGCAGGCCCAGCTGAATCCAGGAACTGAAGTGATGTCTTCTGGATTCCCACTGTTGTTTTCTGTTGCTTTTACCGCTTGCTCTCTGCCTAAAGCAATTCTTTTATACTCAGATAACCTTTCTCTCTTTTAAAAGGAAAATAGCCTCTAGGATCTTCAGAATTTTATCTTCCAATTTCCATGGAAGTTTTTTTCACACACACACAAGCACACACCTACAAATAAGGCTTCTCCCTTCTCCTGTAGCTCCACATGATTCCAGGAAAGGACTCTGACTGCCTAGTCTGGGCTTCACACCCACCTGGGCTGATCCTTGGGTGGGGAAGAGCGGTGGGACCAGCCAGACCTGCGGCACAGGCTCCCCGGGGACTGCCGTAACAGAGTCCACTACTGGCAATTCCATTTGAATCACTGGGCTGGGAGAAAGTGTTCCCCAAAGGAAAGGGGTGGGCAGAGTGGTGAGAGGCAGAAACAGAGCCCCCAGCAGCATCAGGCACAGACAGGCATGAAGCTGGAAAATGGTACAATGAGGTCAGGACATTCTAAAGGAGCGAAGCAGATTCTCTGCAGGTCTTTGGGAGGAAACAATGAAAAACTTTGCCTAACTATCACCCTGCAGGACTTCTGCCTCCCAAGGTTCACGGCTTAATTTGAAAGTGACTCAAACTCCGGTAGGTTGTTCATTTCATTCCCAAGAATAAAATCATAAACATCTGGGCAGAAAGCTTTCTGTGGTCCTAAAACTAAAATCATAAACATCTGTGGCAGAAAACTTCCTAAGGAACATTGCATGAATGCTTGGCCAAAATTGAGTTAATTCGATTCTTAACGTTTGAGTTAAAGTAGTTTTTTATTTCTTTATTTATAAATATCCCAGGAAATACTCAATGAATCTTTGAATTGTCTTTTTTCACTTCAGTAAGTGTTCCCAAGTGCCCGCTGATCTGATTAAGTCTGCAATTAAAATCCAGGTCCTACAGAGCAGCGCTTTTGTGATCACTAGCCCAGTAAAATCACAGGGAAGAGGATAAAATACAGTTTCATGTGTCCCGATATCCTTCATCCCTTCTCAACACAGACTTTAAGGTTTTTGCAGATAAATACGAAACATGCTTTGCCAACCTTCTACAAACACACCACCTGGCATCTCATCTAGTGCCTGGTGCCAGTGATGGGAATGGGAGTTGATTTTCAAAGCTGCACTCCCCGTCCTGCCAGTTAATCAGCTGGTGAGCAGGGCCTTGCTTTGGTGACAAAGGTCTGGAAGTGACGTCCACATCACTGACTCAGCCACGACCGCCAAGCCCCTCACAGCACCAGCGCCTCTCAATCAGCACCTCTAACACCTGTCCACTCAGGGGCACCATGCGGGGGACACCCAGGATGCCTTTCTTCCTCACCTGAGCAGGGGAAGGGGCATCACACTCCCCAGCTGCCCCCAGCAGCCCTCAGGCCTGGGACCTGCACCTTCCCGGGCTGCCCCCACACGCGCCCCCCTCCAAGCTCTGGATCCTACTACCCAAGGCTGCCCTGTAGCTTAGAACCTGGTGGTCTCCTCCCAGATGCCCGCTAATCTTCATCCTTGGCCTGGCACTCGGTTCTCAATCCTGTGACAGAGACGCCCCACCCTGCCCCTAACCTTGACTAAACTTCAGCCAAGCTTCTTCCTGACTCTCACCTCCACCTGCCTTTTCTTGGAGCATTTGCGTTAGAAAAACTTGTCATTGTAAATTCTTTCTCTGCCCCTTACAAGGGGCAGAGAAAGGAGATGTAAGCCTTTTGTGACATATCTTGCCAGTTGTAAGGCCCAGGGAGTGTCTTTCTCAGTGATCTGGAGGCCGGTCATTCCTTTGAAACATAATCACGGAGGAAGACAGTGGCCACGTCCGGTCTCTGTGGGAGGAAGGTGGGAGGCAGACCCTAACCTCAAGGCGCACTTCTCTCCAAGTCTCATTTCTCTTCAAGCCATGCGATTCCCTCCATCCCTCCTGTGATGAATGCAGGAGAAAGTTCGCTCTTCCTTCAGGGAGGGCCATTCAGGAAATACAGATGGCCTAGACCCAGACCCCAGCTCTTACAAACTCCACCCTCTCACCCTCGGTCCACAGAACTGAGCTCAGACAGCCTCTGCCTCTCTCGCCTACTGCAATCGCCTTCAAGAATAAAGTCTCCCCGCTGGCTTAACTCCGTCCAGCGCAGGCTTTGCTTTGACTCCCGATGAACTCATGCATCCCTCGGGGGCCTGGGACATCTGCACACTCTGGCCACACCCAGAATGATTTCATTTGATTCCCGGCATGGGAGCTCTGGAATGCTTATTTCAAGGCTCCTCTGCCACCTGGGGGGATGCTGAGGGCCAAGCAGCTCTGCCCTAAGCCCCTGCTCTCTGACCCCGCTTCACACGCCTGTCCCTGGTTCCCATCCTCCACGCCCACCATGAGCACCAGCTGCACTGCCAGGCTGGTCCTGACAGCACGCCCAGGCTTGCGGTCTCCACTCGGCTCCTAAACCAGACGCCCTCCCCTTCACCCCCTGATCTTCTGCCATCCGGTCCTTTGCCCTGGGATGCTCCTCCTGCTCTACCTCACCATCTCCTCGGGACCAGCCTTCCCCCAGCCTCATAGGGTGACCCACCATCCCAGGGGCCTGGTGACCCCTTCCTCGGGGTGTTGAGGACCCCTGTGGAGCCTCCAGCATCTGTGCTTTCCTGCATCCAGGCACAGTGAAGGCTGCAGGATATCTGCTCACTGTCTCCTCTGCTAGGTCCCCTTGAGGGCCAGAACCTCGCTGCACCAGTGGATGTCACCTGAGAAGTGGTCACAGTGTTCACTGGGCAGGTTAACTTATTCCACAAGTACTTGGACACGCAACCCTGAAGGAGGCGTGGTTCTGTCGGCCCCAGAATATGAGCTCGCGCAATCCTCACGGCATTCCTGTTGGGTACTCGCCATCGCCTTCCCATTTTACAGGTAAGGAAACAGGTGCAGAGAAGTGAGGCAAAAGCCAAAACCCCTCCCAGGTAGGAGGGGGTCAGATCCAACCCAGGCAGGGGGCCCCTGAAGAGTGAACTGCTGTGAGAATCAAGTTAAAGGACACACAAGAAGCCATTCAGACGTGACTGGAATGTAGACTGTGCCCAGCACCATGGTCCCCTCCCTTCTAGAAATTCACCACAGCCCTGGCAGCCTCCCAGCCTGAGAAGCGGGTGTCACCTCATCAGGAAGCTGCTGTCTGCTTTTCCGCCTCCCAGGAGCCCCACGTGCCCCTGTCTACTCATTTCCTTAGACATGGCGGTGGGCACACCGCGCTCTGCAGAGGGGCCTTCCTGCGTCCACACTGCATGAGTAAAACGCGGTGGGGTAGCGGGTCCAGGATCCTCCCCCAAGATGAGAAGAGCTGGCTACGCCTGGTTTATGGATAGTTTTATAAATTGTCACACACACACACCCTTCCCGCGCCATTCTATTTCCATTCTGCGGAAATCCTGGGTGGAAGGGAGCTTTATTCCCTTAAACTCTGTTTTAAAAATACTGACCAGAAAACCATCGATCCTCTTTCTGCCACCGTAAATGAGTTTGTGTTTTCTAGCACTTCACGCACCTGGCCTCGTGCAGCGAGAGCTCCTCTGGGCCTGGCTCCTGTCACTCAGCACGATGATTGTGAGTTTCCTTCCTGCGCTGCATAGGTGAGGAGCTCGTCTCTGCTCACTACTGAGCACCGTTCACCGTGTGGACACACAGAGCTGTGCATATTCCTTCACCTGTTGGGAGACATGTGGGTTGCTCCCTTTTGGAGATACTATGAATGTGGCTGTCATGAACATTCATGCCCAAGACAACAAAAACACCGACAACTCCAGCGAGGTCAAGCGCTGCACTTCCACAGACATCCCCACCGCTCCTCTGGTGCGTCCTTCCACCACTGCCCTGGAGCTGTTCCAAGGCTCCTCAGCCTCCCTGCCAACTGACTGACTGCCGGACACGTTCAACCCAGAGATCTTACAGTTCAAAATGCCGCGTTGTGGCCACTTGTTGACGGGCGCCTTCCACCAGACGGGGAAACAGCTTTACTGTGCAGCAGGTCCTCCCTGGGAAACGGGGAGTGAGATGAGGCTGCAGGTGAATGGGCTGAAACCTCCCCCAGCCCCTCCCGGCCTCACCTAGCCGTGTCCTGCTGCAGGAGGTGCCTGCGGAGTTGCTTCACCGGGTCTGGATGAGTTAACCTTGATGCCCTTCCTCCGGCAGAGAGGGACTTCTGTGCACAACACGCCAACCAGAGGAGCCCGTCTCATCAGAAAGGCGGGCTCTCCAGCACAGCTAGAGCAGGTGGGACAATGAGTGAGGCAAGAGGGGCTCAGGCAGCCCAGCTGACGGATTAACTGTGAGTGCGTGGGGTGGGAGCGGCCAGAGAGCGGAGGTGGGAAGCGAGGCTTGAGGAAGAGGGGCAGCCGGCAGCAGGGGCTGATGTCTCTGAGAAGAGAAGCCCATCCGTGAAAGGCCGAAACTTCAAATATTCAACTTGCATACCTGGGGATCCTTGTGTTCTTTTGCTAGCATTTGTTTTAAGTATGCAGGGCCCACTCCCACATTCTCTGAACCCTGCCTGTCCTGGACGCCAGGAGCTTTGGTCTCCATCACTGGGAGAGGTGAGTCACCCCATCTCTGTCTCCGTAGCCACTGACCCACGGACTTTTATCATTTTCCCCCAAGAATTCTGTGAAAGTGTCCCAATCATTTTTCTGCCTCCGGTCTCATCTTTCTCAAATGTTCCCTCAACAACGAGACCTCTTCTGAAACACAAACCACCACACTGCGTCCCCAGAGCCGAGATGGCACCACTGCACTCCAGCCTGGGCCACAGAGCAAGACTCTGTCTCAAAAAAAAAAAAAAAATAGATTACAGTGATGGAAATATATTAAAAATCACTGAATGAACTGTATACTTCAAAAGGTGGAATTTTATGGCATATAAATTAATCTCAGTAAAGCTAATTTTAAAATAGAATGATGCTATCTAGGTCCCTCAGGCTCCATTCTGATGCTTGAACAAATGCTTGTTGAGTCCCTAACAGTGTGTCCCAGTGGAGCATGACAGAAAGAGTTCTGGCTGGAAAGACTTTCAAACCAAGATCATCAGTCCCCCATCCAGAGGCAGGGAAAACCTCAGTGGAGCCTCAAGGAGCACCCTACTCCAGGCAACATGGTTTCTCCCTGTGCCCACCAAGAAGAGTAATCCCCAGAGAGATAAAGAAATGATTCACTTCATGAAAGTATTTACCTTTCACCCACAGTGTCTCCAGGAGGTCTGCCCGTGGCGTACGTGTGCTGTCTGCCCAGCACCACCAGTTCTGGGAGCAGCACGGCCTGTTTCCTGGAAGCTACATCCACGTGCATTGCATCCATACGACTCCTGTGTGCTTTGTTCCCAGGATTGGTTATGGGCTTGGGCCTGACTCAAGACTGCGTGACTGCAGGGCTCAGCCTGACTGTTACTAAAGTGTGCCCCATTCCCTGAACGTGTAGACTTGGGCAGTGAAGGAGGGGGAGCCCTCTCTCTTTTTGACTGTGGCTAGGCAATAAAAGTCTAGGAAGCTCTCAGCAGCCAGGGAGGAAGGCAGGCGCTGGAGCGATAGGGGCCAGTGGGGCCAGGATGAGGGAGAATTTCCTACAGCGCTGGTGTTCCAGTTCTGATGAGCCTCAGGCCCACAGGCATCATGGCCCCCCACGCAGCTACCCTGGCTTCTGTGGCAAAGGACGAAGATGAACCCTGGCATGATTTCATTGTTTTATTAAATTTCATTGTCTCCTTTTCACTTATCTTATTCAAGTTGGGTTTCTTTCACTTGCTAATAAAAGTCTGAGCAGATAGATTACTAAAAATGATTTTGTTTCACCGACTTTAACTCATTCCAGCATTATTTACTGAGGCACCGCTGTGTGCTAGGTGGCATTCCAGGTGCTGCGTATTTATCCAGGAGCCAGCCAGAAGCCCCACCCTGTGGAGTCTGTGTCTTCACCTACAGGAAATTGCTCATCCCGTCATGGATTCACAGACACTTACTGAATTCCTAATAAATAAACTCTTCATTCAGTAGCGTTAAATAAGTTTCTTGAAGCTAGACTGTTGATATTTTGAGAGATATTGTCCATACTCCTGGTCACCTCTGATTTAAGGGCATGCAGGACCTGAGCATTTTACCAACCTACTTAGTGCATTAGCCAGGGTTCTCTAGAGGGACAGAACTCATAGGATCTATGTATATATGAAAAGGGAGTTTATTAAGGGGAATTGACTTACATCAAGAGTGGTTTGCCAGGGGCTCTCGGGCCTTTGGCCACAGACTGAAGGCTGCGCTGTCGGCTTCCCGACTTTTGAGGTTTTGGGACTCCTCGGACTGAGCCACCACTGGCTTCCTTGCTCCTCGACTTGGAGGCAGACTTTCATGGGACTTCACCTTGTGATCCTGTGAGTCCGTTCTCCTTAATAAACTCCCTTTCATGTACACATATATCCTATTAGTTCTGAGGAAGAGTGGAAGTTGCACTTAACTGAGAACGTGTTTAGTCATTTCCCATTATGCAAAACACTGCGGGGATTTCTCCAGCCCTGCTATTATGTGGGAGAACAGGTCTCAGGTAAAAGTTCAAAATTATCGAAGTGAAGAAAGTAATTCACTAAAGGGTCTGATGATCAAGCTTGTCAGCTGCTAATAAGACAGCTGAGAAGAAGACTGAGCTGAATGTTGCACGTGGAAATGCCAAAGTCTTCACTGATGTCAATAAAAATAAAAAAAAATAAAAAAATAAAAATAAAAATAAAAAAAAATAAAAAAATAAAAAAAAAAAACTGGTTTTGATGCACAGGTGAGACTAATATCTCTAATTGTCAATTGTCCATAATTATTGATAAATTAGCTTTCCCTCCGCCTTTTAAAGTCTGGAGTTTGGGCTGCTATGCCATTCTTATCTAGTGCCAATATTTACAACACAAAGAAATTTAGCATGTTTTAAACAAATAACACTACTTATAAGTAGAATTCAAGTCTTTGTCTAATCCAATGTACAAAAAAAATTGTATTTATGTCCTGAGTTTCACAATTTTTCATCTTAAACTATTTCAGTTTCTCAATTTTTAATCACTTGTTCTGGCCACAGAACCAGCCAACAATTCACGCGCTGGACATGTTATTTGAATGTATGGTTTTCTGTTGTGTTTGGATGGGACTTACTTTCTATTATTAGTCTATTATTTCTAAGTGAAGGACATGCTAAAAATGCCTCCAAAACCCATCGTATAATTCATCCTCCTGGTGTCTTACTTTGTAGTCTTAGGATTAAAGGGAGATCATTCTGAAACATCGAAATTTGCATGTTAAAGGGGACTGCCTGAAAGGAGGAAGCGCTTTTCTCAGGAAACCATAATTACACAACAGAATAAGAAAGTGGTGATCGCAGTGGCCTGCGCCTAAACACCGCCTTCTTCAGGATCGTAAATTCCTAAGAATCCAGAGCCGAAAGAGACCCTGCAGATAGAAAATCAAGTTCAAGCCTGTCGTTTAAACGATGGGAACTTGATGCACACACACAAGGAAATTAACCGACTTTCATAGGTTAACTTTGCCCAGTGATGACTGAGAATACCTAAAATAAATGACTTTCCATGAGTCCTTGTATGAAGATTCTGGGTGACAGGGGAAATGAATTAGAAATGGGTAAATATACATGCACCCCAGTTACATAGCAGCAAAATCAGAGCTTGGAATTCCTGCCTCTTTCCTAATGCTGTGACTGACCTCCACTGCAATGCTGAGTTGCACTAATTAGTTCTCATCCAGATTCGCCGTCACGTTTTCTAAAGTCCCATTCCTAAATATACTCTTCTAGTCACCTCAGATGTGAAGATTTAAGAATAGACACTTTGTGTGAGCCGAGGTTGTGCCACTGCACTCCAGCCTGGGCGACAGAGCCAGACTCCATCTCAAAAAAACAAAAAAGAATAGACACTTTGTATGTCTTTATTAATCACAATTTGGGGAATATGCAACGCATATAGAATGAAGAGTATCCGCAAATGGTTAAATGCCACAAGTACACTTTAAAAATAAAATCAGAACCCGGGTCAGGCATGGTGGCTCATGCCTGTAATCCCAGCACTTTGAGAGGCCAAGGCAGGTGGATCACCTGAGGTCAGGAGTTTGAGACCAGCCTGACCAACACGGTGAAACCCCATCTCGACTAAAAAATACAAAAATTAGCAGGCGTGGTGGTGGGTGCCTGTAATCCCAGCTACTCGGGAGGCTGAGGCAGGAGAATCACTTGAACCCAGGAGGCGGAGGTTGCAGTGAGCCAAGATCATGCCATTGCACTCCAGCCTGGGCAACAGAGCAAGATTCTGCCTCAAAAAAAAAAAAAAAAAAATCAGAACACACTGGAGGACGTTAGTAAACCCAGCTGTCAGAAAATGTTTAAATATAGGGCAAGTAAGCAAAGTCCTCATCTATCAATCTCTGTTTTCAGACTCTTCATCTTAGTGCACTCTGGCTGCCAAAACAAAATAGCATAAACTGGACTGCATATAAATAGCATAAATAAATTTCTCACGATGTGAGAGGCTGGGAAGTCCAACACACCAGCGATTTCATGTTCCAGTTCATAAACAGCATCTTCCCACTGCATCCCCACATGGTGGAAGGTGCAGAGCAGCTCTCTGGGGCCTCTTTCATGAGGCCATTCATCCCATTCATGAGGGCTCCACCCTCCTGATCTAATCCCCTTCCAACCCATGTCCTACTACCATCCCTTTGAGGGTTAGGATTTTAACATGAATTTAGGGGCAATACAGGTATTTGGACCATAGCAGATATTTACTACAATAATAGCCTTTTAACCACATCTTCATATAACACAATAGATCAAATGATCAAAAAATTAGTGTTATTCATATAAAAATATACATACATTCTAATCATGAATAAGCAAAAAAAAAAAAAAAAAAAAAGCTGAAATTCTGTCATAAAACAACAGGAATGTATTCCCCCACAGTTCTGGAGGCCCGAGGTCTGAGGTCAGGTGTAAGGGCCGCCTTCCCTCTGAAGGCTCTGAGGGAGGACCTGTCCTTCCTCCCCAGCTCCAGGCAGTACCTGCGTTCCTTCGTTAGTGACAGCCTCGCTCCCACCTCTGCCTCTGTCAGCGCGTGGTGTCCTAAGCTATGTGTGTGTATGTGCCACATTTCCCCCTTTGTGTGAAGACACCAGCCATTGCCTTGGGGCCCATCCAAATCCAGGATGACCTCATCTTGGTTAATTACACCTATTTCCAAATAAGGTAACATTCAGAGGTTCCAGGTGAACATGGATTTTTGGAGGCCACCTTTCAGCCCAGCACATGAACATTCTACAAAATAACTGGCCAGTAGCCCTCAAAAACCTGAAGATCTTAAAAAAGAAAGATTCAGACACTGTCACAAATAAGAACAGGGGTCCCCAATCCCTGGTCCGTGGCCTGTTAGAAATCAGGCCACACAGCAAGAGTTGAGTGGCAGGCCAAGGAGCATTACCACCTGAGCTCTGCCTCCCATCAGATCAGTGGCAGCATTCGATTCTCATAGGAGGCCAGACCCTATTGTGAGGGACCTAGGTCATGCACTCCTTATGAGAACCTAATGCCTGATGATCTGAGGTGGAACAGTTTCATCCTGGAAACATCCCCCAGACCCCCATCCATGGAAAAATTGTCTTCCACAAAACCTGTCCCTGGTGCCAAAATGGTTGGGGACCACTGGATTAGAAGACAGAAAAAGACAAGGCAACTCATTCACCTAATCCTAAGCCGGATGTTGCCCCAGAAAAGGCCATTAGTAGGACAACTGAAGGGATCTGAGTAAGGTCTGTGGAGGGCTTCATAGCAGGTGCCAAAGTGAGTTCCTTGGTTTCCATGTTGTACAACAGTTAGGTATGTCCTTCATATTAGAAAGCTGGGTCACCAGTATACCAGAAATCTCTGTACTATTTTCACAGCTTTTCTGTATGTCCAAAATATATTTTAAACAAAATGTTTAAACATTAGTATGACTAAAGAAGATGGACACTGCACAGCTAAGACGTTTTAATGTAATAGAATGTAAAGAACCTTGCATTCCACAATTTGAAAGCACACATTCTTTCCCTGCACACTAAGAACGGTTATAAAAACCACCTGCAAAGCAGACCACAAAGCAATTCTCAACAAATACCCAAGAATTGGGATCAAATGAAGCACATCCACCATGAGGCTATAAAATTAGAAAATTATGACAAAAAGATAACTACAGCCTGCCCTATGTACATGTGGACATCACACATATAAACACATACTTTTACACACACACAAAATCAGGGCCAAAGAAAAAGCCAAAAAGAAAATGATTATTTTAAGTGAGCAGAAATGAAATCCATGTGGGATAATGCAAGGATGGAAAGAGACTCGTAGTCATCAATACATATGTCAGGAAAAAAGATGGGCACTGAGCTTCAAAAGAAGAAGCTAAGTGAGCAATCAGTAAAATTAGTAATGAATAAAGAAGCCCCAGAGAACAAGGGAGACAGAAGCTACAGTGTTCACTGCAGCAGACTCTTTAGCATTCAAAAGTGGAAAAACCCTGACTGTCCATAGCAGAGGAAGACAGACGCTAGGGTTTATCCACGTAATAGCATACACGACAGCTGTCATGATGGGTGAGCTGGAGCTACCTGTGCATAGCAGCTACATCTCAAAAGCAAAATGTGAAACAAAAAGCAAGTGACATAAAGGCACATATAGGCTAATGCAATTTATGTGTTTTAAACACACAGAATACCTGGAAAGCACAAAGTATGGGATATTTTTAGAAGCAAACAAGTATCATACAAGTGCAAAAGCTTGCCTGATCATGGTACTCACTTACTTCAGAAGAGTGATTATTTCTCAGAGGAGAGAATGAGAGCAGGAATTAATGAGCTTCAGCTTTTTCAGTGTTGCTATTTATTAAAAAAAGAAAGGAAGGAAAGAAAGGAAGGAAGGAAGGAAGAAAGAGAGAGAAAGAAAGAAAGAAAGAAAGAGAAAAGAAAGAAGGAAAGAAAGAAAGAAAGAAAGAAAGAAAGAAAGAAAGAAAGAAAGAAAGAAAAGAAAGAAAAGAATACAGACCTGAGGCAAATACACCAAACTCTCACATCCATTTCATCTTAGTGGGGGACACATAGATGTCTTATATTATTTTGTCTACATTGCTGTATGTTCAAAATATTTCATAATTAAAACAAAGAAAACTACTAGGTCCATCTTTATAATTATCATCTTAAACCTCTTTCAGTTATCAAAGCATTATTTTATATATCTAAGAATGGGACATGGATTTGTATAGGTTGGCTACGAGTCAAATTACTAGAATCAAATTGAAGCTTGCTGTGACTTGAACAATGGTTAAGCCTGTTTACCTGGGGAGGCAAAGTTAGGCAGCCTGATGTTATACCCAATCAACCATCACCTCCTATTGAACACCTCCGAAAAAAAAATCCAAAACCAGCCTCTTCGCTTCATCCCACCATCACTGTCCTTGGCTGCACGCCTCAGCCCCCAGCCGGCAACGCCATGCAAATGACATGAAGCGGAAACATGAGCCGGCAATACCAAGCAAAATGTCAACCTGCTGCCCGGTCGTTTCCACTTTTTAATACTATATTAGTCCATTCTTGTACTGCTATAAAAAAATGTCTGAGGCTGGGTAATTTGTAAGGAAAAGAGGTGTTTTTGTTGTTTTTGTTTTGTTTGTTTTTTGCTTTTTTGAGATGCTCTTGTCGCCCAGGCTGGAGTGCAATAGTGCAATCTCGGCTCAATGCAACCTCCATCTCCCAGGTTCAAGTGATTTTCCTGCTTCAGCCTCCCGAGTAGCTGGATTACGAGTGCCCGACACCACGCCCAACTAATTTTTGTATTTTTAGTAGAGATGGGGCTTCACCATGTTGACCAGGCTGGTCTCAAACTCCTGACCTCAGGTGATCTGCCCACCTTGGCCTCCCAAAGTGCTGGGATTACAGGCGTGAGCCACCACGCTTGGCCGGAAAAGAGGTTTAATTGGCTCACGGTTCCGCAGGCTGTACAGGAAGCATGGCAGCTGCTGCTTCTGGGGAGGCCTCAGGAAGCTTTGAGTCATGGCGAAGGCAAAGCGGAGCAAACGTCTCACATGGTGTCTCACGTGGCAGGAGCAGCAACGAGACAGGCAGGAGGTGCACCCTGTATACCTTTTAAAAACGGATCTCAGGGCAATTCACTCACTCACTGTCACCAAGGGGACAGCACAGAGGGGATGATGACAACCCATTCGTGAGAATCCCACCCCCATGATCCAGTCACCTCCCACTAGACCCCACTCCCACGCTGGGGATTACAGGAGGCCCCACCTCCCACACTGGGGATTACAGGTGACATGAGATTTGGTGGAGACCGCAGATCCAAACCAAGTCAAATATCACAACTGCCTGCAGCTTCATGCGCTGTCAGCTGCTTGCCATCAGGCAGCCAGGGAAGCTTCACCAAACACGGGACAGGAATTCTCTCAGGGTGGATCCCAAACTCCAGGCCATTCCCAGCTTTCTTTCCTTCTAAGGTCTTATTTGTTCCTGTAAGCTGTCTTGTTTTCTGATTTTGTATTTCTGTCTTGTTTTGTTTGGCTTGAGCTAGCCAGAGCCAGTTTTTCATGCTTGTGGCTGGTACCTGTTTCCTGGGGGCTGCCATTATAAAGTACCGCAACCGGGACTGAAAACAACAGAAATGTATCATGCCACCATCCAGGAGATCAAAAGTCAGAGACCAAAGTGTCGCAGGGTTGGCCCCTTCTTGCGGGCTGTGAGCGAGAATCCGTTCCCTGCCTCCCCGGCCTCAGTGTCTCCCGGCAGTCGCCGGTGCTCCTTGGCTTGCGGCTGCACCGCTCCCGTCTCCGCCCCGTCACAGGACACTCTCTCTCTGTGTCTCTGTGTCCAAATTCCTCTCTTCTTACAAGGACACCCATTCATGCCTTAGGACTTGCCCAGTCCAGCATGGCATCATCTCAACTTGATTATAGCTGCGAAGAAAGACCCAGCCTCCAAATCAGGTCGAGTTCACAGTGCACTAGAAATTGGGACACGCACATACCCTTTGGGAAGACGCTATTCAACCTGCGACGTTGCCCAAATGACCTCAACTAATAATAAATAAAATTTATTCTATTTAATGTGTAAATAAAGTTTACAACAGAGCCTGTTGCTCTTGCCTTAAAGAGCACTCCTGAACTCTTCAAAGCCCCTCGTGGCCCTGGGACAGGGGGCCAGCCCCTTCCCTGTTCCTTCTCACCCCGTACCACCCCATCTCACAGCACCCACTTCCTCTGCCCGAGACACTCGTGTCTCTGCCAAGCCCACTTCTGCGCAGTGGAGAGTACCTGCTGATCTTTTGCATGACTGCTAATTCAGCAGAATACTTTAACAGATACAATCGCTTATATGCACAAAAGGGCATGGCCACTCCCCATTGTCATCCTGGGGAGTTGTCGCCATTGACTCGTGAAGTTACATGCTGAAGATATTGCTCAACACATGTCAATGCTCCTCTTTGGGAATTGTCTTCAAACACAGCTAAAGATGAAGCCATATTCTTTTTAGTTCAAAACAACATCAACATCTCATCTGTTCTGCTTGTTTCTCAAAAGATGGATATTCACCACTATCCGCGACAGTCATGAGATCAGACACCACAACTGAAAAATTTGAATATTTGAGAAAAGAGTAAGATCTCCCACAAGCAATGTGAAAAGACAAACTGAGAACCATCCTGTTCAACTCATGCCACAAATGGCCAACTTCCCTAATCCATAGAAAAATTTACAAAGCATTAAGAAGAACAACAGACTCAAGCAGAAATGGTTAAAGGCAGTGAACAGAAAGTTCACATGGAAAGAACTAATAGTGTGAAAAGAAGCTCAACCTCACTCATTATGAAAACTGTACCAAGATAACTTATCACCTCTCAGATCAGCAAGTCTGAAAAATTTGACAACACACAGTGGGACAGATTCTTAGGAGGGCAATTTGGCATTAATTATCAATATAATATGTATAACCTTTGACCCAGCAACTACCTCTACAAATACATTTACATGTGTGTTAAGTGATGTGGTGTGAGGTATTTCTTTACATCATTATTTGTTATAAACATCAGAAATAACCTAAATATCTCTCACTAATTCAGATATTTAGTATCCGAGTATTTATTTACTCTGGGTAAATAAATTATATCACATTCATAAAATAAAATTCTATACAAATGTTTAGAAGTGAGTATGTTTCCTACCTTAGTCCCATCAGGTTGCTACAACAAAATACCATAAGCTGGGCGGCTTTTCACCACAGAAATTTATTTCTAACAATGTTGGAGCCTGGGAAGTCTCAGATCAGTGTCTGGTAAAGACCTGCTTTCTGGTACCTAAATGGCGCCTTCTTGCTGTGTTTTCACATGGTGGGAGGGGAGAGCCAGCCCTCCGGGGCTTCCTCCATAAGGGCACGAATCCCATTTGCAATGGCTCCACCCCCATGGCCTAATCGCCTCTCAAAGGAGATCCCTGGGGATTCAAATGGAAACGTATGTATTTGGAGGGGATGCAAACACTCAGACCATAGCATTCCTCAAGTACTAATATGTTATTAAGTGTAAAAAAATGTGGAATAGCTTACAAACTTCATGTATATAAATTTTATATCATGTAGTGCCTTAAGGGTTGAGAAAGGGGAAAGTGCCTATGTATAGGTCTGTGTTTTAGCTACATATTTGCTTCTCTATGCATAATGTATTTCTGGAAGGATACACATAATGTATTTCTGGAAGGAACTGATGATACATTTGTTATGTCTGCACACAGAAGATGAGAGATCGGGCTTGAGATCTGAGAGCCCAGGGCACGGAGCAAGCTCTTGGCCTGCACACACTCAGCCAGCACTGTTTTCTGGGGTGTTCTAGAACCCAGGCGGCAGTGTAGGCAGGCTTTCCAAATGATGAGTTATAAAAAATGGTTTAGATAGTTTCACAACTTTTTGAATATGTACATGATCTCCACAGGTAGCTAAAGGTAATATCGATAATTTTTACATTTTTTTTCATATTCAGTTACTTTAATCTCCCCCTGTATAAACACATAAATCATTGACAGGGGAAAAGTCTTACTTAGTTCCTCCACTGTTTATTAGACTCCCCACTGTCAATGAAATAAATGACTAAGATACTATCTTCCAGGTTATTTCTCATAACGACAGGATGAAACTCAAAAGGATTTTAAAAACATAACTAACCACAAAACATTCCCCATGCTTTCACATTACTCTCAAATATTCGGAATATTTTATGATATACGACTTTTTGCGTGATTCCAGCTTTTTATGATTTCTCTATGTATATTCCAAATTCTGTTACTGTAGGCAAACATTCTTTCAAATCCTTTTCAAAATATAAAATTACTAAATTAAGGCGCAATAAAATATATTCATTCAGCCAACAAATATTTATTAATGCCTGCTACACAAAATTAAGGCTCTCTTAGACCTACTCTATTAAAATAAAAATGAAGAAAGAGAAGTATAAATAAATTTAAAAGATTAATAAGAAATTCTAAATAATACTGTAACCTCGTAGTGGGCCTGGTTAGAAAAAAACACTTCCCCGTCCTTCCTTTGTTAAACACTCCCTATCCCGTGCGGAACTGCTCTCCAGGCCATTTCTGACTTGTGAAGGATGGCGGCGAAGGAAGAATCAGAAGCATGCAAATTACATGCAAATTAGCTCCAGTGCCGCTGGGTTCCTGAACACATCGAGAGGTAATACATACAAACATATTCTGTGGCAGAGCTGGACCCCACGGGCACTGAATATTTCTAGACAGTTTGTGTCTGGTTTCCCTCACTCTGAGTCAGGCATCAGTTCCTTCCCTCGCCAAGACACCTGAATCTCTCTCATCTGCGCTTCTCTTCTCTCTGCAGAGCGGCTTTCTCTGCCGGTTCTTAATTTCTACTTTCACTGGGGGTGGCTCCAGTGTGGTGCTACCTCCATACAGCACCCTTCATCACCAGAGCCCTTCATCATGCGACTGCCGTCAAAGGGGAGAGACAAAGGGAACGCAGCTCCACCTAGACGTTGGGTGCCCTACACCTGGGTCAGTGCCCCGCCTCTCCCACCTTCTGGCTAAGGTCAGCAAGCTCAGACACCGCTATATTCCAGGTGTGATGGATGGTGAGGCAGGTGAGAAGGGAACTCAAGCATCGCATGCAAATCAACCGACATCTGCTGCAAGACCCAAGGTACCCGAGGGGATTATTCCAGAAGTTGGTTTTTGCTTCAATAGTTTTATGTAAGTATTTAAAATGTATTGCATACTTTCTTGCAAATACGATCTCGTCATACTCGCCCACTTACGACTTTACAACTTTTTAATGGCTCGCCCTTGTCCTCAGTGTAAATCTCAGAGTTCTCAGCCTTAAGCATCTTCCCTCTCCTAACCTCTGCTCTCCTAATCTCTCCCCTCCTAACCTCTCACAGACTATCTTATTTCATAATCCTCCTCTCCTCACTAAACATTCTCCCTTACTTCCGGACCTTTGCACGTCCTGTAATTATTCTTGGAATTATTCGCACTTTATGCTATATAAATGAAACTGAAACCTTTGTTTTTAGATTTTGAAAAACATTTGCAATCAGGTCTGTTCCAGATAAAAGTGTGAGGTAAGAATAAAAATGGTGTGCAGTGTGTTTGATCTCCCAGTGAAGCCCACCTCCTTGCCAACACACCCACCAGGAGCTTGGTTCACTTCTGATCTTTCCTCCACCCTAGTGAAATCAGATCAGGGAAGATCCAAAATTCACTCATTCAAATGAAACTAGCTCATAGTTTCCATTTCATTTACCACTCCCAGTGCTATTTGCATTGTATCATGAATCAAAATTTTAAAATAAAGTCATAGTGTTAGAATGTTAAACTGTCCATCTTCAGCCAGTAGAAAATTGATATTATTTTCCATTTGAAAGGCAGGTGGAGCCTTTCCAATGCCTCTAAGTTCAAACAGTTTTCTGCCATTGTATAAGGCAGAGTTCAGCTGCACTTTTGTTGTCATGAAAGTATGTATTGCATGGATGAATAAACAGAATTTTTCATAAAACTGGCTGTGATTGCATCTGCCAAAGCTGGTCTGCAGAGCTGCACGTCAACTCAATAGCTCGCATGAATTTCCACAATAGGCCAGAAATGATTAAATAATTTTTGTAGAACAGCATTTGAAATTTTGCTTCTGTCTCTATTTTTCATAATAGTCAGCAGAGAACTGATTGCATCCCTCCAAGAAATGAATAATTTGGCATTTTAAAGAGGTTCAGAGGCACACATTAGCACAGAAAAACCATTATGAGCCAGTGTGTCAGGCACACACATCTCGGCGGCCTTTTCAAGCACTTTATCTCTCAACTCTACCAAATGCTATTTTTTTAAAGCATCCAGATTTCTATCCTAAAGGCAATTATTTTCTTAAAGTTCATAAAGGGTAGGAGACAAATGAAAAATGTATTTTAACATGTGTATCTGTGTCCCCCAGCAATAAAATCTAAATAGTATATTGAACTGCAATTCTGAGAGCTGTGAGGAAAAGGGGCTTGTGTAATTCTAGTCCATTGTATTAAGAAATCCATGAGATGGTCTAAAACCATTTTATGTCCATACAAACAAAGACTGCACAAATTCCCAAATGTTCTTATGAAACTTTGTCAATGCCTTCTGTGATGAATAGATTTCATGTTTGAAATTGGCTAGGTTACAGGACCCAGTTACTCAAGTAAATGCTAATCTAAGGTTGCTGCAAAGATATTTTGTAGATGTGGTTCATATCTATCATCAGGTGACTTTAAGTAAAAAAGTAGGTGAGGTCATATACTCTTGGAGAAGAGGAAGGTCTGTTTCAAGACTGAGCATCAGCTCCTGATCCACTTTCCAGGATGCCTACCTGCCCCTTGGATTTCAGAATTACCAGCCCTACAATCATGTGAACAAATGTCTTGAAATAAATCTCTTGATAGATAGATAGACGATAGATAGACAGATAGATGGATAGATAGATAGATAGAGACAGAGAGATAGAGAGATAGGGAAAGACAGATAGACATAGATTAAATGATAGATAGATACAGAGAGACAGACAGATAGCTATCTTCTATTGGTTCTGTTTCTCTAGAGAACCCTGACTGATACATTGTCCCATATGATAATACTCACTAATATGCATATCACACCCTATAGTTTTTTCAAGGGGAAATGCTCTGTGAATATATTAATGATACGAAGCCCTGTGAACGTATTGTCTACTTGAATAGATTTTTTTGGTGGCATTAAATCAGCTTTTTCAAGTCGTAATTCCGGTTACCTAAACAAGTTGCCTGAGTTACTCAAGCAAGCAGAAGAATCAAGACCACTTTCAAATTACCTCTTATGATTTCCAGGATGTAACCTTAAGGAGCTAATTGTTGTTATTGTTGCTGTGTGTTCTAGTTGGAAAAGTTAGAACCGTGCAAATGCAATTGATGTACTACAAACATAATACAAAGATGGGAGGTGAGCCTGTGGGTACTTTCTTTGATGTTTCCCAAGGAAAAATGGGGGCACACACCTCTCACTTAACCAGGTTTAACTACTATTTTTCTGCTGACTTGATGATTACATTTCTGTCTCATTTCCTGATTTAGATCATCAAATTTAAAGTCAATGTACCTGTAATCTCAGCACTTTGGGAAGCTGAGGCGGGCGGATCACAAGGTCAGGAGATAGAGACCATCCTGGCTAACACAGTGAAACCCCGTCTGTACTAAAAAATACAAAAAAAAAAGTTAGCCGGGCGTGGTGTCGGGCACCTGTAGTCCCAGCTACTCGGGAGGCTGAGGCAGGAGAATGGTGTGAACCCAGGAGGCGGAGCTTGCAGTGAGCAGAGATCGCACCACTGCACTCCAGGCTGGGCGACAGCGTGAGACTCCGCCTCAAAAAAATAAAAATAAAAATAAAAAATAAAAAAATAAAGTCAGTGCACCAATGAGTGTGGGCCTCACTCATTCTTCAGTAGAGCTCCTCTTAAAGTCCCCACAAGTCCTTTCTAGTGAAAGCCTGTAAACACTAGAAATAAAAAGTGGAAGCTGTGGACCATCTCCTCGGGAATTAACCCTGCCTTTGCTGGAAGACAGGCACACCCCACATTCTGATGCAAATATACACTGCAACAGATGACACACAGCTTCTCCACCGCCCTCACTCCTCACAGAGTGCCCATCTTCTGTCCTGCATACGATGGCATGTGACAAGTCACTGGGCCTTCTGAGCCAAATACCTGATATCTGTGATTTTATAAAGGCAGGTGGGAATTATAAACGCTCACTTAAAATGAACCAGGGGACCTTGCACTTCAAAGAAATCTCACAGTTTTTAAATCCTCTTGGTAAATATGAACATTTTTTTTTAGAGACTGGATCTCACTCTGTCACCCAGGCTGCAATGCAGTGGTGCTATCACAGCTCACTGAAGCCTCAACCTCCTGGGCTCAAGCAATCCTCTCAACTCAGCCTCCCGAGTAGCTGGGACCACAGGTGTGAGTCACCACGCCTGGCTAATTATGAACTTTTGTACATTGGCTTTGCTGAAAGCAAGAAACAGGTCTATTCTCCTAGAATGTGGGCTGAGCTTACTCTGTCAGCCCACTGGTATTTCATTCAAGTTAATTGATCAACCTAGCAATATGCATTTCATAATTATTGCCAAAATTACCATGACTGCATTTATCTGTGTAGAGTGTGTGTTTCACCTGGGCCTCCAGTAGATTAAATAGCACAGCTCTAGACTTTATTTTTTCTTTTTCCTTTTTTTTTGAGACAGAGTCTCACTCTTGTAGCCCAGGCTCGAGTACAGTGGCGTGATCTCAGCTCACTGCAACCTCCGCCTCCTGGGTTCAAGTGATTCTCCTGCCTCAGCCTCCCAAGTAGCTGGGATTACAGGTGTGCACCACCACACAGGTCTAAGTTTTATATTTTTAGTAGAGATGGGGTTTCACCATGTTGGCCAAGCTGGTCTCAAACTCCTGACCTCAGGTGATCTGCCTGCCTCGGCCTCCCAAAGTGCTGGGATTACAGGCAGCTCTAGACTTGATGATGATGATGATTTAACACAAATACCATAATTCTATCAGGTTCTTCACATTTTTATTGTGAGTTCACATGCAAATTCTTATTTAATACCCACGACATTCTATTTTACTTTACAGATGAGGAAAATTGGCCTTAAAGAGAGCAAGTGACTCACTTGAGAGGAAGTGACAAATCAAAGGGGGAGTTGGCAGCAGGGCCTGACACCCAGCCTGTGCACTTCCCCTCCTAAGACCATCTCAGATCTGTAAACCCCTGACATCTTTCCAAGCTCTTCCCAGACACACACCAGCAGGTCTGATTCCCATCCCACTGAGGACCTCTGTGTGCAAATGCCTCCTGTTCTGAGAACTCTTTCTCCCAGGGGACAGTGGAGACTGGGGCTGCACACAGAGGTCTGTTTTCTGTCTGGTTTTCCAGGTGTGGCTCTGCAAACCAGCGCCGTCTAGCATACGTTCAGAACACCATGAAACCAGAAAAAGGAAGGAGGGACCAGCAATATGAGAGACCCAGGACTTTCCAGTTCTAAACTCACACATTAGAAGTGGGCTCCACAGCAAAATGAATGGAAACCAACCAGCCAGTCCAAAAAGAGAATATGGTTACTTTTATCAAGGACATCGATACCCATTCGTTGACTTGGGAGGATGCTTACGATATTCTGCCAAGTGGAAAAGCAAGTTACAAAAAAATTATAGCATGATTCTAGTTTTATAAATAAAAGAGTGAAAAGTGAAAGTTCATACCACGCTCAGATAATTGTTTCTCAGTAGTATAATTTGGAGCTTTTTATGTTTAAAAATGTTTTTCTACATTTTCTAACTTTTAGCCATAAGTAGGCAGTGCTTGAATAACATAACGTTTGAAAGACAGGTATGGCTAATGGCTGATCGTTTATGAGTAGGCTATTCAGCTACCAAACACTCTTATGCCAAAGACCTCTCCCACCTCCTGCCCAGTTTTCTCCAAACAGCACAGGAGTCTGGGCAGGAAGTGGGCAGAGCCAGCACTGATGCCCAGGCTCAGCAGGGCATCCGTCCTGGGTGTCGTCAAGCTTCTTCTCTCCTCTGCTTATGAAGCTGCTCCAATTTGCAGAAGGGTCACCTGGTGACTGTTTCGGGACCTGAAGTGAATGAGCTGAGGAATTAACTGTGTGTCACTCTCAGTTGCCTACAGTGGCATTACCACTGCGGGAGCACCAGTCATGTCTCCCCACCCCATGGGAATTTACAGCACTCAGGCCCATCTGCAGGACGGCAGAGGTATTTGCGGGTACAACAGGCCCAGAACATACTTGGGAAGGCAGGGATGAGTCAGTTAGATTTCCCACTAGGTTTTCAAACTGTAGCTCTTTTTTCATCCACGGGGTGAACCTTGTCTGATTGGCACTCGATGTTGTATGACCCTGGAGCAGGTCTGCACAGGAAAAGGGAGGAAAACCTGTGCGTTCTCTCTCCTGTTCCTGCACGCTCTCTTCCATGCTATTGGCAGTTGACATCAACAGGTCCCATCTACATCCCGGCTCAGGGGAAGTGGGCTCCCTCTCCGTGTTGCCAGGTGGCTCTGACCGAGAGGACAAGCCCCAGCTGTCAGGAACTAACAGCATCCACTTTCCTCTTTCCCTTCAAGCTCGCGTCTTTTCAGATGTCACCAGTTCTGAATCCTGTGCATAGTATTCATGTTTCAAAGAGAATGTTCAAACTACTTAAGGGAAAAAGCTTTTTAAATGCCCTCTGGTGCTCATGTAATTACCCACTAGGTCATGAAAAGTCATTATTGTTTTTACTCTTCATTTTTATAAATAATGGAGCCCTTCCCCTATGTCCTCTGTTCAGCTATAATTTGTTAGCCTAGTTGTGATTCCTCTGGGCTCTTGAAACTAATAATGTTTACTTTCTTTAAAAATAGAAAATACATAGATACATAGCAAATGCTTATTCAGTTTTCACTCTGTGCCAGGCACTTCTGAAGAATCTCACACAGACTCTCATTTCATCCTCAGGACAATGCCTGGGATATGGGCAGAACGGTGACCATCACCATCTACCGGGAAGACACTGAGGAACACACAGCCAGCAAGTTGCAGAGGCTGAGCCCAGGAGGCCCGGCCCTCACACGGGCCCCTGAGTGTCATGATATACGGCATCTCTGCACAAGCAGCGACAAAAATCACTTTCACCTGAGTGTCCATGTGTGACTGTGAGTCCGACCTTCCAAGAAAGCTGCCCCCATGCCGGGAGGGCTCACGGAACTCCTGTTGTGACCAGGCTAGCTCCATCCCTTCTCACACTGCCATTCTTGGTTGGGTGATGGCCACACAGCCTGAGCTGATCCCCTCTGAGGGGAGCCCCAAGGTTTTATTTGAAGACCGAGTATGAACAAGGCACCCAGGGCTGCTGGCAGCAGTGGGCCATGAGAGAACCCTGCCAAACCTGGAATACACTCTGAGGAAGCAGGACAGATGGAGAGAGGGATGGTGGCCCCCGTCTCATCACGGGAGCTGCCAAATTCAGTGCATCCTCAGAACCTTCTAGTGATGCAAAATACGGTGGCTTCCTCTTACTGCCTGCATCCTTGTTAATGTTGGTTTTCTTCTTGGGACTTCCAACCAATAAATAACGTGGTCAGGAGAGGAATATTCCTACCAACAGCCATTCAAACATGGCATTGGCTGCCTGGAGGCAGAGAAGGGGCAGCCACTGGCCATCCTTGATATTTTAAAATTAAACATCTAGCTATATTATCTGTGTGTGGAGCTGGCACTTGTGTGATGTGAGGCTACAGAACTAGGGGACCATAGAATTCAAAATGTGGAGAGTGAGGCCCAATCAGGAAAGAGAGGATTGCTTTGGAAGGGGCCACCTGTGATGCAGAGAAGAAATGGGTATGGGTTGGTGAGCAGAAGATGTGGTCCTTGTTATCTGACCTTCTGGGGCCAAGAGACTTGCAGGATTCTCTATCCCCAGGCCAAGGTTTTACCAGCAGTGCCAGGAAGTGGGGATTTAACAGGACCATGGACAGAGGTCGGGAGAAGTCAGATCCTCATGCTGCCCCCATGCACCTCCCATCAGGTTTTCTTTCCTTGAAAGTCATTCTTTCTGGAGAGGTTCAGCTGGTGAGCAGCCAGAGCTTTGCCTCCCACCAACGGACATTATTTGGAATGTACCTGAGGCAGAAGCCACTAAATGCAAAGTGAAGCTGGGAGAAAGCTTGTTGCCAGGATGCAGAGGTTCCCTCCCAATTCTGGGCTCAAACTTGATAGCTAGATAAGATCTCTGGTTTGGGTTACTAAACAACTGAAACCAAACAAACAGAGCAGAAGTCTAAATGTCAAGGCCTTGCACTGCCAAAGAAATGCTAAAACTGAGCCAGGGGCCACCAAGGCAAACATGCGGGAGGACCCCACATCTCTGCCATAAGAAAGCTCTAGAAAATGTGGAGCCACCTGGGGGCGTCACCTCAGGGCCTTTCCAAAGCGTATTAGTCCGTTTTCACATTGCTGATGAAGACATACCCAAGACTGGGCAATTTACAAAAGAAAGAGGTTTATTGGATTTACAGTTCCGCATGACTGGGGAGACCTCACAATCATGACAGAAGGTGAAAGACACATCTCACATGGTGGCAGACAAGAGAAGAGAGCTTGTGTGGGAAATTCCCATTTTTAAAGCTGTCAGATCTCATGAGACTCATTCACTATCACAAGAACAGTGCAAGAAAGACCTGCCCCCATAATTTAGTCATCTCCCACTGGGTTCCTCCCACAATACATGGGACGTGAGGAAGTTGCAATTCAAGAGGAGATTTAGGTGAGGACACAGCCAAACCATATCATTCCATCCCTGGCTCCCCCTAGATCTCATGTCCTCACATTTCAAAACCATTCATGCCTTCCCAACAGTCCCCAAAGTCTTAACTCATTACATCATTAACTCAAAAGTCCATAGTCCAAAGTCTCATTTGAGACAAGGCAAGTCCCTTCTGCCCATGAGCCTGTAAAATCAAAAGCAAGTTAGTTACTTCCTAGATACAATGGGGGCACAGGCATGGGGTAAAAACAGCCATTCCAAATGGGAGTAATTGGCCAAAACAAAGGGGCTACAGGCCCCACACAAGTCTAAAATCCAGCAGGTAGTCAAAACTTAAAGCTCCAAAATGATCTCTTTTGACTCTATGTCTCACATCCACATCATTCTGATGCAAGAAGTAGCTTCCCATGGTCTTTGGCAGCTCCACCCCTATGGCTTTGCAGGGTACAGCCTCCCTCCTGGCTGCTTTCAAGGGCTGGCATTGACTGTCTGTGGCTTTTCCAGGCACATGGTGCAAGCTGTCAGTGGATCTACCTTTATGGGGTCTGGAGGATGGTGGCCCTCTTCTCACAGCTCCACTAGGTGGTGTCCCAGTAGGAACTCTGGGTGGGGGCTCCAAAACCACATTCCCCTTCTGCACTGCCCTAGGAGAGAATCTCCATGAGGGCCCCGTCCCTGCAGCAAACTTCTGCCTGGGCATCCAGGCATTTCCTGAAATCTAGCAGAGGTTCCCAAACCTCAGTTCTTGACTTCTGTGCACCTGTAGGCTCACCACCACATGAAAGCTGCCAAGGCTTGGGCTTCTACCCTCTGAAGCAACAGCCTGAGCTGTACCTTGGCCCCTTTTAGTCACAGCTGGCGTGGCTGGAACACAGGGAACCAAGTCCCTAGACTGCACAGAGCAGAGGGACCCTGGACCTGGCCCATACAATCATTTTTTCCTCCTCAACCTCTGGGCCTGTGATGGGAGGGGCTGCTGTGAAGAACTCTGACATGCCCTGGAGACATATTCCCTATTGTCTTGGGGATTAACATTTGGCTCCTCATTACTTATGCAAATTTCTGCAGCCAGCTTAAATTTCTCCTCAGAAAATGGGATTTTCTTTTCTGTTGCATTGTCAGGCTGCAAATTTTCAAAACCTTTATGCTCTGCTTCCCTTATAAAAATGAATGCCTTTAACAGCACCCAAGTCACCTCTTGAATGCTTTGTTGCTTAGAAATTTCTTCCACCAGATACCCTAAATCACCTCTCTCAAGTTCAAAGTTCCATGAATCTCTGAAGCCGGGGCAAAATGCCACCAGTCTCTTTGCTAAAACAAAACAAGAGTCACCTTTGCTCCAGTTCCCAACAAGTTTCTCATCTCCATCTGAGACCACCTTAGCCTGGATTTCATTGTCCGTATCATTATCAGCATTTTGGTCAAAGCCATGCAACAAGTTTCTAGGGAGTTCCAAACTTTCCCACATTTTTCTGTCTTTTTTTGAGCCCTCCAAACTGTTCCAACCTCTGCCTGTTACCCAGTTCCAAAGTCACTTCCACATTTTCGGGTATCTTTTCAGCAGCGCCCCAGTCTACTGGTACCAATTTACTGTGTATTAGTCCATTTTCACACTGCTGATAAAGACATACCCAAGACGGGGCAATTTACAAATGAAAGAGGTTTATTGGACTTAGAGTTTTACATGGCTGGGAAGGCCTCACAATCACGGCAGAAGGTGAAAGGCACGTCTCACGTGGCAGCAGACAAGAGAAGGGAGCTTGTGCAGGGAAACTCCCGTTTTTAAAACAATGAGATCTTGTGAGACTCATTCACTATCACAAGAGCAGCACATGAATGATCCACCCCCATCATTCAATCACCTCCCACTGGGTTTCTCCAATGACACATGGGAATTGTGGAAATTAATATTCAATATGAGATTTGGGTGGGGACACAGCGAAACCATATCACAGACAGACACAGAGTCAGGGGCATGATCACTGGGTCCTTGCGTGGACCACAGAGTTGCCCATGGCTTTCCTCTCTCCTCCTCTCCATGGCAGTCCACTTATACTTACTCTGTAGCTCCCTCCCCCATCCCACCACCAAACCTGAGAGCCACACCCAAGAAGATGCAGAGAGCTTCACCTGACCAGATATCATGGGCTCGGAGCTGATGGCCTCATGTGGGTGGCACTCAGTTTAATGCCATTGTGGGGGGAGGGGCAAAAGGGATTTCTGGTCTTTTTTTTTTTTTTTTTTTAATGAGACAGTGTCTCCCTCTGTTGCCCTCTGTTGGCTGGAGTGCAGTGGCGCAATCTCAGCTCACTGCAACCTCTGCCTCCTGGGTTCAAGTGAGTCTCCTGCTTCAGCCTCCCAAATAGCTGGGACTGCAGGTGCCTGCCACGCCTGGCTAACTTTTGTATTTTTTTAGTAGAGACAGGAGTTCCACCATGATGCCCAGGCTAGTTTCAAACTCCTGACCTCAAGTGACCTGCCTGCCTCCACCTCCCAAAGTGTTGGGATTACAGGCATGAGCCACCACACCAAGCCAAGATTTCTGGTAATTTTGAAAAGTAAACGTATGTGAGGAAGACCCCATGTCCCTGAGTGGATGCTCACCCTCTCGGGCTGTGGACCTGGCCCCGTGTCCCTGAGTGGACGCTCACCCTCTAGGGGTTGTGGACCTGGTTCTTGTCCCTGAGTGGACGCTCACCCTCTTGGGCTGTGGACCTGGCCTCATGTCCCTGAGTGGATGCTCACCTTCTCAGGCTGTGGACCTGGCCCCGTGTCCCTGAGCATCATGTTGTGAGGATGAAATCATGGAAGTCTCTAAAACACTTACAACATAGTAAATGCCATGTGTTGTTCAACTATTTTGACTTCAGTCTTCCATTTCCATCAAAGAAAATAATGAAAAGGATTCAATTAAACATAAGAGGAGAGTGTTTTGGGGAGACACCATCCTGTGTTAATGAAAGCAGCAGAGCTGGAGGGAGAGGGTAGTTAATCCAGTCTGTGGGCATTAGAGACATGCTCCCCTCTCTCCTGTACTCTGAGGGAGTAACCAGGGTAGTTTACAGTCACTTGCAATTCCTTTTAGCTGATAAACTGTGCTTCTCTGAGCCAGACTGGGTCACATGGGGCCTGACCATCACTTGGGTGCTGTACTGAAGCCCTACTACAGGCCCGCCTGCCAGAGGGATTGACAAGGCAGAAGTCAGCAGGAAGGGCGAGGCCCCTGCCTGTGTGGAGCTCACGTGCTAATGCAGGAGGCTGAGAGTGTGGAGCATAGCCAGTAAATAAGCAGGAAGGTGCCAGGTCATATTGTCAGTGCAGTGCAGAGATGACACAGTGACGTGAGACACTGATGAGACGGCTGCTTCCAAACATGAGGCCAGGATAGGTCTCACTAGGAGAGGACTTTTTTAAATTGTGGTAAAATACACACACTCTAAAATCAATCCTCATAAGCACGTCTAGGTGCACACAGCTCAGTGGCATTAGCAATTTCACATCCTCCTGCAGCCATCAGCTCCTTCCACACCCAGAACTCTCCTTGTCTTACAAAAGAGAAACTCTGTGCCCCTTGAAGGAGGAAGGGACTTCTAAGTAGAGGCCCAAATGACTAGAAAAATGGGCCAGTGTTGGGGGCTTTTGGGGAAGAGAAAACAGCTCAGCAGACACAGGGGAGGCAGAAACACGGGAGGCAAGCATGAGACACAGAGGGTGTATCGGAGGGGGCTCTGAGGGGCACGGCCAAGCCAGGGAAGGTGTATAGATTTTCTTCTAAAGGCCATGGTGTATTAGTCTGTTCTCATGCTGCTAATAAAAACATCACCAAGACTGGGCAATTTATAAAGGAAGGAGCTTTAATGGACTCATGAACTCACAGTTACACATGGCTGGGGAGGCCTCACAGTCATGACGGAAGGCAAAGGAGAAGCAAAGGCAAGTCTTACATGGCGGTAGGCAAGACAGCTTGTGCAGGGGAACTGCCTTTTATAAAACCATCATATCTCATGAGACTTATTCACTATCATGAGAACAGTAAGGGGGAACCGCCCCTGTGATTCAATTCTCTCCACCTCGTCCTGGCCTTGACACATGGGGATTTTAACATTCAAGGTGAGATTTGGGTGCGGACACAGCCAAACCATATCACATGGGAAGCACTGCAGGACTTCAAGTGAGGGATGTGGCATGACCAACGCAGGGCTAAAGAACCCATCTCTCCATGGTGTGGACTGAAACAGCCACTGCAGCCTGGGGAGCCTCAGGGCAGCTTGGGCGAGGTGAAGAACGGACATGCAGAGAACAAGGAAGTTTGGGGGACAGCGTGACAGGATGTGTCAACAGATCAGGTACATGGGGGTGCAAAGCATCTGGGACAATTCCTAGGTTCAGGGTTTGAGCCCTGGATGGTCAGGGAGATCATTCCTGGAGACAACTAGAATGCTGGCTCGGAGAAGGTGGAGAGGCAGGGCCAGGAAAGATGGATCTCCATTCTGCCTGGGAGACATGGCTCCTTGGTGAACTGCAATGTCAGACCTAGGATACAGTGTCATAGAGAAATTTAACATTAAAAAAAACTGGAGTAGTGTAGACTGCTTTTCTCCATGTAAACCTGACCACACATTATGTTACCATAAAGTTAAAAACGGCCGGGCACAGTGGCTCATGCCTGTAATCCCAGCACTTTGGGAGGCCAAGGCGAGTGGATCACTTGAGGTCAGGAGTTCAAGACCAGCCTGGACAACATGGTAAAACCCCATCTGTACTAAAAAAAAAATACAAAAATTAGCCAGGCATGGTAGCACACGCCTGTAGTCCCAGCTACTCGGGAGGCTGAGGCACAAGAATCGCTTAAGCCCAGGAGGTGGAGGTTGCAGTGAGCCGAGATCACGTCACTGCACTCCTGCCTGGAAGAAAGAGCAAGACTCTGTCTCAAAAAAAAAAAAAAAAAAAAAAAAAGCTAAAATCACTGGTTATATGATATAATCCATGCTCAATGAGGCTGTATATTAATTTGCATTTATTTTAATAAGCTGTGGCACACGTCCTTCTGCAAATAGAGAAGCAAATGTATTTTCCTAACCAGATGAATTTCTAAAATTTTTGTTTTTGATTGCTGTAAGAACAGTTACATATAAATGTTCAGTCCCAGAAACAGTAACAATAAAGATATCCGGAATAACCGAACACCATGCTGGCATCTTTCACTTGCACCCATTACTACTGGATACTTTAATAGATAATACAGTACAAAGCCAAAAAGAGAGTTCACTTCAGTAAAAAACTACTGAGTTTCATTTATCTTGTACAATTTAGCCAAAAGCTTTAAATACTAAGTCAGTTTCCCATAACTCCTGATTACCAAACACACTTGAAAATATTAGTGTGTCCTCAAGGCTTATGATATTTGCTAACTGTCAAATAATCACCTAATCCCGTTTCACTTGAGCTATGGAGAAACGAAGTTGCAGAAAAATATGAAATGCTTAATCCAAGAAGAGACATAAATATATGGCCGGGAGAGACCAACCGGAGGAGCTCAGTCTCCTAACCTTTTTGTTTTTTTTTTTTTTTGGTACAGAGTCTGGTATGCAGCCAGAATGCCTGCTGCCCACGCCAGACTCTAGCCCTTTCTTGCAACAAATCCAGCAAATATTTATCCAGGGCCTCCTGTGTGCCAGGCACTCTTCTGAGTGCTTGAAGTAGCTAAGCGGTGGCCCCATGCCTGTCCTTGAGGAGCTCACAGTGTCGCTGATACCCTCAGGGGGTCACTACCCTGTGCAGCATGGAGAATCCGTGAGCTCCTCTGAAGGCCGCTCACCGTGAGGACTTCACGGCTCATGCACCAGGCTCCTAAAACAGTGCAGGGAATGAGAGAAGCGCCCCTGGGTCTCACTAATGACTATGGGTTTCCCTAGTGCTTTCTCTGCTGGAATCTCCCCCGCCCCACTTCTCTGCTCTCCCCAGAGCCATCCACATGCTCACCGGCCCACGTCCTCTGGTTAGTGCCCTCCTTGGCCTCAAACCTCTCCTTCCTCAAGGGCAGCCCTGAAGCTCCTTGGCAGGAGCCCGCTCCAAAACGGCCTGGCCCCAGCTGATGTCTCCAAGCTGCTGTTCGGTCTCTGATGTTCTCGGACGTTCAGACTCTCTTTGTCACACATTTTGTGCTCCAAAAACCCCATGGTTCCTCAGCACATCATGTTTCTGAGACTTTGCTGGCTGGTGCTTCCACCTGGCACACCTTCAATGCCCCTTCTGCCCCTCTCCACCTGGCATTTCCCCCAGGACACCTCGAAAGACACCCTCAGGGTCTTCCTGACTTCCGGGCAGGGCTCATGGGCCACCCTCTGGGTCTTCCAGTTCCCCTCAAACTGCTATTGTTGCCAGCCCTTGCAACTGGCCTTAACACGACCACTGGCCCAAATATCTCTGTGACCAGCTCCTGGGCCCCCAAGGCCCAGTGCTAGGCATATGTCAGGAGTGTAGCACACGTTCGCAAGGCACTAAATGACAAGATTCAGGCCAAGGTCTTCTGGGAAGGAAGTAGCAGATGACACCCTCTCAGGGTGGTTTTGGGGTCTTAACTGTGGGAGGAAGAACCAGGCACAGGCAGCAGGGGGTGGGTCTCTCCTGTGGGGTGGCCTGACACTGTCCCCCGGGGTTTGTGAACCTGGAGGGCGCTAGGAGCCTGCAGGTGGGGAGAGGAGGCCAGGTGTTGCCCTGGGCTGTCTGGGCACAGCTTCAGAGAGGAGGTTTGGGTGGTTGGAGCCATGGATGGGAACCAGCAGAGGCCCTGACTTCTGACCCCTGACCTCACTCCCCACAATGGCTCCCAAGGCCTTGCCCTGTGGTCCTCCTCAGTCTCCTCTGCTCACCTTCCTCCCACACCTCATGACTTTTGTGGCCAAGTTGCTTGATTTCCACTTTAACTAAAGGCTTTGTAGAGTGAACGCGCGGACGCCCGTTTTTCCCCCTGGAGGGATTGGCTCTCGTTGCCTGGCCCTGCTGTAACAGAAAGTCACCATCTGGGAGGCTTCACAACAGAAATGTAGCTTCTCAGTCTGGAGGCCAGGAGTATGAAATCCAGGTGTGGCCAGCGCTGTGCTCCTGCCAGGGGCTGCAGGGGAGGGTCCCTCCGTGCCTCTCCCAGCTTCTGCTGCCCCCAGCATCCCTCAGCTCCGGGATGTATGACTCTCACTTCTGCCTCTGTCTCCATGTGGCCTCTTCCCTCTGAGTGTCCCCTCTGCTTACAAGGACATGGCCACCGCACCGGACCCCCCCAAGGACCTCATCTCCACCTGATGACACTAGCAAAGGCTATTTCAAAGCACAGTCACTTTCCCAGGTATTAGGTGGTCAGGACTTCGAGTTCTCTCTTCGGGGACACAGTTCAACCCTTAACAGTGAACTTTCACTGTAGAAACACAGTTTTTCCACCTTTGAGGACAAACTCCAGAGAAAGGAAGCCTGGTACAGGAAGAACGTGGAGGCAGGAGGGGCACCGTGGAGGCAGGTCTGGGTCAGAAGTGGGAGGTCCCCAAAGCCAGGGCCAAGCCCTCCTGGTTCCCACTCACCCTGCCTCTGAGCCCCTCCCTCCAGGGCCCGTCTCCCTCCCTCAGAGCTGGCTGCTGACCCCACCCCTGCAACAGGGCCGCTGTCTCCTCACAGCCTTTCCTGGCTCCCTCTGGGGTCTGCCATGGCTCCCATGCACATTCACACTGTGCATGCTCTGGACTTCCCGGCAACCCTCCCGTCCTCTCGGGCTGCTTCCTGGGGCTGGTTATTAAGATGTCACATTTAATCCCCTTGTTATAGGAGCATCAAATGTAGCACAAAGTCCAGCACACACACAACCCCCACCCACCCCACAGACCTGGCTAAGGCTCTCCTATCCCTCACTCTATTCCTGCCCAGTCCAGCTCCTTCCCAGCTCCTGGGGAGGCTGGCACTCATTCCACCACCCCCCGCAGGGAACTCTGTTAACTAGATTGGAAGCTGAGTATTCATTCCTTTTTTTCCCTATGTCTTAATCTAACCCTCTATTAAGGACTGCACATCTATCCCCCCAAAATTCATATGTCAAAGCCGCAACCCCCAGGGAATGGTATTTGGACATGGGGTCTTTGAAAGATAGTTCGGCTTAGATTGAATCCGTGAGGGTGGCCTCACAATGGGATTAGTGTCTTTATAAGAAAAAGAGGCCACAGCCCAGTCTCCTCCCCTTCCTCTTTCTCTCCCTCCACCACCCGACACACATAGAGAAGGTGCTGTTTATGAATCAAGAAGCAAGCTCTCGCCCAACGCCAAGTCCGCCAGCACCTGCATCTTGGACTTCCAGGCTCCAGAGCTGGCATAACATCTGTTTTTAAGCCATCCAGTCTGTGGTATTTTGTTATAGCAGCTGAGCTGACTAATACACCCTCACGTGGGAAGTAAGCCCCACTGGCGAGGTTGTGAATATATATTGCAACAGAGCGAATAGATGTAACGTCTGAAGAGCCAGCCCAGAATTCCTCTGAAGTACCACTTGTTTGGAAACAACTGTGATCAACCCCTGGATGAATGAGGGAGACCTCCACACCTGGGTATCCACCGATGCCTGAGCTGCAGAAAGAGAGTGTTCAGCCCTGATATGAGGATGACTATTACCTCCACACTGCAGATGAAGAGACTGAGGCTCAGAGAGGTTTAGACCAGGTCTGAAAATCATATTCAGTCCTGGCCGGGCGTGGTGGCTCAGGCCTGTAATCCCAGGACTTTGGGAGACCCAGGCAGGTGGATCACCTGAGGTCAGCGGTTCGAGAACAGCCTGGCCAACGTGGTGAAACCCCATCTCTACTAAAAATACAAAAATTAGCTGGGCATGGTAGCGGTTGCCTATAATCCCAGCTACTCGGGAGGCTGAGGCAGGAGAATTGCCTGAACCTGGGAGGCGGAGGTTGCAGTGAGCTGAGATTGCACCATTGCACTCCAGCCTGGGCCACAGAGCAAGACTCCATCTAAAAAAAAAAAAGAAAGAAAAAAAAAAGTTCAGTCCTTTCCTAAGCAAAACATCATAACAAAGACAAATCTGTTGATGAGGAAACTAAAGAAAACTCAAAGTTCGTGCAGTCTGAGGTCTGTTGGAAACTATTTAGATTCATTTACTTCCTTTAGCTTGGGTAATTTGGAGTTTAATTCAGCTTAACAAAAATTTATTGAGTGTATTTCATGCACAAAACATTTTGCTATTTGCTGCCATATGAGATGATGGATAGGTCAAACTTTCTGCTCTCCGGTACCTTGTGAAAGATGGGGGTAACTGCAATGTGATTTTCTTAGAAATGTCAAAGACACAATGAGGCTTTGATGGGTTACTTGTCAAAAGATGCCTTTCAATTTTATTCAGCACAACGAATCTCTGTCACTTTGCTGAGGGCTACATGGACATCTTCATGTGAAAGTTTGTCTCTCGACAGTGAAATGCCAGCCTCTGTTTCTTCCATCCACTGTCCTCAACCTGGGGTCCTTTTTCTAACCGGGAGGGCATGAAAGCCCCCAAGATAAGACCAGTTGATCCAAATGTGAATCCACTGTTTTATTAAATAGTATTATCTACATGTTTTCTTTGAAGAATCCATGACTTTTCTAAACTGCCTGGCTGCCCATCTGTGTGGACACTCTATCCCAACAAAATATGCACGGTGAAATTTCATAAATACTTTAAAAAGACTTTTAACTGGAACTTGTGGAGCCTGACATTTGTAGGGCTGACTGTTGGCATATGTAGTGTTTCAGGAAACCACTGTAACACCAGCAGAAGGAGCACCAAACAGAAGGCCGCGTGTGCAGCTGTCACTGTGGCCTGAGGGACGCTCCAGAGCCCAGCACACAGGGACATCTGCAGGCAGGAAGGTGGCCCCGCCCTGTGGAGTCACTGAGATAAAGCCAAGAGATATTTTGGGGAGGAAAAGCTGTTTCTGATGCTAAAGCAGGTATCTAAAATGGGACCCATTTTAGTGTTCCAGCTTCCCCAGCCTGAGCTTTGAGTGACTTGAGCTGGGACCTGGGTGCACCCGGGTTCATTGTCACCACCCGTGCTCCTAGGGCAGCTGTCCAGCCTCCCACGCCCACTCCGCTCATCCTTGACTTAAAGTGAGGTTGTGGGGCAGAAAAATTGGAGAAACACACTATCTTTGGCACCCTTTTCCCTCCTCACCTTCAGCCTCAAAGTCTCAGAACCCTCCTGCCCCCTCCACTTGAAAATCTCTCCTGAGGAAACGACCAGACTGAATGCTTTTGCGTCGTTGTGGAAGTATTTCTCTTCCAGTTGCCAGCATTTGAAGACAGTTGCTAAATCCTCCGGGGCTTTGGGGGAGGCTGGTTTTAGGCCGAAACCCCGACCCCGTGCTGAAGTCTGAGTCCCGCCTCCCAGCGCGGGCCGGGACAGCGCTCACCCCTCTCCCTCACTTCCTAACAAACTGTGTGGGTCCCAGGCTGCTCCAGGTCCCCTGGAAGCTCCAGATCCAGATCCCTGACTGGGGGTGTAGGTCAGGAGGAACGCGGGGCCTCATTCTGGGACTCCCCCAACCTCCTCCTCTTCCACCATCAGGAGGCTGAGAATCCAGAGAAAGATCTCTGACCACTAAATCTGTGTGCAGGTGAGTCACGGCTAAACAGCAGGCTTTTTCTTTTTAACAAGACAGCGACGAAGACCACGATGTCTCTGGGCTGCAGGACCAGGCTGCTTCCTCGCACCTGCGCGTGTTTTGCTGTCTTTTCCGCGCACGCTTCCTGCGCCGGTCCTGCAGGAGAAGGTGCGCCCCTAGCTCCCAGCTCCCAGCTCCCAGCTCCCAGAGGAGCACCTGCCAGCCGGACATGGGCCTGGCCTGGGCTCCAGGGGAGGGAGGGAGTGCCTTGGGAGGACCTGCCGGCTCCTTTCGCCTCCAGGCCGGGCTGACTCTCCTCCTGCAGGGCCGGGGCTGCGCCAAGTCTATCGGCAGTTTCTGGGGTTTCCAGCCCCTGAGGACGCGGGGAGATGCGGCCTGGCACCCCTCCCGCGAGGTCGAGGTCGGGGTCGGGGTGGGTTCGGAGGCCAAGCCTCCGAACGGGAAGGGTCGACGGGCCGCAGTTCGGAGCCCAGTTCGGCAGCGGGCGAGGCTCCAGGCCGCCCCTCCGAGGTCTGACCCTGCGCGTGGGCCCCGTGCGCCCCCCAAGTTCCGCGTGGGCAGAGCGGGCCCGGGGTCCTCCGAGCTCCCGGGGCGGCGCCGGCGGCCGCGTCCAGGTGGGGCGGGCCCGGCGGGATCGGCCTGTGTTTACCTGGCTCGCAGGAAGCCCGGGGAGGCGGGGCCGGGGAGCTGGGTGCGCGCCCGTCCCTCGGAGCCGCCGCCGTCAGTCACCGCCGCCGCGCGCCAGAGAGAAGCAGCCTCCGGCCCCGGCGGCCCCTGTCTCCCGACCCCGGAAGGCGAAGCAGGCTGCCCGGGGACCCCGCGCGTGGGCGCTTGAAGCCGAGACCAGCCTGCCCGGGCCTGGGCAGGCGGAGCAGGGCCTTGGACCCCGCGGCGCCCCTCGGCCTCGGAGCAACGAGCGCAGCGCCGGTGGGTGACCCTCGGGGACGGGCGGGCTGCTCTGCCGCCTTTGTCTCTGTGCCCCTCCGAGTGGGGACCGCGGAGACCTGGGCGGGACCCCGGACCGGAGCCCCGCGGGAGCCGGGGGCGCAAGATCGGGGACAGGAGCTATCCCGACGCCCGGACTCCGGGTCCCTTTCTTGGCTGGGGACGCGCAGGGAGAACCTAGGCAGCGGAGCAGGTGGCCGAGCAGGTAGCAGCCGGCGGCCTCCCTGACCCGAACCCAAGTCGCCGCCCCCGATCCCCATTGCGCGGGGGCTGGGCGCGGGTGTAGACGCGGGTTTACAGCGCCGGGGCCCGACCCTGACAGGTGTCCAGGGGTGGACTCCAGCCAGGCCCGGCGGTCCCAGGGTCGCTGAAACCGCTCGGCCTCGGGCCGTGGGGCTGAGGGGAGGAGTCTAGGGTGGGAGGGGACGGCGGTCAAAAGCGGCCACTCTGGGCGGGTGTGGAGAGGGTGCTGGCTGCCAGGGCGGGCTGGGGGGTCCTCCCGGCTCGCGGCGCCTGCTAATCACACCCCGGGGGCCCCGCGCGCGATCGCGCTCCTGCCCCTGCCCCCGGGGCGAAGCGCAGTCTCCCTCTGAGCTCCAGGGGCGGCCAGGAGAGCCCGGGTCCGGGCTTCCGCCTTCGCAGGGCCTGTCTCGGGCTCTTCGGCCGGGCCCGTCGCTGCGCCCACCTGGGCCCACGTGCGCCGCCCGCAGCCGCCCGCCGGCCCGCCCGGGTCTTCCCGGCAGTCCCCTCCTGGGCCCCACTGCCTGTCCTGGGCCGGGTGCGTCCGTTTTCCGTGGCCCCCGAGGCCGGGGTGTGTGACCTGCGGTCATTTGCCGCCACACTAGATTTTCCGGGGTGCTGGGGGCAGCGCCTTGTGTCCTTTCGCGTCCACCTGAGCCCCCCCGTTTTGGAAGGTGGAGTGGGGCTTGGGAAAAGGTTCAAGCGTCTTTGGGGACCCCCGTGCGACTCTGGCTGGAAACAGGCGAGCTCTGGTTCCTTGTTCCGTTTTCCAATTGCAACAACGTGAGAATCAACAAGTGCTCGGTTTCTCTGCGCGTGGGTGAGGGGCGCGTGGGCTCGCTGGGTGCTGGGGTGGGGAGGGGGCGTGGACTTCGTTCCGGGGAGGCCTCTGCCTCGTCTGACCACAGAACGCCCCGCCTGGAAAGAGAGTTTTTCAGAGGAAGGAAACGTCAGGGAACTCCAGTGTGTGTTTTGGACATTTTATCTGGCGAAGCTCCGGGGGACAGTTTAAGGACGGTCACCCTCAAGTCAGGGGACCGTATGGATTGAGCAGGTCCCGCACTGAGCTCCCTGGCGGCCACCTCCAGTGATGAGCACCTCCTTAGCGGTTGGGGCCGGGGCTGTGGTCACGGCTGAGAGCCTGGAACCCAGCCGCCCTTCAGTGGAGGAAGGCCAGGGGAAGGGTACCGCGGCAGAGGGGGTGTGTGTGTGTGTGTGTGTGTGTGTGTGTGTGTGCGCGTGCGTGCGCGCGTGTGTGTGTTTTGTTTTTTGAGGTTTTGTTTTTTTTTTTTTTTTGTGGGAAAAACAGAAATCTGAGGGAAAAGAACACAGTTAAAAATTGCTGTAAATGCTGGAGTAACTCCCAGGGAGTTAACTGTTCTGAAACAACCACTTCTACTAACTCCGGGTTAAACAAAGCTATTTTGTTCAAATCCTCTTTGAAAATCCTCCAGAAGTATCACAGTTCTGCCCAAAGATAAGAAAGTGTAAGACACGTCGCTTGTTTTACACCTGGTAGCTCATGGCTCCTCCATGATTTAAAACGTCGGGTTTGAGTTTGGTCAGTGGTGGTCCTAGCTGTGTGCGCTGATTAAAGGTAGCCACGAAACGCTGGGGAAAAAAGAAAAAAAAAAAACAAGAGACCAAACTTTCTTGTGATGTTTCTATTTCTGCCTGAATTTGTAAATGTTAATTGTAAGTTATTTTGTTTGACTTTTAATCCTCCTCCAAGTTCTTTAAAAATATGACATGCTTAAGATGAGCAGCTGCCTCTGTGCCTTTTCTGTCGCCTGGGAGTGTTTATCGACTGCTTGCACGTTGCCAGACTCTCTTTTGAGAGCGGTTTGTCACCTCGGATAACAGTCGGGACGGCCCTAGGATGCCCTCACTGGATGTCACCATCCTATTCATATCTTCATTTTTTACTGTTGAGGAAACAAGGCCCAGAGAGGTTAAGTTACTCTAAGGGCACACAAGAAGAGGCGGGATTCCATCCGGGGAGTCTGCACCAGCGCCTGACTGCTGCTCTGCACCGCCGTGGTGAGAAGGATGCCTTGCAAAGGTGCTCCTCGTTCCTCCTTTTAAAATTCCACCCCAATGATGAGTGAGTGTACCCAGAGATGTCCCACACAGGTTTCCTTTCAAGAATGATTTCACCATAAGGCTACTGTCATCCGTCTTTGTTCATCATCTTCTCCTTAGCTTTCTTAGTTGTCAATAAAAAAGAAAAGAAAATATTCTAATTACTCCTTTTCTTTTTCTTTTTTTTTTTTTTGACAGAGTCTTGCTCTGTCACCCAGGCTGGAGTGCAGTGGTGCAATCTCGGCTCACTGCAACCTCCACCTTCTGGATCCAAAACAGTCTCCTGCCTCAGCCTCCCCAGTAGCTGGGACTATAGGGGCGCACCACCACACCTGGCTGATTTTTGCGTTTTTTTGTTTGTTTTTGTTTTTTAGTAAAGATGGGGCCTCACCATGTTGGCCAGGCTGGTCTCAAACTCCTGACCTCAAGTGATCCACCCACCTCGGCCTCCCAAAGTGCTGGGATTACAGGCATGAGCCACCGCGCCTGGCCTCTAATTACTCTTGGGATAATTTTAAATAAGTGGCCATTAAGTAGTAAGACACTTCTGTTGGCCCATTGGAACCCGTGAAGGAAGCTCTGGAGCTGTTTAAGGGAAGAGTGCTCATGCCACAGGCCCTAATGCCAGCTGAGCAGAAATGCCAGGCGAGTAGCTGGAATAGTCTCTACAGGAGATTTTAAATCTCTGTCAAAACCTGTAGTGGACAGGCTTCATCCAGAGAAACAGAAGCAGGTGGAGATACACATTAGAGACTCATGGCAAGGAATGGCTTATGCAGAGGTGGGCTGGCCAGGTTTGTGGGACGTCTGTAGGACAGGCCAGCCAGAAGGCAGCTGATCTCCCCGGCCGACTGAAGCTGCCTTCCACAGCAACATCTCCCACATGCCAGCAACAACCACGAGTGCATGTTCCAAAGCTATTAGTAATGTCTCACACTCAATAGCCATTAAAGCGTAAAAATGTCATTCCGAATGTTCTTTTGTTCTGGACTCTGTGAATAGCACTGCGTTGGTCTGAGTCACCATTGTGAAAAATAGGTGGATATCTAAAAGATGAGGAGAAACAGACCTATGTGAGGCCAGGATCTAGAATACAGAAACAGTTCTAAAATGTGGTAATTTGAAACAAGCCACTCAAGAGTAAAATATGAGACTAATGAGAAAACCCAGATGGACTGATAAAATAAGAAAAGGACTTTAACCCTCTGGGAATCAGGGAATTCAAAACTAAGATGGCAAAAAGATTTTTTTTTACCTTTACGGTACTGGAAAAAAATTTAAATTGTGACTATACCAAATATTAGAGAAGGTGTAGAAAACTTAGACCTCACATGAGTTCGACTAGAATGTAAATAGGAACAAAGATGTTAGAGAATAATCTAGAAAAAGTGAAGGTGGGTGTATCCTAAGATCTAACAATTCCACTTCTAGGTATCTCCTCTAGGGAAAACCTGGTCTGTGTGCATAAGACACACACAGTGGATATTCACTGAAGCAATGTAGTAAAACCCTGTTTTGAGATCATGTAGATTCACATGCAATTCCCTTCACCAGTTTCTCCCAACAATAACATCTTACAAAACCATAGTACAATGCCACAACTAGAAAATGAGCATTGATACAACCCATTAACTTTGTTCAGATTTCAGATTCCACCAGTTTACATGTACTCATTTTATAGACTGCTCTGTGTGTGTGTGTGTGTGTGTGTGTGTGTGGTATGCACGTGCGCTTAGTTCTCTGTAATTTTATCACCCATGTAGAACCATGTGACCACCAACACATCAGAGGACAGGAGAGTTTCATCACAGGATCCTTGATGCTACTCTTTATAGCCAAGCTGACTTCCTCCTTCCCCCTCCCTGAGGCTGGCAACCACAGTATGGTTCCTATTTTCTATAATTTTGTCGCTTTAAGAATGCTCTATAAATGGAATCATACACTATGCAACCTTTCGAGACTGGCTTTTTCCGCTAAACGCAATTCCCTTGAGACCCATCCGGGTTGGCAAGCATGTCCATAGGTGTTTCTTTTTAATTACTTAGTGGTGTTCCGTCATCTGGATGAACCAAGGTGTGTTCAACCGTTCACCCAGGAAGGGCACTTGGATTATTTCCAGGTTTTGGTTATTGCAAATAGAGCTGCTGTGAACATTCTTGTACAGGTTTTTGTGTGAACATAGTTTTCATTTCTCTGGGATAAATGCCCAGGAGTGCAATTGCTGAGTCATATGGTTAGCACATGTCTAATTTTATGAGAAACTGCTAACTCTTTTCCAGAATGGCTACACCATTTTGCATTCCCACCGGCGGTGTGTGAGTGATTCAGGACCTTCCCAGCCTGGGCAGCATTTGGTATTGCCACTATTTTTTTTTTTTATTATTTTAGCTCTTCTAATAAGTGTGTAGTGATATCTCCTGATGGTTTAATTTGCATTGTCCTGATGGCTAATGACATCAAGACCTTTTTATGTACTTATGGCCATCTGTGTATCCTCCTCAGTGAAAAGTCTGTTCATGTCTTTTGCCTACTTTTTAATTGGATTGTTTGGTTTTAACAACTGAGTTTTCCTAATTCTTTATATTTTCTAGATGCTGGCCTTACCACTCGGTGATTATTTTCTACCACTTTATCTTGTTTTTTCACCCTCTTCACAGAGTCCTTTGCAGAAAGTTTTACATTTTGTTGAATTCAAGTTTATTAATTTTACCTTTTTTGGATTTTGATTTTTGGTGTGAAGTCTAAGTCTTCACCTAGCCTGAGGTTCCCGAAGATTTTCTCCTTTTTTCCCTACAAATTTTATAGTTTCACATTTTATACTTAAGCCTATTTTCCATTTTGAGTTAATTTTTGTATGAGGTGTGAGGTTTAGGTTGAGGCTTATTTGTTTTGGTTTGGTTTGGGTTTTGCCAACGAATGTCCAATAGCTCCGGGACTATTAGTTGAAAAGGTGATCCTTCTTCCATTAAATTGCTTTTGCACCTTTGCTAAAAACCGTTTCCACTTATTGCTGTGGGTCTATTTCTGGGTTCTCTATTCTGTTCCATTAGTCTATATGTCAGTCTCTCTGCCAAGAGCACACTGTCTTGATTACTGTAGTTGCATAGTCAACTTTAATCAGGTGGAGTGACTTCCTTCCACTTTATTATTCTTTATAAAACTTATGTTAGCTATTGTAGGTTCTGGGCCTTTCCATATGAATTTTAGAATAGCGCGTTTATGGGTGCAAAAACCTTGCTGGGATTTTGATAGGAATTTCTTCAAATGTATAGATTAGGGAGAATTAATAGTTCTACTGTGTTGAGTTTTCCAATCCATGATCACAGGTTGTCTCTCTATGGGTAATTAGGTCTTCTTTAACTTCTTTCATCAATGTTTTATAAATTTCAGTGCACAGATTCTGAATCTGAAATTTCTTTACAGTGTACATAAGTGTTTTATTTTCTTTGGGGCATTTCTAAATGGCATTGTGTCTTAACTTCAGTTTCCACGTTTATTGTGGAGTAGGTAGAACTGTGAGTAATTTTTATGTGTCAGTCCACATTCTGCAACCTACTGAGCTGCCTTATTAGATCTAGGAGGATTTTTTTTGGTAGATTTCTTGGGATTGTCTATGTAGATCATCATGTTATCTGCAAATTGGATAGTTTTATTTCTTCTTTCCAATTTATATACTTTTTATTTCTTTTTCTTATCTTACCGTACTGGTTAGAATGTCCAGTGCTATATTCAATAAGAGTTGCAAGAACTTGCCTTATTCTGACCTAAAGGGCAAAGCACTGAGTTTTTACCACCAATTATGATGTAGCTATAGGATTTTTATGGATGTTCTTTATCAAGTCAATAGTCCATGTCTATTCATGAATGTGTGTTGTATTTTGTCAAATGTCTTTTCTGGGACAATTTATATGTTCATGAGATTTTTCTTCTTTGACTTCATGGTATGATGGATAGTTGATTGACTGACTCTCTAATGCTGACCCACCCTTGAGTATCTGATATATATTCCACTTAGCCATGTATATAACTTTTTTATGTGTTGCTAGATTCACTTTACTAATATTTTGTTGAGGACTTTTGCCTCTAAGTGTTTGTGAGATATTGATCTATAGTTCTCATTTTTTGTATAGTCTTTGCTAGTTTCAGTATCAGGATAACTGGCCTCATAAAATGAGTTAGAAAGTGTTCCCACTTGTTCTAACTTTTGGAAGAGATTGTATAAAATTGCCATAAATTTCTCCTTAACTGTTTTAGTAGAAATTTCCGGTGAAACCATGTGGGCCTGGGGATTTCTTTCTTGGGTATTTCCTTCCTTCTACTTTGTTTGTATATATTTAGCTCTTTTTTTTTTGGTTTCTTGAATTAGATCTTAGATTATTGATTTGAGACTTTTCCTGCTTTCTAATATAAGTATTTCAGGGTATGAATTCCCTCTCAGCACTACTGAACTAGGTGTACATATTTTATCGAGTAAAAGTTTTGATACAAAAAAAAAGGAGGGAAACACACTAATTCCCCATGAGTAGGGCTATAGATTTACGCTATGATTTACTTACAACAGTTAAACTACCCAGACTTTGTGTATCAACATGGACAAAATTCTAAATAACAGTGTTGAATGGAAACCAGCAAACTGCAAATGAATATATATAGTATTATTCTATTTCTTTAAAATTTTCAAATCCACAAAAGAACATGTGGTCATGATTACGTGGGATTATATGACATATAGAAGCCAGGTAATGTTATCTTCTAATCTCGGGGAGGGGAGGGAATTGGCTGTCTCTGCATGGTTTTATTTCTTAAAAATATTTTGAGATTTTATACAAATAACAGAATGTGTTACTTTTTTTGATGAAAAGGATAAGCCAGTTGTCTTGTAGATTATTATCTGTGCTTTTTAATATGTTCGAACTAATTAGTAATTTATATTAGCAATAAATAAACCAATGTAAAGTTTGGGGGGAAATGACACCAGCGATAATGAAGTGTTAGAGAGGAAGATTAGAAGGCCCCACAAAGGAATCTGAAAGCAGGTGTGGAGGTGAAATTACTGAAATTTGGTAAGAGCATGACAATGACAAGGAAGGCGAAGGAGAGGAAGAAGAAAGGGCAGGAGAGACAGTCTCCCTCCTCTTCGTTGTCATTTGTTCAAGTAATATAAGTGCAGAAAGGAAGGATAAAGAAATTGATCTAAAAAGAGAAGCGTGCAGAAACGGGCAGGAGCCGGGACCTCAGAGGAGTGGGCTGGATTCAGCACAGGCCTGGGGATTAACTAGGTGTTTGCAACCTCACTCTTGAGCCCATGACTTGAGGAAGAACCATGAGAATCTAGCTAAATCTGAAAAGATTTAAGGAACAAAATTTGTATGGGGATCCAGCCCTTTTTCCTTCTTGGCTGCCAGGATTTATAATGAGCTGGGCCTCTAAGAGCAGTCTAGCATGATTCAGACAGAGGCCAGCAAACCAGGGCCCCACTTCCTGTCACTCTGCAGGCGACCTGGCTCAGAAACTCTGGAGGTAAAGTGTGGCTGCCCGCTCAACAGCCTCAGGAAGTCCCCAAAGCCCTATCTCCTATCTCCTGTGGGTGGGCTCTCCCCCACTGGCCCCGAGGGAGACTTTGCTCCTTTCCTCTCCCATCCCCTCCGAACTCACCTGAGACAGGCACCCAGGCCAGTGCGGCCCCAGCTGCCCCGCGTCCAACCCCCACTTCCGGGGGTGCAGCTGGGGAAGGAGGTGCAGGCAGCGACCACAGCAGCTACTGAGCCCCAAGAAAGGAGGCCAGCACGGGGTGGGGGGTGGGAGGCGTGGTGGCCAGAAGAGTTATTCTAGCGATTTATGTTTACATCAATTCACTTCCTTTAAGAGTAAAGGGATTAATATTCAGCTCCCCAATTTTCCAAAGGTCAAGAAAGAAAATGAAGTTTTATTCATAGTAAGTGATTAACCAAATTACCTGTTTAATTTTACATTAGAGACCACATATACAATGTATAAAAAGGCAAGTAATAAAGAGGAGATAGAACATGGAAACAAAGGACCCAGAGGCAGAGATGAGGGGGAGGCAGGAGGCTGGAGAAAGGGAGGTTTCTCAGCAGTTCAGGGGACTGCTGGTGTTGCGGCCCGTCTTTTGGGGCATCTGGTGACACGGGATGCTCCCAGAGAGCCCTGCTCCTTCCAGGTAGGAAGGTGTGCCCATGCTGCCCTGCAGGCAAGAGCAAAATGCCCTGTGCTGGGAAGGGATGGAGCTCAGGGCAGCTCCACCCGCAGACTCCGTGCAGGTGCCCTAGGCTGCTTCCCGGCTGACCACCAACCCAGAGAGACAGAGAAATGCTCTACTCAGATCTGCTTTTCACCTGGAGCCTGATTAAGAAACCTAAAGCTCCAGAGGTCAATACACACGGAAAACAAAACAAAGCTACCTGGATCAGTTTAGAGTCCTAGCAGGGACAGAATTGCCTTGGTGGCTGGACGCCCAACTCCCAAGCCAAGCATCTGCCGTGGCCCCCTGACCTGCTCACCAGGAGAGGGGACAAGCTGGCTCCTGTGGTCTGCAGCCACCTGCACACATTACACTGAGAATTCAAATTAAATGCAGAGTCCTAGGCCCACCCTGGCATACCACCCCACAGTCTTGGGGTCGGGCCCAGGAATATGTATTTTAATGAGCTCCGGGTTAACTTAGGATTGCTGCTGTAAGTGAAGGAAGGAAACAGACCGTGAGTGCCTCGGTGTTTCCAGGTCGACACAGCTCATCTGAATAGACCCACACAAGCTCTCAAATGTGTGCTTTCATGTGATCAGGAAGTCCTTTCTGTTTCACTGATAAATTGAATTTGCATTAGAATAACTAATTGATACTAAAGCTTTTTGTTGACAGTTTATTTTTATTTGCATCATGTATTTTTGATGCTTTTTCCATATTTAGAGAATAACATTTTATGTCCTGCGTGAGTCTTCATCTGATGAGGAACGTTTATGGATACTCATTTTCTTCATCTTTCTTGTATGGTTGAAAGCTACCATGTTTGCTAAACTTGCTATCAAAGCAAAAAATTATAGAACTATGTTGTAGGCTCCTCACATACAGCAAACGTACCATTACTTTTTAAAAATTCCTTGGTGTCTACTGTGTACAAAAATACTATGCCGTCCATTTCAGGGTATGTTAAGAGAAAATAGATGTCATTCTTGCCCTTGAAGTGCTTATAGTTTTATTAGGAAGCTTAGAAGTTCCCAAGTAATTTTCCCATGGCAAAATATTTGCTCAATACCCTGCCATGTATACAAAATGCTGCTGGCTTTCTAAAGAAGGGGGTTGTGCTCGGTAGAGGAGTAGAGTAGACTGGATGATGACGACTAGAACTGGCAGAATTATGTTGAATGGAAAATATACTAGCCGGGCGCGGTGGCTCATGCCTGTAATCCCAGCACTTTGGGAGGCCGAGGCGGGAGGATCAACTGAGGTCAGGAGTTCAACACCAGCCTGACCAACATGGTGAAACCCTGTCTCTACTGAAAATACAAAAATTAGCCAGGCGTGGTGGTGGGCGCCTGTAATCCCAGCTACTCGGGAGGCTGAGGCAGGAGAACTGCTTGAACCCGGGAGGCGGAGGTTGCAGTGAGCCCAGATTGCGCCAATGCACTCCAGCCTGAGTGACAGAGCAAGATTCTGTCTCATAAAAAATTTAAAGAAAAGAAAGAAACAAAATACAGTGTAACGTTTTGCTGTCTTCTATGCCGCAGTTCACTTCCCACTTGGCCTCCACTGTCCCGGGAGCTGCCTGAGCGTCTCCCAGCTTGCCCATCTGAGAGACTTCTCGGGACTCTAGCTGAGACTCTAGCTGGGATTCCCAGCTCATCATTGGCGTAGTCCACTCCTTTCTGGAGTCGCCTCCTTGCCCTTGTTTCTCAGCTGTCTCCTTCCTTGCACAGCTTCCAAAAAGGATGGCTGTCTTCTCCAGTTTTGGTAGCATTTTGTTTACAAGGGGCTTAAATGCTACATTGCAAACGTCTGTTCTGGAAAACTGTTAAAACATGTGTTAGCCCCCACTGATGTCTACCATAGTGCACAGTCCCTAATACTTGTTGCATAAACTGAGGCGGATTCTGCCAGTTCTACTCATCATCATCCAACTGATACACAGCAAGAGCCTATACTTTCCAGAAGTCATGTGTCTAAATCTGTTCTCCACCAATCAGAAGCTAAAGACCTGGCATGATTTATTCAGCTTAAATTGTTGCCTGAAAATACCAGATAAATTAACTCAGTAATTTGACAAAAACAACAACAACAAAGACTCTCACATATTTGAGGAGCTGGTTTTCTCTTACATGGGGTTGTGGCAGGCTGTGTGTTCCAGGTGTTTTTATTCCTGTTCTTTCGGCTATCTGAAAATGTAATAACCTTGGGACAGCTTGAGAGCAAGATTTATGAAGTGTGAGCACCAGCTACAGCTGGTCTTTCTAGAAATATAAAGAGAAATATAAATATAAATATAAATCAATTGTATTTCAGAAACAGGCATAGCACGTCTGTGGACAGCTTCAATATATCATTTTAGATTGCTGTATGAAAGGCATTGTGAGTTTTAAAGGGAGATGATGACTCTTTTATTCTGTCATTATTTTCATATGCCGAGACATATTTGAAGACAGGAGGATTTAAGCAAGATGTTAGAAGCTCACCTTATTCATTTCAGACTAGTGGTTGAAAATGGGTGTATGCAGGGCGGGAGAACTCAGAAGAGCTGAGGCCTGGCAGCAGCCTTCCTGAACACGCATGTTTAAATGTATGTGAAATGCCAGGGTTAAAGCCTCATTAGGAAAGAGTCCTAACACTAAAACACACGGCTAGATAAGCAACACCAAAATAACACGTACTATAGGAACTTAAAGTAAAAATCTTATTTATTTATTTTTTTTTTTTTGAGACACAGTCTCCCTCTGTTGCCCAGTCTGGAGTGCAGTGGTGTGATCACAGCTCACTGACCCCTCAATCTCTGGGGCTCAAACGACCCTCCCACCTCAATCTCCCTGAGTAGCTGGGACCACAGACAGGCTCACACTGCCACACCAGGCTAATTTTTGTATTTTTATTTTTTGTGGAGACAAAGTCTCTCCATGTTGCCCCAGCTTGTCTCGAACACCTGGGTTCAAGGGATCCTCCCACTTGGTCTCCCAAAGTGCTGGGATTACAGGCGTGAGCCACTGTGCCCAACCTTAAATTTTAATGGGAGGTACATTAAAATGTGGATTACGTTTCACACAATTTCAAAAACAAAACAACTGCATTTGCTCAAGAACATAGAAAAGGTCCTGGCGGTATTTTTGTATGGGTTGATCCTCACGGGGTCCTAAATCTTGTAGATTCAACTTCGTTTGTTTTTACAACATGTGTAGAAGAGGAATTTGAAAAATTTACCGATTGCACACACACAGGTTTATTCCTGACCTCTTTCCATGGAGTGACACTTAATTACCATGACACCTGTGCTCAGAGGACAGCTCCAAAGGTCGGTAACGTGGTTTTCCGAATCCCAATATTTCCCCATCCTTTTCTCGGGTGAACTTTTCTTGCCACTCTCTCTGGAATTTTCTGCTGCTGGTGCGATAGACCTCGTGACTAACAATGCGTTTTGTAAAATAGTCTGGAGGCCCAGAGAAAGCCAGATATGAAAACTGGCAGGGAGAAGCCAGGCAGAGGGCATTCATTCATTCATCATTCATTCATTCCTTCAAGCAGGCCTAGCTCAGGCCCAAATCAGCGCCTGGGGGGCTTCCTGAAAGGAAGAAAAACACCCCACGCTGAGGTCTTTGTCCCGGGTCAGTGCAGGTCTGAATGCCTGAGTGCCTCTGGGCGTCACAGCCCCACTTCACAGCTGCCCCTCTGCAGCCTCCCAGGTGTGTGCAGCGCGTCTGAGGTCACCTGGCCGTGCCGGTCACAGCTGCACCAGATGCCGCGAGGGCTGACCAGATTTTAGAGGTTTCTATTTTGCCAGCGTTGGGAGAAGCCTACGGGAGCGTGTGTTCCCTGCATTAGGACTTTGAGACCCGTAATGGATTCACAGAAGAATGCTCGCACCAAGCGAGAGCGAACCCTTTAGCATACCTCACCCGAGACAAGGCGGGATTCATGCTTCGTGGGCTGAGCACGGCTGTGCTCTTCCTAAATTGCAGGTCCTGCTCTGTCTCTGGAGACATTGGGGTCTGTCCCACCCTGTTAGGGTCCCTGTCTGCCCTGGAGGAGAGTCACCTGGGGGTGGCCTGGGCCACTGCAGCTGCTCCCACTGCGCCCAGGCCTCTCCCGTGGCTGCCCCAGGGCCCTCTCTGTCTCCTGGGGACTTTGCAGCTGAGGCTTCAGCCTCAAGCTCAGGGAAGGGAGCTGGTCCACAGCCACGACCACCTTGACTTTCTCTGAGTCCCTTCTTCCGCAGCACCCCAACTTCGGTGCCAAGCCCTATTTCCTCAGGAGGCTCACACACTTCCCTTGGGGTGTCCCTTGTCCCTCCAGAATCAAGGCTTCGGTTTTCTGGGAGGAGCCTTAAGTCCTGGCTCCTGCTCTCGGCTCCCTGGGGCTCACCAGGTGGTCTCTTCTCCAGACACACATGGAGGGTGTTGAGCTGTGTGGGCGCGGCTTGAGGTAAGAGGGAAGAGCAAGCACTTCCCTTGCCATTCTCTCATCCACTTGACAGGCATTTGTCAAACACTTGCTGTGTGCCTACTGTGTGCTGTGTGCCTGCTGGGTATTGTGTGCCTACTGTGTGTCATGTACCTACCATGTACCATGTGCCTGCCATGTGCTGTGTGCCTACTGTGTACCATGTGCCTGCTGTGTGCTGTGGACTGTGCTAGGTCCTGGGGACACCATGGTGACAAGACAGAGACCCGGCTGGGTGTGCTCTCCTGTGGCAGGGGTGGTGATGGAGTACACGTGGGGATGGGGAAGCAGAACAGTGCTCGGGCAGTGACACAGTGGCTCTTCTCAGCACCCCACAGGGTCCTGGTGGCTTCCAGGACACCTCCGGCCCTCTCCCGAGGCTTCCAGGTCCCCAAGCCCCTGCCTGTTCTGGGCTGGGGCAAGTGACACCTCCACTACACAGCTCCAAGCCATGGCTGCCCCAGCTCCACCTCAGGGACCTGTGGGACCAACTGTGGTCTTCGCTTTCCCCTGTCAGCTGCCCTCACAGACAGGGTGCAAGGGAAAGTGTGTCTGCCGGGCAGCGTCTCACAGCCAAGGGTAGTGTGAGTGTGTCCTTCCAGCGCCCTGGGACAGCAGGAAGGAGCACCATGTGTGGTAGTGTGTGTGCACATGGGTGTGTGGTGTGTTGTGGCTGTGTGTGTGGTGTGTGTCTGGTGTGTGTGAAGTGTCTGTGGAGTGTGTGTGTGGTGTGTGTCTGTAGTGTCTGTGGAGTGTGTGTGTGGTGTGCGTATAGTGTGTAGGGGGTGTGGAGTGTGTGTGGCATCTGGAGTGTGTGTGTGTGGTGTGTGTGTGGTGTCTGTGAAGGGTGTGTGTGGTATGCATATAGTGTGGGGGGTGTGTGGAGTGTGTGTGTGGTGTGTGTGTGTGGTATGTAGTGTGTGTGTGTGTGTGGTGTGTAGTGTGTGTGTGTGTGTGTGTGTGTGTGGTGTCTGTGGAGTGTGTGTGTGGGTGGGGCGGGTGGCCTGTGTGTTGGAATCCAGCTTTCCGCACTGTCTCTGTCTGTGAACCCTGGTGCCGAGCACAGGGCAGACACTCACACGGGAGATTTCCTGCATTTCCTCTTGGATTTGGCCTCCAGTGGGAAAAATCCAGGTCAGCAGCTCACGGATCATGGCCGACTGTGCTAAAACCTGAACAGGCCTGTCCTGTGCCAACTGCTGGGTGCAAAGCCCCCAGAATCCAGCCCATGTTGTGAGGGTGGTGGGTGGAGCTCAGAGAGACCAAGCAGTCGGGCTGAGGCCAATCCACCCTAGGGGAGAGATGGGGTGGGACACAGGCCTCCTGCTCCCGAACCCACTGACCCCATCCCACCCCAACCCACTGTCCCCATCCCACCCCAACCCACTGTCCCCCATCCCACCCCAACCCACTGTCCCCATCCCACCCCAACCCACTGTCCCCCATCCCACCCCAACCCACTGTCCCCATCCCACCCCAACCCACTGTCCCCATCCCGCCCCAACCCACTGTCCCCATCCCGCCCCAACCCACTGTCCCCATCCCGCCCCAACCCACTGTCCCCATCCCACCCCAACCCACTGTCCCCCATCCCGCCCCAACCCCCTGTCCCCGTCCCACCCCAACCCACTGACCCCATCCCGCCCCAACCCACTGACCCCCGTCCCACCCCAACCCAATGTCCCCCCTCCCACTCCAACCCACTGTCCCCTGTCCCACTCCAACCCATCCCACTCCAACCCACTGACCCCCATCCCACTCCAACCCACTGACCCCCGTCCCACCCCAACCCACTGACCCCCATCCCACTCCAACGCACCGTCCCCTATCCCACTCCAACCCACTGCTCAGAGGTTCTGTGCAGTCTCAGGATGTTACCTACCTCATTCAAAATCTGAGATCAGGGTCAACTAGGAAATAACCCATCCACAGATACTGGAATTCTGGAGAAGTATCAATAGTTCAGACACTTTATTATAATTTCAGGACAGTCACAATCTATCAGGCAAGCCACGGAACTATGAATGTGTTCTGCCAACGTGTTTGCATCTTTCAAACCCTGTTCTTTACCCCTTGTGAAAAGCCTTCCTGGATAATCTTGATTTTGATGTAGGCATAAAATTATAAGGCCTCTACCTAGTGATAATAAATCGTCACCTTTTGAAGGCTACTGATCTTTTTAGGCCCAAAAATATCATGTAGAAATTTAATGGCATGCAGAAAACACTCGAAAAGTTCAAGTTCAGAATGCAAGCTCAGTGGCAGTCTTATGTTCATAACATACACCATGCATGCTAGGTGTTTATTATTGAATCATTCATTTAAATGCCATTTTTAATAACAGAGTTTTAAAAGATACTTCACTTAATGACAAATTCCTATAGTTCTTCATAATTTATTGTTACTCTGTGATAGTTTTCATGTAGAAGGAAATGAGTTGTGGAGTTGTTACTATATTTTGAGTCTTCAGAGCATACATGTGACGTGAAGGAGAAAGCACCCTCTAGCCTTTTGAAGGAGGTCTTTTCCGTAAGAAATCCAGGACTTCAAGTATCAAGAAACCAAAGACCAGGTCATCAGGTTGGTGAAGTCACAAACCACGTAGCAGCCAGGAGCACAGCTCAGCTCCGACCTGTTGGTGTTGGTGTCAGGTCCTGCTGTGTGGACTTGTGTTCCTTGGGCTTGCTTTCTTTGTTTGTTTTGTTTTTTTTTTGAGACAGAGTCTCACTCTGTCTCCCAGGCTGGAGTGCAGTGGCCCAATCTCGACTCAGTGCCTCAGTGCAACCTCTGCCTACTGGGTTCAAGAGATTCTCCTGCCTCAGCCTTCCCAGTAGCTGGGATTACAGGCATGCACCACCATACGCGGTGAAGTTTTGTATTTTTAGCAGAGACGGGGTTTCGCCGTGTTGGCCAGGCTGGTCACGCATTACTCGGGCTTTCTAAACCTCATGAGTTTCAACGTCTGTAAAGTGGGGAGCATAATAATAGCACTTGCCTCCTTGTACAGTAGACAGGACTAAGAAGCTATACTTCTGACCTGTTGCATGAGCACCTAGCCCATAGTAAGCGCCCCGTCGATGCTGGCTGCTCTCCAAGCTCTCCTGAGCCCAAATCTAGTTCTGTTCAATGCATCATTCTGTTTCATGCTGTGTCTCCTGCCCTTTTCTTTAAATATAATTGTCACTTGCTAGCATCCTTTGTCTTTCTAATGTGTCCTGCGAAGTTAAGGACTCACCCGGTAAAATGCTGCATGCCCATGTGAAAACATGGGGCCCTTTAGGAGATCAGCTCAGAGCCAGGTCTTTCGTGAGACCATGGTGAGGTTAATGACCACACATTGCATTCTCTTTCTTGATTAGAATCTGGAAGACTCTGGAAAGTTCCAGAAGGTTCTGAAAGGCAGTTGCCCAGTAAAGTGCTGCACACTCATGTGAAGATGTGGGGCCCCTCAGGAGACAGCTCAGAGCCAGGTCTTCTGAGGGACCACAGTGAGGTTAATGACCACACATTGCCTTATTTTCCTTGATTAGAACCTGGAAGACTCTGGAAAGTTCCAGAAGGTTCTGAAAGGCAGTTGCCCAGTAAAGTGCTGCACACTCATGTGAAGATGTGGGGCCCCTCAGGAGACAGCTCAGAGCCAGGTCTTCTGAGGGACCACAGTGAGGTTAATGACCACACATTGCCTTCTTTTCCTTGATTAGAACCTGGAAGGCTCTGGAAAATTCCAGAAGGTTCTGAAAGGCAGTTGCCCAGTAAAATACTACACACCCATGTGAAGACGTGGGGCCCCTTAGGAGATCAGCTCAGAGCCAGTTCTTCTGCAGGACCATGCTGAGATTAATGACCACACATTGCATTCTTTTTCTTTATTGCAATCTGGAAGGATCTGGAAAATTCCAGAAGGTTCTGAAAGGCAGTCACCCAGTAAAATGCTGCACACCCATGTGAAGGTGTGGCACTGATCAGAAGATGGGCTCTGATCCAGGTTTTCTTTGAGACCACGGTGGGGTCTGTGGCCACAGCACAGCATTCTTCTCCTTGATTAGAATCTGGAGATTTCAGATCAACCACTCTACTTCCCCATGATAGCAGCAGAGCTGAACATCTTTCCTATCATGGACTCCGTAATAGGAACCTGTGTTTTCGGGAAGATTCAGTTTATTTTAGCCAAGACCCAGACGACAGCTCTTATGTGTACGCATGGCCTGAGCATGGGGCCAACACATTTGTTCCCTGCACACAGGCTATCAAGAGCCATTGTGCCTGCTGGCAAGGAATGTGTGAGTTCCTCGGCAGGTGAATTAAAACATTCTTCAGTTAACACCAGCTCTGGCTGTGAGCAATGCCTGAAGTCGGTGTGTTTCCTCTAGTTACTAAGACCAGGGCCCGGGGTCATGTTGACCCTGTGGATGGTGGTATTGGCAAAGGTGTCACTCCCTGCCACGGCTCAGGAGGGACATACGGGTGGCTACAGAGGAGCAGCTGGTGCCAGCGTGTAGTGTTCCTCTGACTTGACAGTTTGTAACCCAGCGACCTGTAAAATATTAACCAGTGGTTTCCACAGCAGCTCCAGGAAGCTGCATCCACCATCAGGGCTTTACAGATAAGGAGGTCAGGGCCCACATCCTCAGAGCAGACAGGGAGAGCAGGAATAGGAAGGCCCTCGCCCAGGCACGTCTGCCCCCAGGCCTTCCCCACTTCCTCCCTGCAGCCCACTGCTCGCCCTGTCCCAGCTGCCGGCCCCTGGGTTGGGCGGCTTGCGCACCGCACACTTGGAAAGGGGGCTCAGCAGGACCTGACCTATGCTCCTGTGACTAAGCCCCACATGACTGCGAAGCTACCAGGGATCCCACCGGCCGCAGAGCAAGGGCGTGTCACGTGTGCCTGCGTGACTCTGCCCTCCCCGTGCCATCCGAAGGCCAGTCCCAGCGTGACGGTGTTGGCATGGCTTGTCAGGACTTACACAGCAAGAGTGGTTTCCTCATGACCTCGCTATTTTTACACAGAGAATTTCGTAACTCCCCATAATGCTGCTAAAGCTGAACACCATGCCTGTCATAAACATGTGGATACATTCACAAGGAATTTCAAATGCTAATCTAACTGACACGTGGATGAGCTACTCTTTGATCTGCCTTTTTTTCCCCGCTTCAACAAAATGCTTTGTTTTGGTTTAGACAGCTGATATTGTAGCAAGCTAGGAACTCTGGGGCCAGTAATTTGCTGCTTGATTCTGATAATGGCTTTCTCTCCAAAGTCAGCTGATCCTGTAAGCAGTAACTTCAAGGGACCACAGTCAGATTTTCAATAAACTCCACTTTTCTGCAATCTCGTCATTTTCTTTTAAAGTGATTTTTGATAACTTTAAAGCAGTGATAGTCAGTGCCATAAATCTACCTGAATCTGCTAAGGCAGAAGAAAACGAAGGATGGTGATGACTAGCTTACAAATAATATTATCTGATACCCCAGAGCAAAAATCCCCATCCCAGGAAATAGAGACGCTACTTCCTTATCAGGCACTTCTTACATGGGTGAATGCAAATTGGGTTTTTGGAACTCTTTGTTTGCAAGTACTGTGGAGCCCCTAGCCCAGGGCTGGCTCCTGAAAACTGCCGGGAGCCTAGGTCCCTCCAGTGTCACGGGGAAGCTTGCTGTAGGACAGACATGGATGCCTCAGATGAGTTTTGACATTGTCCTTTGCAGAGAATTCCCGGCTTGCAGGTCGTTCTTCGTCTAGGGCCCAACAGTCTGGAAGACTTGCTCATGGGCAGAATTGACTCACTGTTCAAAACGGGTGAAGAACATTGTCTGTGTGCGTGGTCTAAGTCACTCCCCCAATCCCCCCATGAGTGCACCCCGTGCATTCGCAGATTCTGTTCTATTAGGTCACTTCATGCCACACTCAAACTCCACTCACAGTGTCTGTGCAACAGGGCCTTTGCACAGCCGTGCCCTCTGCCCAGAACGCTGTTTCCCTCCTCAGCACCTTCACCTGCACCTTCTGCATCCTGCAAGTCTCCACTTACTTCCCACTTCCCTGCATGTTACCCTGTAGGGCTGCTGCAAGGCGGCACCACAGGTGGGCGTCCTGAAACAGCAGAAGCAGCCCCCCACACACACACAGTCCTGGAGGCCAGAAGTGCAAAGTCAAGGCGTTGGCAGAGTGGGAGCTCTGCAGGAGGCTCTGTCTTCACCTCTTCCAGCTTCTGGTGGCTGCGGCAATCCCTGGTGTCCCTGGCCTTGTAGCCATGTCATTCCAAATCTCTGCCTCCATTGTCATGTGGTGTTTCTCCCTGTGTGAAATGCCGTGTATCTATGTCCAAAATTCCCTCTCCTTGACCAGGCACAGTGCTGCATGCCTCTAATCCCAGCATTTTGGGAGGCTGAGATGGGTGGATCACCTAAGGTCAGGAGTTCGAGACCAGCCTGGCCAACATGGTGAAACCCCCATCTCTACTAAAAATACAAAAAATTAGCCAGGTGTGGTGGCGGACACCTGTAATCCCAGCTACTCTGGAGTCTGAGGCAGGAGATTGCTTGAACCCGGGAGGCGGAGGTGGCAGTGAGCTGAGATCGCACCATCGCACTCCAGCCTCGGCAACAAGAGTGAAACTCTGTCTCAAAAAAAAAAATCCCTCTCCTTTCTCTTGTAAGAACATCAGTCATTGCATTTAGAGCCCACTGTAATCCAGGATGACCTCATCTTAACTTGAGGACATCTACAAAACCTTCCTTCCAAATCAGGCCACCTTCACAGGTCCTGGGGTCAGGACTTGGACATACCTTTTAGGCAGACACGATCCACCACATACTATCCTGGAAGAGTTTCTCGACCTGCACGGTCAGGGTTCGTGGCCACCCACGTGCTCCTAGGCGTTCTCCACACACATGCCTCCCCTGCAAACAGCCGGCCCCTGTCCTGGCCGCCCGTCTCTCTCCCGGCCTTCCATGTGGCAGCAGCCTCGAGCTTGTGGGTGGGACAGAGTCCACAGGGAGCTGGAAACAGAGAAGGGGGAGGGGGAGGGAGATGAGGAAGAGAGGGATCTGACCCTCCTCCATAGGAAAACCTCAGCTTCCCCTTTGCACCGATGTTGGAAAAAACTTCTGCATCTCCCTCCCCGTTATGCACGAGGGCTGGGAAAGCCGGCGCACCCAGCGTCAGTGGCGTTCTCCTCATGTTCGGTTTGCCATCGTGATGAACACGCAATCAGGACATGTCCGACCTCCCGCAGGTGTGTGTGGAAGGTGGGAACGGGATGACGGAAGGAGTGTGCAGCGCGCATCCCACAGCTTTGCCGCCACCCGCCTGGGTGAAACCAAACGCGTCTTCTTCCCACGCCTTGTCCTCAGCTCCGAAATGAGCTGTTTCTTTTTGCCGCGCGCGCACGTGTGTGTGTGTGTGTGTGTGCGTGTGCACGGTGTTCATTCTACGGGTTTTTGGTGACGTTGGTAGCTGTGTACTATGCTCCGAACACAGAGTGTTACAATCATACTTTTGGTTTGAGAAATAAAAATGATTGCTTGCAGAACACAGTCTTCAGTGCTTGGGTATTGGTAGAATAAGAGGAAGAGGAATGGAGGGAGGGACGTCGGGGGAGAGAGAAAGGAGACAAGGATAGTGAAAGAAGAGAAGTCCCGTCACTTGGTTTCATTTATTTTCTTTCAGATATCTTTGGTTTTATTTTATATATGAGTTGCTTGTTCTTTGAAATTTGTTCTCCAGGATTTCTTTTTCAAATGTCAAAGAAGCAGAGTTATAGGGCCTGCCCCTCCGACTTGAGGCTGTCACTGTCCGTGTTCTAGGGGTGAGGGGCTGTTTTCTCTCTGCAGGGAGGGTGGGCGGTGTCTACAGCTCTTACTGAGCCTGCCAAGCCAGGGCGTGGTCTCCCAAGCAGTTACCAACGGCTGAGGAGATCACCAGGTCTCAGCATGTTGGTGGTGGCCCTGGTGAATCCCGCCCTGGGTGCTGGAGAGGAGGCAGAGGCCTCACAAGACCGAGTGGACCTGCCCAGGGCTCACACGACACCAGGGCCCTCCCGTGGGGGTCTCCTTCCTGCAGCCCACAGCCTTCTGCTGCTGCCCCTGCCTGGCCTTTAGCGTCTCTACAAAGGGGCACGACAATCCTCTGGAATTTCCACAGTTCCACTGTTTATTCAGGTTTTCCTTTCCTGGGATACTGGGTCTGCACCTCTCTCTACCTGAATTCTACATGGTATCTCCTTTATTATTTTGCACACAGTTGAGGGGTCAGAGAAGCCTTTTCTGATGTGTGCAGATCCACAGTAGCGTTTCCCTTAGTTGCCTTCTTCAAGAAGCTGTAGTCATGGCACCTCCAAAATACAGAACCGTGCCCATGAGCACTGGGCTCCTCGGTGGATGCTGGGTGATGCTGTGTTTCATCTGACGGACCCACAGAGTCGTGTCTTCAGCGTGTATTTATGGAGCTTTTCCTCCCAGGCAAACATTGCCAGGCTTTCTGAACAGGCGCTGAGAACCCCGAGACCCAGCGAGAGGTCTAGCACAGGACTGGAGCAGCCACGAGGCAATACAGCCAGCTCAGCTTTAAGGTCCCGTACACCGCGAAGACTCCAAAGCACCTGGGATGTCGAAAACATTGCTCCTGGGATTTTAAAAAGCAGAGAAAGCAGAAAAAGATGCCTTCATGGTGGGCTCTTCAAATTCTACTAGCAGAGGCACAAGTTAAGACTTTCCCAAGTGGATCCTGCTGGTTAGATTTTATTAAATTAACCACAATTTATATGTTTTATAATATATTCTCATGTGTCTGTTTAGGTATAACATGTTACAGTTTCCAAATACAGAAAAAAAAATCTTATCTAATTTATCTGATGCCTAGGGAAGTGGTCTTAGAACAAAAGTTCCATACACACTTATGGAATGGAGAAAGGCCCCTTGTCCGGCGGTGACCAGCAACAGCTGCAAGGGCTGCTGGGAAATGTAGTCCCTGCCAGGGCAGCCAGGTGGCCAGTGCAAGGCAGGTGGTGTGGGGAGAGGGGCAGTTCTCTCACTACATGGAGAAGGGAAGGTGGGGGACTGGGGAGAAGGTCCTTGTGACACAAGCATGGGAAATCTCTATTCTGAAAAAAAAAAAAAAATTCACATATGTCATAGGTTTTTGCCCCCTGATCTATAAGAAGAAGGTTCTCGAACACAAATCACCTGTAGTGCTTCTGAAAGCAAAGAGTTCAGGGCCCAAGAATGTGTGTTTCTAAGAAGTTCTCAGGTGCTGATGGCCGGTCCCCACACCGCATCACGCTGCCTCGTATCCGCTTCTGAGACCCTCACCACTGCACACTTCTCTTATTGTATTGATTAATAATTTAGGAATGTAGAATGTCTTAGGCCTACTGTCATACTTTCCACATGGGACATTCAAAATGTAAATAACTCTGTTCATAACTAAAATATATTCCTAGAGGCATTCTCATAGCTAGATTCAGTCTTCTAAACTTTCTCAACTGTAAAATGGGAATGAAGCTTACAGGGTTATTCCTGTAATTATCTAACTTAGGTTTATAGAAACATGAGGGATAAAGCAAATCATTGTAAAATAAATCCTGTTATCTCCATAGAAACATTACTTTAGGATTGCTTTCTTGAACATGGACTCAAAAAAAAACTGTGCAATCAAAAGCATGTTATGAAAACAACGTCCAAAGAATCCTAAGTCTAAAAGTAACACAAGCGTGATCTGTGTCCTATAATATGGGTATACCCTGCAGCTCTACACAATGCAAATGTTTTGCTAATAAGCCTAAACAAAATGAAGTGCGGAGAGCATATGATGAATTCCACGCCATCATAAACTTGACCTTGCATTATGGCACCTGACATGCTTGTCAGCCTAACCCTCAACAGGCACGATGTTTGCTCCCTACATTTTTGCAGGTTTGGGAGTGGGAGTAAGATGATTTGGGTAACCAAGTGCCAACTATCTAGGAAGACTGGCATTGAGGTCTTCTCTATCTCACGATGCATTTATTTCTACAAGGGATTTCACAATAATCCCATTGCTTGTAAAATTGCACTCACAATTATTTCAAAAACAGCCAGTTTCACATTTTAATATTTGAATACTTGTCTGGCGTTTGGGGCATGGCTGTCTCGTGAATGTCCTTCCTCTTCACTTTTTTCCCTCTTTCCTCACCTTCCACACCCCAGGACACTTTGTGTGGTCTTAAAGCAGCAGCAGTTGCATTTCCCCTGTGCTTCAGTTGTGTGTGTTGGATCAAGAGCTTTGTTGACAGGCAATTGTAGGATGTAACTTCTGGGCAGCTGGTGTTTTTAGCCTTTTTTCTTCCCTTGACCTTGTCAGTTTAGGAGTGGATGCATCTAGATGTGGGAAGCCATCTAGAGGTCTCTGAACATGTGTGATAGTAAGTAGGTAGCGATGTTTCTGCAGCTGCTCACCACCCACCCAGGGAACCCTGGACCTGGTGGAGGTAAGAGGAAGACAGAAAGCAAAGCAACGCCTGCAGCATACCCCAACCCTAACCCTAGCCCTGCCCAGCCCTGCAGCCCACATGGGCTTCATTCTCACACCAGTGCAGAAAGGCAAGTTTTATTACCTCTACTTTATGGGAAACTGAGGCTCAGAAAAGTGGAGTCTTGTTCGGGGTCACCCAGATGGAACCTGGATTGAGACCTAGGTCTCACCTGCCTGATTTTCACCGTAGAAAGTCAGAACTACCTAGAGAATGAAATCAGTAAAATACCTAGGAACAAGGTGTTTGTTCCCCAGCATTTCAGCTGGGAGCTATTTCCCTGCACAGATAGGCTAGTGAGTTTTATCTATGCTGAATTATCCTGTGGTTCCACCAAGGTGACATGTAGTCTAAGCTGCTTTAGGTGTACATTATTAAAAACGAGAGCCTAACAGTCAACAACAGTGGACTGCTTCCTAGTAAATCTGGGTGACTAACTTTGCCTGTGCCCAATGTTAACCCTCGAGGTAACACTAAGTGTTGATAATCACACAGACATTATCAAAGTGTCCAGTCATCCCAGTGGCTGGAAATCGGATCTAGAACTGAATACCAACTGAGACCGCGGAAGTCTCAGCGGTCCTGATGGAATCTGAAAGTCTGTCCCTCCCACAGCTCTAGCTCAGTTCTTCCTCCCTCTCTTTCCTTTTCTATTAGTTTACAAAAGGCTTCTTTAATTACCCAAGAGATGCTTCAGAGTCAGCTGACTTTCCTTGCAGCATTTCACATGTTTACCCAATTTTTCTCTGGCTCTCTCAATTTGATTAATTGCAAAAAATGAAATAAAAAAGATTTCCTCCAAGCATGCAGCTGCTTTTGTGTGCAGATGGATCTTTTCAGCACATTACAGAAACCAGCTGCCAGGCTGAGCTCTTAGCCCCGTGACAGTGAGAGCTTCATCCTTCTCGAGCTCTTCTCTAAAAGGCAGACTGGGGCAGAGTGTCAGAAGCTAATAAGGCAGACTGCCAGTCACTCGTGATTATCAGCCAGATGCTCTGTCGTTCCCACCATAGTTCCTTGAGACACGTCTCACTTACCGGTGCTCAGGGGCCATTTCCACTAACGGCTCTGATGGGGGCTCCCACACATCAAGTTGTCGTTTTGTTCCTCTTGTCTTTCTTTTCCTGCTAGTATATAAATTTTGCATTTAAGGCTAGAATTAACCAACCCTCAGTGATTCATATAAATATTCTTTATATTAATCTGAGAGGCCAGTCAAATGCAAGTAAGTAGGCTTGTCTAACTAGTCAAATCCAACAAGATGTATTCAAAAGTCTGATCTGGACTTGAGTTATTTTCACCAATTCTGTGTCCAGTATTCTTGAGTTTTCTAAATCATGATTAAGATCAATCATCCCAAGCGTAACCTAGAGTTGTGCTATGAAGCATGACAACATTTGATCAGAACAAACTGATTCGGAAGAAACATGGCCCCTCTCCAAGGAGCAGTTCAGCACCTTGTGGACAGATTTCAGCTGCGTTCAAGAGCCCCTTGCCCAAAAATAGCTCTCTTTGTCTACCAGCAAGTCCCAAAATATTTACATGGCCCACACTATTCTGATTTGGGACAAGTCCTTGGAGCTTTGTTTCCTGGAAGGAGTGAGTGTTGCATTTGTGTTTGCCTAGTCCCAGCATAAGGAGGTGGGAGGAGGAGGGTGAGAAACGGATAGAGCCAGGGAACAGGAAGGGGACTGGGCAGGCGAGGGCTCACAGGAGGCAGAGATGAGATGATGCCTGGGCCAGGAACAGGCACTTGGAGAACACAGCCGGTGATAGGAGGTTCATTTATGTCTGGATGGGCAAAATGCCCCCAAAGGTCCAAGTTGTCAACCTTAACTAAAGGAAGTTACCTGTTTTTGCCTGTGTTTAGCTTTGAATAGACCAGCTCTTATTTCTTAAACAGAAAGATGGATTGACAGATATTTGACATGTTTTTATTCTATAATGTGTGTCCATCCTGCAAGCTCTTAATATTTAGTTAAAACAACACCACATGGAATTAGAGAGGCAGAATTAGGGAATGACAGCCCCTGTGTACCCAGGGTTCAAACGACACCTCACAAGGAACACACCCCTTCTTTCTTAGACCCTAAAAGGACACAGTGAATTTGGCCTTTCCCTTGGTTAACCCATTCTTATCCAGTAAGGCACCACATGTGCAACAAACCCTCATTTCCCAATGAGAAGAATGCCCCTTCAAGGTTTTTTTGGTTGTCCAATTTAAATAAATTGGGAAGGTAGAATCACACTGGACACCGAAATCATCCGCAAAGGTAGCCTTGCGTTTTTAAAATCATACATATCAAACTATTATTGCTTTTTTCACTCTCATGCCATGAAGCATGGGGAAGGCACCTGATTCTTGCAGGTGGGTTGTGTTTATATCATCACTAGAACCGCGTCTTTGATTTCGCAGAGCCTCATCTGTGGGCACTTTGACCTAAGTTGCTTGAAGTACACGTGTTTTAAATCTCCCTGCACGAGCCCCTCACCGGAAGTCTTATCGTGGGCCCCAGTTTCATCACACACCCTGAAGGTGGGTGGGGTTTCCAGTCTGTGGTCGGCTGCTAGTCGTCTCCCACACACGTGAGGGAGGTGGACTCCGGGAGTGGCGACTGTGCTGTAGGCGTTTGCTTCTCTTCTCAGCAATCCTTCCAGTGGCTGTGGGGTGATGGGGGTGCCCGCCTGCAGAAAAGTGTCCTCAGCCAGTCTTCCTGAGCCACCAAAAAGGGACCCCGGTAACATGGGAGATGGAAAAGCTCAGCTGTCAGGCAATTCTCTTTTCTAAAGAGAGACTTTTGAGGAACACAATTTGCATTGTGTTCGGGTGTATCTACTATTTTGGAGAGTCCTCTCTCCCCGTGTTCAGAAGACAGTTCATCTTGTTCCCTCTCAAGGAAAGCTGTTCCTGGGTTCTACAGGAGAATGGGTACTCACACCTTTTTGCAAAAGAATACATCCATCATGGAAAACATGTTGTCATTGTCCTTAAAGACTCTGGTCACCTGCAGCGTGGTCTGGGCTGATGGTTCCAGTGGCCCTCAGCTGAAGAGCCCCAAGGCCAGGGCAGGTTCCGCAGGAAGGCTGGAAGGAGCAATTTGCTTGGAATGGGTGTGGCTCAATTCTTCCGTTCTTTGCATATCTTGGGGAAAAATCATAAATGTGCTGCTAAGGTTTGGGTTAGAAAATAAAAATGAGGAGTAATGTGGTTTTTAAATCCATCTTTATCTTCCCTACAAATTCTGCAGATTCTTTGGACACTTGTCTGTTAAGCTGTCCTTGGTCTAATGTTGGCTCTTTCTGTGCTCACATGGTTTCTTTAAAGCAGTGAGCATGAATAGCTTCTTACTACCTTTTAGTTTTAGAAGAGTGTCAGCACCTTTCTGACATCTCAGCTCATCTCATAACAATGCACCTGAGTATGGGATATAATTCTCTGTGTGTGTACATAGGTATGAATGGATAGATGGATGGGTGGATGAATAGATAGATATTTCTGTACATATACACAGATCTGCAAGATTTCTCAAGACAGGTTGAAGTGTGTTACTGAACAGAATTTGGATGTTGGTGCGGTTCTGTTTTCTAGCTCTTTGCATGGGATGGAAAGATAGCATGTGTTAATAAGATGACTTGGACGTGTCTCTTCTGTTTTCAGGGCCTTGGTTTCGTCTTCTCAAAAATGGGCATTACATATATCACAGGATTGTCTTTCTGATGGAAAAACAACATCGAAAACTCTAAGAGCACTAGACTTAGGGCTGACACTTTCTCTTTCTCTTTTAGCCTCTGAAGAGCCAATCCATTCAGGATGGGAAACCACGCAGGCAAACGAGAATTAAATGCCGAGAAGGCCAGTACGGTAAGACGTGAGCTGATCCGAAACATGTGCATGTTGTTTTCTTATTAAACACAAATCCCCTTGGTGTGTCAGAGGCTACGGGCATGGGCTCTTGCTGCTACACTCTTCCCTGACAGCTGGGTGGAAGCCTGGTCCTTGTTAATTATTATTAATAATTAATTATGATTTATTACGATTGATTATTAATTATTAATTTATTCAGGAAGATTGCATGGCAGTAGGTACATCCTGACCTTGCAAAGGAATAAAGGAATGAAGGAAGGGAAGGAGTTAGGAAGAAGAAAGAAAGGGAGGAAAAAAGAGACACGGAGAAGAAGAAAGAGAAAGAGGGAAACCAGGAGGAGAGGAAGACGAAGCAGCCCTTCCTCTTGGTCCACATTCTGTGATTGGTCCTAGAAGTATCAGGAGGCTCTCAGAGAGGAAAGAGATTGTAAATTCCTTTGTTCTGATGCAAAAATACTTTTGATTTTTTTTAACATTTTTATTTTTTAGAAAAAGGTATTTCCAAACTGCATTCTCTCTAACTAGCTGCTGGTTTGATAGAGCATGAAAATTTACACCAATTCATAAACAGTGAAACACATCAGACTTTCTTTTAGCTCAAAAACCTAATTCCATCTACGAAGGTCCCACTCCTTTCTTCTCACCCACCATGGAGTTTGCTCTGACTTTGCACTCTGGTCTGGTTCTGGAAGAACTCACACTGAATCCCAGAGGTCTGGCGAAAGGACAGGAAATACTTGAGCTGTTTCCTTGGCCCTCTCCTAGATCGATAACCTCCTTTCTCCTGCGTGCGGCTACTTGGCTCCTCACCAGTTCTCCTTCCTTTGGGGTCATGCTCTGGCCTGCCTGCATATTGGAATCTCCCAGAGACTTCAGACCTGCCAGGGTCTTTGCCCTCCTTAGATCCCAATGCAGACGTGGGCATTTTTCAAAGCTCTCCGGGCTCTACAGCCAAGGTTCCACGTTCCTCCTGCTCCCATGTGTCTTGTACTTTGGCTGCCAGGATTTTCCTCTATTGACTGGATCATCACCCTTCTGCCCCTAGAACTTCCAGGAAGTCCTTAGCGCAGACTAAAGTCCAAGGTCCTCAGCCTCTGGCTCCAGCCCTTCTTCAGTCTCACTGTCACTGGACTTTCCAGTGGCGGCTCCTCTACAGCCCATTCGTAACCCTTGTCAGGGAACATTTGGAAAATACAGTTAAACGGGAAACTGCAAATTAAAAGTCATTCGAATCCTTCCGGCTAGTAAGAATTCATCTTCTTTGTATTTCTAGCACGGCATTTGCCATTGTCCGCCTTATTTGAAGGCATCAGCTTCCTCTGTCTGATCTGGATTCTCTACGTTGCCTTCGGTTCCCCTGTAGTGCCCTGAATCGGGGTTCTGGACCCTTTTCCCACTGAGACGCTCAGGACAGATGATCCAATGATGTTGACAAGGACCACAAATGCCCAGGGGTCCTAGCTGTCTGTCTCTCTGCCTACCCCTGTCTCTACACTAGAGAATTGTTTCAGACTGTGAGGAGTAAGCCTGCCAGTGTGCACAGAACAGTGGACCCACCCTAATTTGTATGGGGGCGGCCCTTGCTCTTGGTCCATGCTGTGTGATTGTTCCCAGAAGTATCAGGAGGTTCTCGGAGAGGGAAGAGATTATGAAATTCCTTTGCTCTGATGCAAAAATACTTTTGATTTTTCAACATTTTTTATTTTTTAAACATACATGTTTTCCCCTCAAGGGAAATTATTCCATTTCGTTGGTACTTTAATTCAACATAAAATTATGTGTCTCCAACTCGAGGCAGATGGTGGTGCACTAGAATGTCCGGCTGCTGAAGATGGGCCGGGGTGAGGGTCAGGGGAACCCCCGACTTACACCCAGATGCTTTAGAAATGTCCGCGGAATTGAACGGAATTGAATTTCAGTCTCCAGACCTCTTCGCTGAGGTCTGTAGTGCGTTTTTATTTAATAGTAATAATAAACTTGGAAGAAATGGGGCCTTCTCTGATTTGTACTTAATTTCTATGTCAGCCACATGAGTAATTTTCCATGATTTGCTTTCAAATCATCCATGGAAGGCGAGTAGGTGACTATATACTGTTCCTGTGTATATTTTATCTTGATTAAAGTGATAAACAGTATTTAGTTTCTTACCTAAGGATTTAGAAAGACTAATTTTATAAATATGTAAATGGTTCTAGTCAATGTTGAATGGGAGGGTGACTCATTATTTTGTTCAGCCCATACTTAAACTGTATTACTGATAATGTCAGCATTATAATTAGCAATAACAACCATAAATGTATTAAGTTACTAATTTATTAAGAACATGGCTTGGATACAGTATCTGCACCAGGAGGATTAAGTTTCACCTAAAGTGAAAGTGGAAAAAACAGCTCTGCTCAGAGGCCTCTAGGCTGTTAACACTGTTGGTATTTTAAGTCTTAGAATGACTGATTTGCAACTCCAGTTTCAAGAAACCTCTCTGTGGTGTACAGTTTCTTTCCTGTTGTTTGACGCTGTAAAACACCCACATATGTTTTTAATTTGTTTAATGCTATCAGAGTAAGATTTTGAGCCATAGCAAAGCCCATGCTGAGGCTTTTGTTTTCTGAAATCTCATGTTTAAAGTTCTGATCATTTAAAAACCTCAAAACTTGGAAATGTTAAAACTATGGTTCCTGTAGGTAGTTTTAAGAAGTAAGAGCTTTTTTTTCTTTCCTTTAAACTTGATGGGAAATATTTTGTGCCCTTCCAAGTACATGTACATGTTCTGTGATGCTGCATAGCTTAGTAGAGCATTAAACTTGAATCACAAAAGAAAACGTGACATGAGCTCCAGCCGTGTCACCTACCACTCTGCACATTTCTGTGTGTGATTCTGGGAGGCATTTTTCCCCCTTATGAGAGAGTCAAGGAAAGTTTCTGTCAGTTTCAGGTGCTGGTTACTGATCTGTCAGCAGGGAGGGCAGCTGCGGTGGGGGCTGCCCGGTCTACCCCACACACTGCCTCTGCCCCACTGCCCGGCCCAGGCTGCTGAGGGCCCCCTCCTTCCCACCCTGCTGCCACCTTCTCCACCTCTCCCCACCCACACTAGATGATTCTTTCCTCTGCTGTCATAGAGCCTGCGGCTGAGTGCTCTGATACAGATCCTGGTGATTTGTTTATCATCCGACTTCTTCCCCTCCTATATCAAGGAGGGAACTTTCCTCTCTCTGATGCCTCCGTCTCTAAGCCTGGAGCATCCCCAGCACATAACTGGCTTACAGATGTTCGAAAGAGTAAATGAATCATACCTATTTCCTAACTTCTTTTTCACATAAAAGCTCAGTTTCCTGAGCAGGCTTTAGGTGCCGTTGGCTGCTGGGGAGGTGGTGGGGAGGCCTCGTCTGTTGCCTGCAGGAGCTTCCAGTCTCCTTTGCAAGTTTTGCCCTCAGTGACTCAGGGCTTTGAAATTTGCTTCTCTCTCATCCCGAATAAGCCACGGCAGGATGTAAGAGGAAGAGAAACTAACTAAAGGGTTAACTGTGGAATGTCTCTGATTGGTGAAAAAAAGACACTTTTCTGGAGTTGCAGTGTTAGTCCACTCATATGGGGTGCAGGTCCCTGGTAACAAGTGGTTGAGCCACCTTCCTGGGCCAGTTGAGGGTCAGAACAGGAGACATCAGATTCAGGCAGAAGCACTCCGCCCATCAGAGGAGTGGGCAGCCTGCCCTCCTGACTCATGATTCACTCATGCGGATGGAGTGTAACTTCCTCCAGGCAGGCGCAGGTTCAGGGCACAGCGCTCCTTCTCAGAAACGAAGAAACTCCTGTTCTGCCTTTGACTCCCTGTGTTTTTTAAGTTGCAGGGAAATTTGGTTTCCAAATGGTCCTGCCTCACTAATTTACCAGCTTTCTATCACTCTGCCCATTTTGTATTTGGTTCTCCATCTTACTACAGAACTTGGCAGAACCCAAGAAGGAAAGGGTGCCAGCTGCCCTGGAGAACCCAGGGACGTGCCTCAATGCCAGGAGAGGGGCAGGGGGCAAGACCCACCCACAGAGGGATGCCCTGTCTTAGGCAGTCTTTGCCTGCCTGGCAGTCCTTGGTCCTTAGGACGTAAGACACTTGGCTTCACTGGCTACTGGAGGAATTCATTCCTTTTTGGCAGTGTGAATCAAAGGGGCTGGGCAGTTACCTTTGGGAGGGTCAGCAAGCGCTCAGAACGTGCCCATGTGCCAGGCTGCTTGTGGCTTTTGTCCCTCAGCTTTCTCTGAATGCTGTGGATCTGCTGAGCTGTGGGCTTACTCTTTGGGGTTTTCTGGTGATAGCTAAGCCTCCTGGGGATGATTCACTACATGTTCAAAACACCAAACGAGGCCAGGTGCGGTGGCCCACACCTGGAATCCCAGCACTGCGGGAGGCTGAAGCAGGCAGATTGCTTGAGCCTAGGAGTTCGAGACCAGCCTGGACAACAAAGTGAGACCTTATCTCTACAAAAAAATCAAAAAATTAGCTGGGCATGGTGCTGTGCACCTACAGTCCCAGCTACTCGGAAAGCTGAGGTGGAAAGATCACCTGAGCCTGGAGAGGTCGAGGCTACGGTGAGCCATGATCACACCACTGCACTCCAGCCTGGGCAACAGAGTAAGACCCTGTCTCAAAAAAAAGAAAAAACCACAAAACACACACACACACACACACACACACACACACACACACCCCAAATTCTATCTAGGCCAGCGCTAACACTGTATTAGTGCCTCCTGTGAGCCAGGGACTTTGCAGACATTGTCTACATTGTATGTTGTATGAGTTCTTGGGGCTGCCATAACAAAATAGCAGACTAGGTGGCTTAAAAGACCGACATTTCTTCTGTCACAGTCCAGAAGACTGGAAATCTGACAGCAAGGTGCCAAGGGTTGGTCTCCTCTGCAGCCTCTCCTTGGCTTGTAGAAAGCATCTTCTCTCTGTGTCCTCCAGTGGTCGTCTCTCTGTGTGTGTCTGTGTCCTAATCTCTGCTTAGAAGGACAGCATCACGTTGGCTCAGGGCCACCCTACTCCAGTGGGACCTCATCTTAATGTCATGGCCTCTTTAAAGGCACCATTTCCAAATGCAGTCACGTTGTGAGGCAGTGAGGTTTAGGACATCCACGTATAGATTCAGGAGGATCACAGTTAAGCTTATCACATGTGTTACTTGATAAACCCCAGCAGCGGCTGCACAATTAGAGTAGAGAAGGAAAGTCCTGGGATTGGCATTTGCCGCCATGTCTGACACCTCCTGGGGAACGGACTCCACACCAGCAGCCACACGCAGTCTCTGCCCTGTCCTCAGGAGACAGCAGACCTGGTTTCCCTTCTGCAGACCCTGGTTGGGCCCTTCCTGTGCAAGGTTCCTTCTTCCTGCCTCCTGCCACAGGCCCCAGCTGGCGGCTCCCCCCAGGGCAGGTGTGCATCTGCAGAGCGCTCATCTCCCACGTGCTGAGTCATGGCTTTGCGCAGCCCTCCCCATACTTAGGACCCTCAAAGGATCATCTTCATTCTCCCAGGCACTGAGTCGCAGAGCTGGGCCGGGCCTGCCCGAGGCCAGGTAGCCAATGGTGGGGAAGCCAGAGAGCAAAGCCAGGCCTGGAGCCCCAGGTGGCACAGCCGGGCAGAAACGATCCTTGCGTGGGAGCGTCAGTCTTCTCGTGGCCACAGGAAATGAGGAAAGAGACAGGGGAAATCATTTTAATGTCATGTCTTTTCTTTAACCTAAGAAACCTCAAATGTCATGTAAGCATAGAATCCATATAAAAATTGTTCATGAAATGGTTAACAATTCTTCTCCCATGAAGTCCTCACACTCTAGGATATATTTTATCTCATGGTGCAGTGTGGCCTGGCTACGTCTCAGGTGCTAGGTGGCCACACGTGGCTGGGACCGTAGGTCTGGGCAGCACAGCTCCAACCCTGGCCGTGCCCACGCCCCCTGCCATCTATAGCCAGGCAGAACACACTGAGACCCCCCGTATAGTGTACGTCATGCAGTTCACCATCCCCTTTGTGCATGGTACCCATTGCTCGTTAAATAAGCACTTTCTAAAGAAGTCAGAAAAAATTGTAAATTACCAATATTTTTCCCTGAGAGATGCTTACAGGTCCAATGTTTCACACACTCCCCCTCCCCTTGTATGAAGTGAGTTGGGGTCGATAAAGATGAGGAGGAGGGAAGGAGGATGACGGGGAGGATGGAGAGGAGGGGAGAGAAGAGGAGAAGAGGGAGGGGGAAGGAGGAGTGAGAAGGAGGAGGGAGGGGGAAGGAAGAGGGGAGGGGGTAGTGGGTCAGGCTAATAAATGCAGTTGTAAGGATTGCCGTGGATAAAAATGCAGCGCGGAGGAGGAACAAGGAACGGCCCGTTTAAATCTGCCCAGACTCAGAGGCCGTTTAGGGCCGGTGAGAGTGATGTTTGCCGAAGGGCATCCAGCCCCACGTCCCACTCTGCCCTGCCTTGGCGGTGCCTCAAAGCCCTCCCAAGCCCTTACGGTAAAGGCTCAGACCTGGGACCTTAGCACAGCTTCTGAACCAAGAGCTGTGGCTGAGCCCTGCAGGTGTCATGACATTTATCAAGCTGTCTTGCCACGAATTTTCTCTGACAACACACAGCCTGTTTTTAATTCATGAGTGGATCGATCGTGCTCTTTCCAAATGCAGGTGAAAATTAGCTGTTTAGGACTGAAAGGAATGTTTTAAATGCTTGTTCATTCCTGCATTCATCCATCCCCACACACACATATTAAAAATACTTTTTATTATGTGCCCACTCTGCATAGGACAGTGATAAACTTTGTACATGAAAATTCCGGCTTCACCACCAGCTAGTTGGGTGATCTTGGGCAAGTTACTTTCTCTCTCTGTGCTTACTTAAGATGGTAACATGATACGATGATAACATTATGTAAAGTGAGTGAGTCCACATGTGTGGTGCACCCCCTTGTACATAGCAAGTGCTGTGTGTTGTTTGGTGTTACTAATTTTCTTCTTATTGCTATTATTGTAAAAAAAAAAAAAAAAAAAAAGGAAGTCCTTGTGTCTGTCCTCAGAATACCTCACAGTCTAATCAGGAGACCAACAAAATTACAAAAGCACACTCAGAGCAGTGATGGGTATGAAGAGCTCAGGACAGAAGCAGGACTCCCTGGGGCTGTAGAGCCCACAGGCCAGCAAGAGAAGCTACGGGGAGGGCTCACATAGAGGGAGAGACAGGGGTGTCCTTCCCCACTTCCCAGGGTTGAGACAAGCATAAGCAAATATTTAAATACTGTATTTTTTTAAAAAAAAGATTTGATTTGGGGCACCTGCTGCAAACCTCTCCCACTCAGTATCGCCAAGGCTGTAGGGTCCAGGTGTCCCCCTAATACCGGCTCCACCCAGTCCAGCTTTATCCCACAAAGAGCTCTGCCTTCCAAAACACCTGGCTCTGCAGACCCATCCAAATGTAACTCGCAGAGCGATTGCTGGGAGACAGCCACCCTCTGTGATGAATCCATGTCTCTGTGAGTGGCTGGCAGCTCCTAACACATCCCACTGAGATCTCAGTTTCTGAGAGGATGCCCGCTGGGTGAGGCTGCAATTTATTAACACAGGTTGGAATTGTCTCAGGCTGTGTAGAAGATGTCTGGCTCTGCAGATGGCCCTGGCTGAGACTCTGTCTCCCGAGGGTAGCTGTTTTCCTCTTGAATCCTGGAAGCTCAAAGCTCCCTTCTCCCCTAGGACATCGCCCAGAGCAGCAACATCCTGCGGAAAAGAGTGTCAGTGGCATCTTTTGTTATGCAGAGGAGATGGAATCCTCCCAGGTGACTGATAGCTGAGAGGGAGGGAAACTATCAGGAGAGCCAAGAAGAGAGATGGGTTCCAGGAGGAGAAAGTTGTCCACAACAGGAAGAGCTGCCACAGGGCTCCCCTCTGCCTGGCTCCTGCAGACCCCATCTTCACAGGTAGAGAGCTGGGGTCCCAATATCTGTGAGCCATGACCTTTGGGAATTTACCTGAACGATTATCCAAAGGATCAGGGGAGTCCTTGCCCCGAGTTGGCCCACAGTGGGGGGCTCACTTGTGTTGCCCTGTTGGTGGGGGGGTGTCCGTGGAAGGTTCCAGAACAGGCCTGGTCTCTGGGGACCCTGTACCCTTCCCCAGTGCTCCCTGCTCCCCCACTTCCCACCAACCCAAAGGAGGGGTTTGTAGTGCCCTTGAGTTATTTGTCACCATTTGAATTCTTTCACTTTGGTGTTTTGAACACTGTCTCAGTTCACAGGCGAATGAACTGGAAGATGAGAGGTCTGAAAACCTTATTATTTCTTTTTCTCATATGAAACTCACAAGACTTGCTAATTAGAAACAGTAAACCAGGAACCTTGAAAAATAAAAACACAACTTGTAGTTTATCTTCACACTTACATTTGCCCAAAATGGGTGAAATCAAGTGGTGAGCTCCAAAACATTCCAAAACCTAACAAGCAATAAGTCTGGAAACCTGCTTTTCAGCTGTGGGTGGGCTGAGAAAAGCTAGACACTGGGCTTTCCCTGGTCGTCATATCAGGCTCAAAAAGGTTCTACAAAGATGCCTAGCAATATTTCTGGATTTTTCTATTTAATCAGCTTAAGAAAAAAGATACCACACTTAAAAATAAGATCTGAGAGCCTGTAAAATCATATGTAAATTTTACAGTGGAGAGTAACTTATTGGTCTGTTTGGTGTTCCAAATTAAACTGATTTTTTTTTATTTAAGCTGCACATCAAATCTAACTGCAGACAGGAGGAATGAGGCATACGCTCTGCACCTCTCCAGGGGCAATCACACCCCCTGCAGAATCTGCTCCATATTTAATTATCATTAAAACCCAACTCTTTCTTGATGACACTCTCCAGATACTATTAAAATGACATTCTGAGAAATGAGACATTTAGTTTGCAAATATACACAAAGGCATTGAAGCAATTCAGCTCTTTCCATCAACATGTAAATAGAATCTTTCACTTTGATGGGAAAAATGCTTTTCCTTTAAAACTACTGACAGCCCAGCTGTGAAATGTCACTGACTTTTTCCAACTAGGAGTTATTTTCTCACGGCCATTCCTTTATGGAATCATAAATCCTGCAACATTTTATCCTACGTGCAAGAGATTGTCAGGGTATTTAACATCTTTAGTGAGTTCTGTTCTTGTCATATCATCCTCAGGAATGAAAAATAATTATATTTTAAGCCATCACTGGCTCACAGCTGCTTTATGCAATCATCTCTCTCTGCAGTAAAATTAAGTCCAGTGAGCGTAAACTTTGTTTTTGCTGACGGAGGTGTCCTCAGGCCCAAATGGTGCGTGCACATGGCGGGTGCTGACGTTGAGGAACTGTTTGTTAAAAGAATGAATCCTAACTGCCTGGGGTGTCTACGGAACATCTCCAGACATTCCCCTGCCCAGAGGCAGGTCCAGAAGCCACAAGACTGGGTGACATCTGAGCACATAAATGTGAAGGGGGCAGGAAAAGCCATCCATCCTCCCTGGAGAACAGCAGAGGTGCAACTGAAGCCCAGACCCATCAAACCTCCAAATCCAATGCGCTGTTTGTCCCTCCCTTACACTTCCTCTTGCAATTATGTGTTGAAACCGACCCCTGTCACCATAACCATTTCACAGAAAGGAAAGCCAGATCACTCAGAAAGTCACTTCCTTCCGGTCACCCAAACCCACACCTGGATTGCTGTGACACGGCTGTCATGCCATTGAGCGCCAAATTCCCTGGGAAATTCTTCCTTTCTGATCTGACTGCAGTGTGCTGGCAATTGACAGATCTGTACGTGTAAAATTTCTACTTTATAGGTAAGTCACATAAGCAGATTTTTTGAGAACTCATGTAATTCTTAAATTGGCCATTTAATATATGTTTAAAGGCTTAGGGAACTGAAAAGTAGGGGCTAAAGACACTCACTGATCTCACCTGACACTTGGACACATGCAGGCACTGAGAAATGCCTGGAAAATTCTTAGATTGTGTGGGTGCCGACAGGCTTTTTACTGTACCTTATCTTCAGCAGAGTTTAGAACTCTTTCACACACACCTCCCACATGACAAACCTCTAGAAAACTCTTGAACTCAATAGCAGAATATTAGACGATCTCTTAGTAGGCAGAAGTGCATTAAAATGGCCACACAACGTGGTCACAGCTCGCATTTGTTGGTAACTTACTATCAAGACACTCCCCTGCAGCACCTCCAGTGGGATGTTCTGCCATAATGGAGATGTTCTATATTTGTGCTGCCTGGTGACACGTTAGCCTCTAGACACATGTGGCCCACAGCACACGAAACGAGACCCTTATAACTGAACAACTGTGTTTTTAATGTCATATTTTTAAGCGATTTAGATGGAAGTGGCCACAGTTGCGAGTGGCTCCCCCCTGGGACAACAGAGCTCTCCTGTGTGCTGGCTGTGGCGACCCTTATTCTCCCATTGCCCTACTAGACAGGTATTAGCTCTGTTTGTCATGAGAAAAATTGGGGTGTTTCCCAAAATCATACAAAAGTTAATTTTGAGTTCAGAGGTAAACTTCTCTGAAAAATACAGTCACATTTATGAATGCCCCAAATAGAAAAAGACAATGCTGGCGTGCTGTAAACCATAGCACAAATGTACAAGTAAGCTCTCCTGTGCTCACCTCAACGTGGGAGAGTCCTACAGTCGTCATTTAACGTGGCACCCGCAGTAAAGTGTCCCCGTTAAGGTGTGCCTCCTGCAGAGTCCGGGAACCGGCACTTATGAGCAACGGAACCTTGTGTGGACTGCCTCTGGATGTGATGCACCCCCCAAAGCCCACCCTGCTGACTTGTGTGGTGCTTCCATAAAACTTCAGTGAGCTCCTAAAGAGAGGAATAAAATAATATAGAAAAGGCATCCTTTTAAAGAGAAACTTTAGGCTGGGCTCAGTGGCTCACGCCTGTAATCCCAGCACTTTGGGAGGCCAAGGCAGGCAGATCACGAGGTCAGGAGTTCAAGACCAGCCTGGCCAACATGGTGAAAACCCATCTCTATTAAAAATACAAAATTAGCCAGGTGTAGTGGTGAACACCTGTAATCCCAGCTACTCCGGAGGCTGAGGCAGGAGAATCACTTGAACCCAGGAGGTGGAGGTTGCAGTGAGCCGAGATTGCACCACTGCACTCCAGCCTGGGCGACAGAGCGAGACTCCGTGTCAAAAAAAAAAAAAGAAGAAAAAAAGACCCTTTAAAAACCCGTGAATAGTCAATAACCTGGTTACAGTAAGAAAAACCCCAAATGGAGCCATGTCTGACTTGAGAATGAGCGTAAGGCATGGTACTGGTGTGGTTTTATGAAACTGTGTTTGCATTTGGGAGCCAGCAGCCTCCCCTAAGGCGTGAGCGTGCTTTCAGGCTGCTGGGCGGGGTGTCCAGCAGTTGCAGCGCCCGCCCGTGGGAATTTCTTGTGAATGTTGTGTTTGACATGCAGAATTTCTTAGTGATATCAGAGAACAATCTTACGAGGTTCACCCTTGATAGCAGCCTCTCAAACGTTTTGAGTCAGTAATGTTTTGCTTCTGGAGGAGATTCACGAAGGAAGTCTCTCGTCCATGCTTGGTGGAAAGCACACCTGAAGGTCATTCTGGTTTTGGAGGCAGGGAAGTGGGCATTTGGCTTCATCTGATAAACGGTGACCTTTGTTAAAATCCCTTTGTTAAGTTGGAATGCAATGATTAAAGATATAAGGCGTAATTAGCAAACAAGGGCAGCCTCTCCACAACCTTTATTAAAAATAATGGGGTGATCGTGAAGTGGTGCCTCAGGGCAATGTAAACCCACAGGGCCTCCACACACCTGCACTTTGTGCACACGCCCCACCTGCGGCTCTCTCCTCATGCCGCCTTCCCTCTGCTGCAGCTCCCAGACCCAGCTCCGGTCAACCCCCTCGAGGTGGCCCCTGGGACCGCCGTATGAGCCTCTCTCCAACCGGATCCCTGATGCTCCCGGAGAGCCGGCCCAGCCTCGACCCCGGGTCTGGCTGAGGGCGACAGGGCTCCAGGCACACAATCCAGCTTCTGCTCAGACAACCCAGGGGCGGGCACTGTTCTTTTGCCCACAGCATGGGCATTCTCGGCCTGGGAGTTAGCTTACCAGCATCATTTTTGTCAGAAACTATGGCCCAGTTTGCAAGCAGCCAACTTTAAACAGACTTTGAGAGCACAACATTGAATGCTGGTTGCTGCGTGTAAGTGATGGAAACATAACAACAGTTCTTTGTGTGAAGTCAGAAACAGCGAAATACGCACGCGGGGCCGGTGTGTTCCCCACTGAGCAGGGCAGCAGGCGTGTCTCTCGTCATCGTCACAGACTGTAACGGGGGTCAGGGGAGCTGCTGAAGGAAACGGCCGATTTCGTGAAATGAGGAGCCTGCTTCTCCGAGGGGTCTGGCTAGTTTGTCCTCTTGTTTTTAGCTGGACTCGTAAAGCTCCCCCTTCCTTATTTCTTCCTTCACTGATCATGTTCCTCAGTTGCACCCTGCGTCTGTAACTTGTGGCTTGGTGAGATCTGGCAGCCAGCGGGGAGGCCAGAGAAGGGAGGATCTCGGCCTGTGTCAAAGAGGCCACAAAACCGGCAGAGCAGGGCTGATGTCATTAAGCAGGGTTTTTAAGGTGGAATGATGTTTGAGTTGTAGTGGATGCATCTCTGCGGACGAATTCTCGAGTCTGGGGCCGGTTTGCGTGTGTCCGTTTGCATCTGGAGAGCGCGGTGCTGAGTGCGGCCCGGCTGAATTCTGTGCATCAGTTATTCCCTGCCTGTGTGGCCATGACGACGCTCCTTCCTGGAAGAGTGGAGGGGCTGGGTTTCCTGGGGTGGGGAGCGCATTCAGTGCCCTTCTGCAGATGCCCCCGCGAGGGACAGAGGGAGGGTGCAGCCCGACGGGGAGCTGCTTCTAGTCACCAGTCTGCTCAGCGCTGGCCGCGGCCCTGGGCCTATGTGAGGCGCCGCGCACTGTGCCAGGTCATTTCGGAAACGCCGCCGTGTAATTGCAGCTGTGCAGAGACAGGTTTATTTTAGACTCTGGAAGTGGAAAGCACGCCCTTTCGTCTAAAATCTGTGCTTGCTTTTACTATTAGGAAAGAACTTTTTTATATTTAATAAAATGCACTTAAAATGTTTTAAATGAGATGAAACCTAAAAAATCCAGCTTTCAGAATGATGTTCCCTATCTTCGGCAATCTGGTTTTAAAAGTTTAAATTTGGAAGTGAGACTTTTTATATAATGGAATATGTTTGTGAAAAATTATATCTCTGTGTTTGTAACTGTGCATATGTGGTATGTGCACGTGTGTACATGTATGTATGGGTGTGTGGTGTGTATACATGTGCGGGTGTGTGTCTGTGGTGTGTATACATGTATGAGGATGTGTGTGTGGTGTGTGTGTGGCATATATACATGTATGGGATGTATTTGTGGTGTGTATATGTGTGTATGTGGTGTGTTTGCATGTATGGTGATGTGGGGGTGTATACATGTGTGTTCACGCATGTGTGCATGTGTGTTTGTGGTGTGTATACCTGTATAGGGGTGTGGGTGGGTGGGTGTGTGTGTGTGTGTGTGTGTGGTTTCTCTTGCCCTGCAGACGTCATCCGTGGCGAGTGCCCTTGAACACTGTGTGGCCTCTTCCCGCACTCAGCCCTAGCTCTGCACCTGGGTGGTTCCTACCTGTCATTCTCTTCACTGTAGTTTGATGTCTGTATTAATCTAATTATCATATTTTAAAATGTAATTATCATATAATTATAAATAAAATTCAATATTACATTTCTGCAGCCTTTGATACTTGGAAAACAGAGTCCTTGCTACTAAAGAATTTATTAAATATTAAATAATTTATTGAATGCATCCTAAATTATGCTTGAGCACAATTCATATATAACCAAATACAAACTGTAAGTCAGGCAATTTTGTAATTATACTAATTATCCACAGTGATTTAGGATAAGTGCAGTGTAGATCATTGTTAGCTGTGTGTGCAACCTCACTGTATGATCTCATAATTGCATTGAGGCACTTAACAAAACACCAGTGTCTAGAAATGTTCACGTAAAGGGCTAGCTTGTATGTTGTTTTCGAATGTGTGGTAGGAATTTACCTCTTTTAGGAATGAGTTTGAGGAATGTCCTGTGAGCACAGCCCAGGCTCACTCTCTGCCCTCTCACAGCAGGCCTGGGCTCCAGCTGCACTGCTGCCTCCCCCTGCCACCTCTGTGCCAGCACGGGAACTCTTCCTCCCTTCTGCCCCGTCCGGCCCTGGTCCTGTGTGAGGTCGCCCCTTCTCTTCTCCTCCAGGGGAACGAGGGGAGAGTCATTTAGGTTGAGACTCCCCGGTTGTCCTGCAGATAGGCAGGGGGAGCACAGCAGACACAGTGCTAGAGGACATGGGTTCAGAGAGGAGAGTCCGCCGCTGAGCCTGGACTTCACCATCCCGGGGTCAGGAAGGTGAGGCTGATAAGGAAAGCCCGAGAGCCGGGAGGATAGACGTGTCCAAAGTGAGGTGTTAGGAAACGTCCCACCAAGGAGAGAGCATGGGGCCATCAGACACCCGGGAGTCTAAGAGAGATGGAGACTGAGGACTGGCATTGCGGGTGCACCGGGAGGTCACAGCTGCAGGGACAGAGCCACCTCAGTGGTGAAAACCCAATCAGTGTTTTGTTGGCGAGGAAATGGCAGGAGGAGATTGGATTGGTGTGTATGGAAGTCTGTTTTGAGAAGTTTTGCTGTAAAGAGGAGCTGAGACTCAGAGTGGTAGCTGGTGAAAGCATGGATCCAAACAGTGTTGTTTGGTATGGACACGTGAGTGTGAATAGCACGTTGTCGGCTGAGGCAAATGGTAGGATGTGAGGGTACAGAGATGTCTCTGATTTTAATTTAGTAACGTTTAATTTCATGCTTGCTAGAGTTGCGACTTTGTTTTGAAAAGGAGGAAAGCACGTTTGTCTCAACCTCAGGCAACGGGGGCTAGACATTACTACTGGCCCCAGGACTCTCCCCGAGGCCAGTTTACACCTTCGTTTAAGGCTGAGGCCCCTCTGACAGGTGGGTCTCCATGTGTCTGCTGACCAGGGAGAGCAAGGCCACACTGCACAGAAGGCCGCTGCCTTCACCTGCACCTGCAAAGCTGCAGGTCACAGTTCAGCAAATCCCACCAAGACTTGGAGGTGTACCAGCAGTACTGTCTGATCTGTGAGTGTCTGACTATCCTGTCACAGCCAGGGACACAGATGAAGATGCCATTCTAGGTGATGTGGGGACACCCCTGAGCCTTGGGTTTTGGAATGCATGCCTAGGAGCTAGGGCAAGAAGAGACAAGGGCCTGAACTGACTTCTCATCACCTCCTGCAGATATTTCAGGCAGATGCACCAGCCAGACTCCCTATGCTGTATTTTTGCTGTCAGACCAAGAAGAAAATATTCGTAAAAGTCACGGCAGGATGGGACCCTCCGGCCTGAAAAGTACTGTAGCCTCCAAGAGCCCAAGAGCGGCTACTCCCACGAACTGCCACATGCTGAATGCCTAAAACAACAGGAATTTATTTTCTTAGGGACCTGGAGGCCAGAAGTCTGACATCAAGGTGTGGGCAGGGTCATGTTCCCCTGCCTGAGGCGGAGGCTCTGTGGGAGAACCCCTGCTGCCCCTCAGGGCTTCTGGAGGCTCCTGCCACGTTTTGTGCCTTGAGGCTGTGTCCCTTCTCTCCAGTTTCTGCCCCTGCCTTCTCCCTGCCTCTTCTCTTCTTTGTGTAGCTCTCTGTCTTCTCTCCTTAGGACACTAGTCATTGGATCAGGGCATACCTGGATAACCGGGTCTGGTGAGGCAGGAATTCCTGCCCTGGGGCCATGGAAATGGCCGCACACTTGACATCTGACACTGGCCAGGTGAGGTGTGAGTCACTCACAGCCCGAGGGAGGGAGACAGGGCCTGCCAGCCAGGGCCACACAGGGGTCACACCTAGGAATGGAATGAACACCCAGGGGCTGTGGAAGGCAGGCCGTGTAGTTCGGAGAAGGCAGTGCCCTCTGTGTCCTTTGTAGTATGAAGAAGGCAGGTGCCCTGTGTCCCGTGGGAGGATGTGACAGGCTACGTGAATAATTCCGCCAGCTGTCAGGGAACCAAGGCCTGTGATGCAAGGTGAGCACCACTGCGCCAGGCCCTGTGACAAGGAGGGTGGGTGGCCTGGGCCTTGTCCATCGGAGCAGGGGAGTGTCCACACATAGACTCAGGCCTTGATTTTAGGCCTTGTAGCCCATGCAGACTGATCTCATCTGGAGATCCTTAACTTCATTAAATCTGCAAAGACTCTGTTTCCAAATAAGGACATCTTCAAGGCGCTAGGGGCTAGGACTTGGGCATATTATTTTTGGGGGAAAAGGGACACAACCCACTGCAGGGATCATTAATGATTTGAATATAAAAGGTGGATTTGTAAAGTTTTATTCAAAAAAAATTTTTTTATCCTACTGATCTTTTGTATTATTATAAAAACCAGTTTGTTTTAGAGAAATAAAGAAGCACAAAAAAACTGTTTAATAATGGCAACTTTACCCAATGCTAATGATTTACAATATCTCTAGAACATTTTAATCTGCATGTGATTATTATCATACGCATGCATCATACCAGAATAATGTTTCCCAATTTTTTTGTATGTAAGAAGGTTATGGGCCTGTGACAACATTAAAAACTGAGCATCTGGTGTGCCCTGAAGGTTGGTGGCCCCAACAGTCATACGTTGGTACCTAGCACCCAACGTGACAATGTTAAGAGGTGGGTCTTTGGGGTGCAGTTAAGTCCACAGGCCCCTCCTTCATGGATGGGTCCTGCCCTCATTAAAGGGGCTGGGGGTTCCCTCGCCCCTTCTGCTGGACGTGGACGCAGCTGGAAGGCACTGTCCCTGAGGGATGCCCGGGGCCCTCACCAAAGCCACCTCTTCCCAGCCTGCAGAACCGGTAGGAAGGGTTTTCTGTGGTTTATAGCACCCAGGCTACAGTATTTGTTTATTGAGGCCCCAGCACTCGAAGACGCATCCCGGAGGCCAGGTGGCCATGCGTGGCCAGGGTCTCTGCTGTGGGCGAGAACCCGGCCTTAGGAGCCCCGTAGGTGTGGCCTGGAGGGCCCGGGCTCCCTCGCCAAGGCCGTTCCTTGCCTGGGCTCGGAGGGTGGGAACCTGCCTGCTCCTCCCGCTCCCCTCCAGGCGCCGCGTGGACATAGGCTGTGGAAGTCCCCGGAGACCCCTGCCCCATCCCCTGCCCCGCGGGGTGTCAGCGGTGGCCTCCCAGGCAGCAGGAGCGCGCAAGTGGGAAGCGGGGATCCCAGCCCACGTGCGTGGGGTGCTCCCAGCTGCCCCGGGACCTGTCCCCAGGGCGACCCTGGGAGGAGAAGGCCCCATCCCAGCGCCTGCCTGGAAGGAGGAACCCGGCCCAAGAGGAGCTGCCCGGGGCGCGCCCAGGCTCCCCTCCCCAGGCCTCCCGGCTCGCCTCCCCTCCCCTCCCCTCCTCCTGCGGTGTTTGCCTCCAGCCTTCCCTAGATTCCCACGCCGGCCTCACCCTACAGCGCTGCGCGACTGCTTTGCAGAAGCCAGATGATTCTGCCTGTGCAGGAATGAAGTGCGACCCGGCGCGCGAGGGAGGGAGGCCTCTGCGCTTTGGCTCCGGCCGCGCCTCCTCCCTGGGATCCGGTCTAGGGCTGGCGAGCTCCGCGGATCCCTGCTCAGAGCGGGGCTGCTGCACCACCTGCCGCGGGTGGCCAAAGCAGAAAAAAAAGAAAAAAATGGGAGTGGGGAATACAAACGTCTTATTTTCTTTTAAAGGTAAGGTCATCATCAATGTTGGCCTTTTTCTGGGGCCAGGGAGACCTGGCCGCGCCAGGTGAGTGCGAAGGTCGCGTGTTCCTCCCCGCCAGGCTCCGCGGGGGTTTTCCCTAAGGGGCAGGGCAGAGGGGTGGGGCGCTGCCGCGGGGCTATTTCGCCTCCTGGATGGGTCAGGAGTCCCTCCCTCTTTCCGTTTGCGGTGGCAAGGGCTCTGCCAGTGCTTCGCATCCAAAAGCATGTGTCTTCGTTGTTGTTGTTTTTTTTTTCTATGGAATTAATAAAGGGGCTGTAGTGATTGATGAACCATTTATTTTTATACTTTTCAAATAAAACAGATTGAATGTAACATTTGGTGGATCGCCTATTCTTCCGTGGCAATTTTAGTCTTTTTAAAAAGTGGTTTATTGCAATGCGTTTCGAAGTGAACTATGACGTGGTGTCTGGAGAACATTAGAGGAGCGTATACTGCTTCCTTTTGACGAGCTGTTCTTAAGACACTCTTTTCCTGTCATTGTTGGAATACAAAATATTTAGATGTTCTGTTTAGGAACATTATAATAGCTCATGCCTTTTTTGCCAACTCCTCAACATGTAAAAGAAAATCGGTTTTTTATGGTTTGTTCTTGAGCTTGTAATAATGTGCATTAAACTATAAAGACTAGGAGATTGATTTTTCTTTGAAGTCATAATTCCCTTAGCGCTTAAAATAGAAGTATTGTTTCATGAATAACTCAGAGAAACCCATTTAATCTGCATTATTCCTGGATAGATTAGTTGTGTGACCTGTGAGAATGAGTTGAATGCTCCATAGAGAGGTTTTTCAGTATTTTTATGACTTGCATCTTCGTGTAACCATATTCTAACTTGATTTGATTACCCACTACAAGGCTAGAGAACATCTGTGGCCTGAAAAACAACATTTCTCCAGAATGTGGATTTGCAGAGAATATCCTGTTTAGACTCTTGAAAATGAGGAATTGTCCCTAATTGATCGTGATGGTTGGCATCTATTCGCACTTGTATGCATGAACTCTTTGGAACACATGCAGTTACTTAATAAAGTCAGGGTGACTAATTTTGCTCTTGAATGGGTAGGAACAAGCATTAGCCTGGTCTGGGTTCCTCCAGCTCTTAGGACAAGTTGGAACAGATTTGCTGTTCTGATGATTCATCTTTCTGATCACAGGGATAGCAGAACTCAGCTTTGAAGAAAGGCATCTGCAGAGATCATGGCAGTTCCATTTTGCGTTCTGAGTTTGCTCCTTTAGGTAAGGGAACTAGAATGCAGATGCAGTTAGAATCAGTCTCTCTCTCTCTCTGTTTGTCTGTCTGTCTGTCACTCTCTCTCTCCTTATTGCACTGAGGGCCGGGCGCGGTGGTTCACACCTGTAATCCCAGCACTTTGGGAGGCTGAGGCAGGTGGATCACGAGGTCAGGAGATCGAGACCATCCTGGCCAACATGGTGAAACCCCGTTTCTACTAAAAATACAAAAATTAGCCGGCGTGGTGGTGGACGCCTGTAATCCCAGCTACTCAGGAGGCTGAGGCAGGAGAATTGCTTGAAACCGGGAGGTGGAGGTTGCGGTGAGCCGAAATTGCGCCACTGCTCTCCAGCCTGGGTGACAGAGCAAGACTCTGTCTCAAAAAAAAAAAAAAAAAAACTTATTGCACTGATGCTCACATTAAAACCTGGTTTTTACTTAAGAAGATTTTATGTTCACCTTTCCAAAGGCCTGACTATGGAAAACAATCAGAAGATGAATGACAGTAAAAACATAATGGTGACACGTGGCATTGGCTCCGCGCTAGCTGAGCACCAGATACTGTCATGAGCCTTACATGAGCCCTAAAAGGGCCATGAGATCATTCAATGTTCACAGTGACCCTGTGAGATAGAAAATATCATTCTGCCTATTCCACAGTGGGAGAGAAACTAAAGAGATAAGAAGATTGGCAGGGCCAAGCTACACATTCAGAGAAGGGTACATCCTTTTTCTCTGTTACTGTCTTTTGAGCAAAGATCTTTCTTTGTATATTTGACCTATTGCCCTTCTACCACATCTGCATTATAGGACACAGTTCAATACAGAAACACATGTAGGCACAGGGGAATATGTTCTGGGGAATTAAGTAGGACTGTTTTTTTTTTAATTATATGAAACTAAAGGAAGGGTATTCACCATCAAATTAAGAAGATTGGAGTATTCCATTGCATTCCTCTGTTTTTAATAATGTGCAATATTCTTTTGAACTGAATAACGGCCCTTAACCTTACATGAATTAGCTTTAAGTGCATTTTATTCAAACTTGAAATTCACTCAACTATCAAACTCTTGTAGTAAAAGAGCCACACTGAATCAATCTCTCTCTCTCTCTCTCTCTCTCCCCCCTCCCCCTTCTTAATGTGATCATCCTTCTTATTTTACTTAACCAGCTGATGGAGCGGTGGCTTCCAGGAATAAATGGCAGAGTATTTTGTGTTCCTAAAATAGAAGTATGTCCAGTTACATAACAGACCTTGATAAACAGTCTGATGGTGACACTGGTTAATGTTTGCTTGGCTGTAATTTCTAGAAGACAGTGTTTAAATAATATTCTGAGCACATTTCTTTGTATTGTCAACCTAGATAACAAACAGAAAGACTCTAAAAAACCATGTTTATCTAGGAATTGCATTGCAATGGGAATACATGTGCCATGGTAAGCTATGTGTGCATTCCGGGAGGTGAGAGAAGACAAAGCTTTTTTAAGGAAAAATAAGGAGGATTATACATTGTTCTGACATAATGATCCTTGGCTACAAGGATCAATAGCAAGGGCGGTGCCAGCTGGAGGCCGGACAGGCAGTTGCTGGGCAACTGTCCTCACGGAAGTGTGTGTGTGTGTGTGTGTGTGTGTGTGTGTGTGTGTGTGGTGTGGTGTGGCGGGGGGGGCGGTGTTGTGATGGTCTTTTTGCAGGGTTGTGGTTTTCGCAGTCTTTTGTAGCAGCTCTTGTCATCAGGCATTTATTTATGCATGAAAATCCTCCCTTCGTGGCCTTCCCTGGCTTCATTTTTCAGCATTTTAACCTAAGTGACTCCATTTTGATTCTGACAAGCTTCACAGTACTCATTATTTACACACTGCCATCTTAATTACACTACAAAATGATCTCACAAAGAGTGTGGCTTTAAACTGAAAGGGCCATTTACTAATCTAAGTAATGTTGTCTGTGGGAAAATGGCTTCCTGAGTTCCCTCCAACATGTGGTTCCAAATGCCCTTTCAATAATGCTACAATGTTTCATTTTTAACTACCCATAAACTGAGCGTTTATGGGTTTTTTAAAAAAAAAAACAGCTTTATTGAGATGTAATTCAAATGACATACAATTCACCCACTTAAGGTGTACAATGCAGTCTTGTTTACTGGATACGTGCAACTATCCCAACAGTCCATTTTACAACATTGACTTCACCTCCAAAAGAAACCTGTGCCTTCTAGCAATCCCTCCCATCCCTCCTACAGCCCTCAGCAATCACCGGCTCACTTCTTGTCTGTAGGGTTCGCTCTTTCAGATATTACGTCTGAGTGGAATGATTTCCATGATCTTTAGTGTCCAGATTCTTTCATGTAACATGATGTTTTCAGGATTCATCCATGTTACAGCATATATCAGTGCTTTATTCTTTTTTATCTATTATATTAAAATATAGCTAAGTAATATTCCATTGTATAGATATACCACATTTTGTTAACCCATTCATCTGTTGGTAGATGTTTGTGTTTATACTTTTTTGGCTATCATGAATAACACTGCTATAAACAAAAACTCAAGTGCAACTTTTTATGTGGACACGTTTTTATTTCTCCTGTGTAGTTTCTTTAAAAACAAATCCTGAATTCTGATATACTCATGTTATCAAAAGTGCTTCCTGTGTTTTCCTCTGATACTATCAAAATTTGTCAAAACTTTGTCGAAAGAAAAGGTCAAAGAAAAGGGTCCTGGACGTCGTTGTAATTTTCCTCTGGGTCCTCAGGGTTGATCAGGAAGTATTTACTGAACCTTTACTCATAAACCCATTCAAATAACCACTCTAGGTGGGGCATGATGGCTCACGTCTGTAAGCCCAGCACATTGGGAGGCCAAGGCGGGCAGATCACTTGAGGTCAGGAGTTCAAGACCAGCCTGGCCAACGTGGCAAAACCCTGTTTTTACTAAAAATAGGAAAAAAAATCTTAGCAGGGCATGGTGGTCCCAGCTACTCGGGGGGCTGAGGCATGAGAATCGTTCAAATCCAGGAGGTGGAGTTGCAGTGAGCTAAGATTGTGCCACTTCACTCTAGCCTGGGTGACGGAACAAGACTGTGTCTCAAGAAAAAAAAAAAATACTCTATCCCGAAGCAGAATAGCCAGACTAGCAATTAGTTAAAGAGAATAGTTAGTCTCCTTAAATGTTAATTCCCCACATTTCAAAACCAGTCTGGGATCCTGGCACTGAACCACATGGCATTCCCTAGACCACCTATGACAGCCAGCTGCTGCAGGGAGGAAGGATTCTTCATCCTTCTGAGCCACATGGCGTCCCCCAGACCACCTGGTCCAGCTGCTGCTGCAGGGAGGAAGGATTCCTCATCCTTCTGAGCCACATGGCGTCCCCTAGACCACCTGGTCCAGCTGCTGCAGGGAGGAAGGATTCTTCGTCCTTCATGGTTCTTCCCTGAGCCGCATGCCCAGTCAGCATCTCACTGGGTCCTGGCTATTGGGTGCGCACTGGTGTGTACATGTCCATGCTTTCAGTACATTCACAGGATTGTGCAACCATCACCACAATCTGATTTTAATACATTTTTGTCAGCCCTGAAAGAAACTCCATACCTATGAGCAGCCACTGCCCAACCCCACCCGACCTCATCCTATTCCCCAACCCAAGATAACAACTAATGTACTCTCAGTGTCTATAATGTGCCTGTTCTGGACTTTTCATACTTATGGAATCTTACATGAAAAGGCGGGTTTTTGCGAGTGGCTTCTTTCACGTAGTGTAATGCTTTCAAGGCTCATCCATGGTGTAGCACGTACCAGTCCTTCATTCCTTTTTATTGCTGAATAATATCCCACTGTAGGACTATCTCATATTTTATTTATTCATTGACTAGTTGATGGACATTTAGGTAGTTTCTACCTTGCGGCTATTATAAAATATGCTGCTATGGGCCGGGCGCAGTGGCTCACGCCTGTAATCCCAGCACTTTGGGAGGCCGAGGCGGGCGGATCACAAGGTCAGGAGATCGAAACCATCCCGGCTAACACAGTGAAACCCCGTCTCTACTAAAAATACAAAAAAATTAGCCAGGCGTTGTGGCGGGCACCTGTAGTCCCAGCTACTTGGGAGGCTGAGGCAGGAGAATGGCGTGAACCCGGGAGGCAGAGCTTGCAGTGAGCCAAGATCATGCCACTGCACTCCAGCCTGTGCGACAGAGCGAGACTCCGTCTCAAAAAAAAAAAAATATATATATATATATGTGTGTGTGTGTGTGTGTGTGTATATATGTGTGTGCATATATATATACGTGTGTGTGTGTGTGTGTGTGTGTGTATATATATATATATATATGCTGCTATGAAAATCCCTGTATAAGCTCTGTGTGGACATCTGTTTTTATTTCTCTTGGGTGTATTCTTAGGAGTGGAGTTGTGGGTCATGTGGTAACTTTATGTTTCAGTTTTTGAGGAACTGCCAAACTTCCTTCCACAGAGTCCACTTACTTCCCACTAGCAATGTACATGAATTCCAACTTCACCACATCCTCACCAGCAGCTGCCATTAGTCTTTTTGATTCTAGCCATCCTATAGGTGGTATCTCATGGTGGTTTGATTTGCATTTCCTTACTGCGTAATAACGTTGAGCATTTTTTCATGTGCTAACTGGTCATTTGTGTATCTTTTTTAAAGAAATGTCTATTCAAATTTTTTCCCCATCTTTCGAACTTGGGTTTTTGTCTTTTTGTTGTTGAGTTGTAGGAATTCTTTACATATTCTGGATACATGATCTTTGTCAGATGTGATTTGCAAATATTTTCACCACTTCTCCGGGTTGTCTGTCCCTTTCTCGACAGTGTCAAAGGTTCTCCATGTTAATAGTCTCACTGATCTGTGGTTTCTTCCATTGTTCATGCTTCCGTGTCATCTCTAAGAGCTGCCGCCCAGGAGGCACTTGTTTTAAGGACTGAGGTAACTTCCCACCTCCAGTCAGTCTCTACTCCTGAGTGTTGTCCCTTCTTTCAAATTATTGTTTTAAAAGTTGAGTTTTAAGACTATACTTTCAGGGATCATTTCTACAGTTTGTTAAAAGTAGAGTTTTGATTAAAAAAAAGTGTCTTGGCTGGGGGCAGTGACTCACGCCTGTAGTCCCAGCACTTTGGGAGGTTGAGGCGGGTGAATCACTTGAGGTCAGGAGTTCGAGACCAGCCTGGCCAACATGGTGAAACCCTGTCTCTACTAAAAATACAACAGTTAGCTGGGCGTGGTGGCGAGCACCTGTAATCCAGCTACTCGGGAGGCTGAGGCAGGAGAATTGCTCGAACCCAGGAGGCAGAGGTTGCAGTGAGCTGAGATTGTACCACTGCACTCCAGCCTGGGTGAGAGAGTGAGACTTCATCATAAAAAAAATAAATAATAAATAAAATATAAAAAGTGTGTTTATGAAAACTGTGATGCCACCAAGTATACTAGGAAATGGATTGGCAGCTTTCACTTCCTCTCTAGTACTCCTGTGTCTAGACCAAGGGCCGTTAATGAGGTGTGATTTGCCCCTACGGGACATCTGCCAATGCCTGCAGACGGTCTGGTTGTCAACGCAGGGTATGCTACCAGCATCTAGTGGGTGGAGGCCAAACACCCCGCCACGCAGGGCAGCCTCTGCCTCACAACAAACAATCATCCACCCCAGATGCCAGCAGGGCCCCAGGTGAGGAGCCCAGTGTGGCTGGGACAGCCTCCGGGCTGCCCTCAAGCCTTACCGTCCGCATCCTGTTCTGATTCTGCAGAGAAAGGGGATGCCTTTGAAATGAGCCTGTTTGTGCAATTCTTATTTTCATTTTCCTTCATATTCTGTCCTCTGCTCCTAAAAGCTTTCCGTGTTTTACTAGCATCTTTTATTACTTATGGAAATCCAGTCTAGAGCAAGAATAAAACTATGATTTTTTTTTAAAGAAACAAAAAATGCTGACCAATAAGTTTGCAAGGTTATAAGAACTATTTTTATGACAGCACACACACAGTTTATTCCTGGGCTGATACTTCAGTTCTTAAAGGATTTCAAATACAGTTTATCACCAGATTTAGGTTTAAAAAACATGCGTTTTTTTCCATCCACATAAAATACTAGTAGACTTGATTCTCGCTTCTTGCACTCTAGTTGGTGAAGAACCGTTCAATCCCGGAGAGAGTTGCAGTACCGGTTGCTGTAAGGTGCTTCTCCTCCCCTATTCTGAGATTTAATTGAAGAACAGTGACATATGAATTTAAACTAAATTGTATATACAACCAACCCACACAGAACCTGAATTTATTCTGAGTGTGGAAGGAATATTTGCTTCTTAAAAAGAGAACTAGAGAAAGCGAGAGAGAGAATTTACCTTTGAGAGATAAAGAAATCAAGGAAGTTTTTAATATTCCTAAATGAAGGAATAGGAATAATATTTATTATTTATAGGAATAAGAATAATATTGCAGAACTGAAATATCAGCAAGCAAATAAACTGTGTGTGTGCTATTATAATATTTATTATTCTTCTTCCTGCTTACCTCTGAAGAGATACAGATAGCCAATTAGCACATGAAAATATGCGCAATCTCATTACCCAGTAAGGAAATGCAAAGTGAGAGAATTTACCTTTGAGAGATTCCATAATTCTCCCTAAACATTGTATGTCCTGGTGAGAAACTGACTTGTTCTATTTATCTCCAAACCTACATGTTTGAGCTTTGCCCTAAGCCCTGCTCCCCCACAGTGGCCGTGGCCATGGGTGGTACTGCCCAGTGCCCGCCAGGTGCCACTGCCTGCCTGGGCACTGCCATCTGCCCATCAGGGTTAAGAGCTCAGCGTCCCTCCAACCTTAGTGTACCAGGTGGCTGCTCTTGGGTGATGTCCTCTTCTCAGAGAAATAGTCCTAGGCCTGCTACCCCTGGTCCGAAAGACCCTTTACCAGCCACTCTGAGCACGTTGGAACCGTCTCCTTCTTTCTGCCAACTCTGCAGCCTTGAGGCTGGGGACTCAAAGGGTTGGTCGTTTGTCAGGGCTGGGGATGATGTGCCCTCCTGTGGGACACTCCTGCTTTCAAGTCTCCTCTCCTGCTGGGCTCAGTGATGGCTGAGCGCCTGACTCATCCCTGGGCTCATGGAGCCACAGTCTTGGGAGGGTGCTGGGCAGGAGTGCCCAGGGCACAGCCAGGCTCCTGGAGTCCCAGTGCTGAGCCCGCCTGGGGCTCCCAGCTCCACTGGGTCACAGGCAGGGACCAGAGCACAGGATTGGGGCATCCTCATTGGTGGAGTCCACCCGACCCCAGGGGCAGCCCCTGCCAGCCAAGACAGGAGAGAGGAGCAGAGCCCCAGCACAGGGCACGGGATGGAACTCACCTGTCAGGAATGTGCCCCCACTCTGCGGATCTGCTCTCTCCAACTCTGGAGTTGCTCTTCAGTCCACAGCTCAAGTCCTCATGTGACAACTTCCAGAGAAATGAGTTCTCCAGGCTCCAGCCATATCCTCATGGGAAGACGGCTTCGAATTTCCTGATTCTGGCTGAACGCAAAGATAGTGAGAGCAGTAAACAACTTTATGGGATCTTCTGCTGGAGCTGGAGCTGATGAGCAGTTTTTGACATGAACCTTCTTTCTACTCCCTTCTCCAGAAGTTGTCACAGGAGGACTTACGGGAAGGGCTGAAGAGCAGCTTCAGAATATTAAAAACTTCCTTCATTCCTGGGAATTGGGTAATCAGACAGCAAGAAACCTGGGAGAGCGGGTGGTAGAATGACAGGGAGGGAACGTGGCGGTTGAAAGTGGAGGTAGGAAGGTAGACAAAAAGCAGCTTTCAGCCCCTCGGAAGATGCCGTTTGCCATGTGGCTGTGTTGCTTTATGACCTGGAAAGTGACTCACACAGCATGAGCGCATCTCCTGAACACGTAAGATGTTGAGACACATCACAAGACAGATGAGAGGGTTTGAGGGTTGGTTTGGGATTAGCCATGAAAATGCATCTTCCACTGTTAGAGCAGGTGACTGTCCTTCAGCTGCTGGGGCTGGGAGATAAGGAGGCCCATGGCGGGCACGTGGGTCTGCAGTCAGCCCTCCCTGGAGAGGCCGGGGCAGGGGGGTGCAGCTCTCGGGAGGATGGCCCGGGGATAATCCCTCCACAGGGATGGTTCCATTACCTGTCTCTTGACCTCAGTCTAGAAATTGGCAAATATAAGACCTGCACTCTCCCCGAATTAAAATAGCAATCCTCCCTTGGTGATCCTGGTTAAGTTTAGATTCTATAATGTGCCTTATTTTCCAAAGAAAATTGTTAGTTTTGTGACATGTTTTTCTGGGATTACCCTAATGAGTAGTTCCGAGTCCTAACTGTGCTGAGAGTCACCTGTGAGAGTGTAGACCAGGAAGCAAGAATCTCGTGGGTGCAGGACAGCTCTGCAGGCCCTTCTGAGGCCACCGCCCCGGGCCGGCCCAGCATCGAGGAGTCACGGACTTAAATCCCTCAGCAAAACCCAGTCCAAGCAAGGACCCTGCCCCACCACAGGGCTATGCTGTGTCTTTTCTTTAACAGGTGTCTAGAGTTATTTGCCTTGTCATCTACCCAGACATTTTGGGGAAATGGTTTAGAATGCAGTGAGGGCCTGGGAGTCACCTAGTGTAGGTGCCAGCCTTGGACACTAGTTTGCAGGGGAAAGTATTTTCAGAAGAAGGATCAAGAAAAGAATTGTTTTAATTTTTTTTTTTTTTTTTTTGCGACGGAGTCTCACTCTTGTTGCCCTGGCTGGAGTGCAGCCTGCAGTGCTCACTGCAACCTCCGCTTCCCAGGTTCAAGCAATTCTCCTGCCTCAGCCTCCCGAGTAGCCAGGATTACAGGTGCCCACCACCACGCCCAGCTAATTTTTTGTATTTTTAGTAGTGACAGGGTTTCACCATGTTGGCCAGGCTGGTCTTGAACTCCTGACCTCGGGTGATCCTCCCGCCTCAACCTCCCAAAGTGCTGGGATTACAGGTATGAGCCACCACACCTGGCCTGTTTTATTTTAATTTTATACCAAACACACGGCACTAATTCTGTGCCAGGCACTTTATAAATATTAACTCTCTTCATCTTCCTGATAACAATAAGAGGTACTATTATTCTCACTCTTGTACAAACAAGGAAACAGAGGCACAGAGACACTAAGCCACTTGCCCTTGATCGCAAAGCTATTAAGGGTGGGGTTGGGATTGGTGCCTCGGCGCCTGGCTCCAGAATGCTCTCAGCACTGGTCCCTGTGGTCTGGGAGCTTGAGCTTCTCCTGGTGGTTTTCGTGCCTACTTGCTGGAATCAGGTGTGTGTTTAACCTCATACTCAAAAGTTTATGTGAGTGGCCCTTTTTTCAAGAATCATTGAACATGTTTTTAACTTGAGTGGTCACCAATATATTTAATAACTGCTCTGTGGAAGGTCAGGAAGAGTGGAAGGACATGAAACAGCCGCTGGCACAGTCGTTCCTGCTTTGCATTGCTACAGAACAAATGATTCCAAACCTCAGCACTGAAGCAGCAGCAGCTTCATTAGGTCTCAGGATTTTGTGAGCTGGAATTCAGGCAGGACTCAGCAGCGACGGTGCCGCCTCGATGCTCTCAGAGGGCAGCTGAGGCCTTGGCATGGCCCAAGCCCTCTGCAGGTGCAGCTGGGCCAGGGGAAGCTGCTGAAAAACTGCCCTACTGGGCTCCCCTCTCCATGTGGCCTCAGAGCCTCCCCAGGTGGACTCCCCTGTGGGGCACTCAAACGGCCCACCTGTTGACTCAAGAGGCCACGGTGGAAGTGGCTGGTCCTCATCAAGGTCAGGCCAAGTGCCAGCATAGTGCCAAACCCACCCCACTGTGTTAGCAGGACCACCAGCGCCAGTCCAATTCCAGGAAAGGGAAACGGGCTCACTTCTCCGTGGGACAAGTGTCCAAACCCAGCAGCCCTCTTTCATGCATCACACTGAGAGGCAGGCAGTGGATTCTGAATCACAGGCTGTCAGTTGAATAGCATAAACCGTCACTGCCATTCCGTAACTCACACTCACAGTGCTCTTTGATTTATTCGAATCAAAGTTTGAGATTGCGAAGGTTCATGATAAATGTAATCGAATCCCTCCATATGCATTAAGGTATGATATTCAGATCAGCATTTTATGCCCGTTGCCTCCAGAGGCCAACAGTCCCCTGAGACCAGCAAGGGCCTAATAGTAATGTTCACCCCACAATTTGCAGCCTAATAGTATAATGCCTAGTTTCATTTCCACTCTTAGCCTAATCTCTTCCATTGGATTTTAATATTGTTTTATATGGAAGTCCCCATTAGTGCGGTGTGCACATTTTTATGGCTGACTGGCTCCTGTGCATTGAAAAGCACCTGTTCTGAGGACGTTAAACAGAGCTCTTCCATGTGGGCATTCAAGATGAGTTCACGCGGGTCTTCAATAGAAACCATTTTGTCCCTAAGCAAAACATCATCATGTTTCAGCAGTTTTCTTCTCTCTGCTATAGTCAAAGAGGGGCTTGCATATCAAAATCAGATGGCTGCACCCTCAACCCCATCCTCTCCCCCACCCTGGGAGCTTCAGCGCCACTCCACCTTCAGCCCGCTGCTCCTGGAGGGGACAGAGGACCCACCTTCTCGCTGCCGTCTGGACGTGTCAGGCGTTCTCTAGGCCAGCAATGTGTGTGATGGGCGTTTTGATGGATGGCTAAATGTATTACACATTTCATTATACTTTTAAGAGGAGTAAGAGTGTTTTCTCTTATCAATTCCATTTTAATGTTAGCTATAACAAAAACATAGTTTAATGGTTTGTGCAAAAATTCACTCATTTTGCTCAAAGGTAATTAATAAATGCACCCTATTTGATGCAGAAACTGCATCTCCAGAAAGTGATTCCATCCCTGGGAGAAGCTTCCAGACAAAAAGGGCAAGAGAGTAGATACTTCAGTGATTCCACCTGCCGTGACAGAAGCCCTTTCTCCTCCATTCTGGATCTTGGAGAGGAGGGATTGAGATCTCAGAAGCTCTATCAGATAGGCTTTTATTTATTTAGAGGTTTGTTTTTCCTGCAGTATCCTCTTTAAACACCCACAGTTTTTTTAAATCCAAGATAGTATTGCCTAGAACATGTGGATAATGTAAACATGATCTAGTAAACTGATTACAGGTAAATTAAAACTTTTGTCTGTAATTTTCTATTTAGTTGCTGTGATCTTTACATGAATGTTTCTTACTGGCTGTTCATTTGCACTGCATATTAGACAGAGACCACCTAGGCAGGCACTGCCAGTGGTGCCAATGGTACTCCAACAGTTATGCAATTATAAGGGCGTTCTGCACTGAACTGAGGTTGAGGAATGCAGGCTGTGTCTGGGAATCGATTTCCCATGAAATCGTGGACTTTGGTTCCGCCCCAGCTGTGCCTGGCTTCCCTTTCCTTCCCACAGTGGCCCCCATTTGTTTTCCTTTGACCCCACCACTCTCGCCATGTTCCCCGAGCATCTCCTCCTCCCAGGCCTGGATGGGGGCCAGACACTGAAGCCTAGTTCTCCTTGTAGCTTGCTGCCAAATTCTTATGGCCTTTCCATATCACAGGCTTATAGTCCTGTTGTCTTGACCAAAGAAAAAGAATCCTACGAAAGTGTGATACATATGACCTCAACCCTGAAGTCTCTGACTCCCTTGGAGAAGTTAACTTAGAAATCTATCCATTTCCCTTGAGACCCAGGCTCACTGAACCCCCTTGAGACCCGGGCTCACTGAACCCCCTTGAGACCGGGGCTCACTGAACCCCCTTGGGGAGACCCGGGCTCACTGAACCCATTGTCTTCTGACCCCACCATCAGCACAAGTCTCATGGCCCTTTCCAGAAGCAGCTAAGCCTAAAAGTGGGAGAAACAGAAAAATTGAAGCCCCCACGTGGGCACTGTCTACCTCCAAGGACCCCCAGACTGAGGGGCTGCGAAATCCTCAGACCTGTGTTCAGATCAGAAGCAACCCTTTCTGTGCATTTGCCCAAGGTTTCAGTCTCATCTCTGAGCTAAGGACCCTGTGAGTGTGCACAAGTCAGCATCACTACTCCTGGCCTTAGTGGTGAGAAGAGTGGTTGGGCTGGTCTCTAAAGTCTTTCTAATTGTGAAAGTCTATCTCATTTCGTTTCCGATAAGTACATCTAAAGTAACAGATATCATGGTGATCTTTTAGCTTGAGAATAAAATGTGTGAAGTTGGGTTTGGCTGTGAACTGGCGGAAGGCAAGAGAATACACCCATCGAGCTGGCTGAAGAGCAGTTGTTAGTTTTCAGCAGGTCACCTCTTACATAACCAGTTGCTGGGAGATAACCTTCCACAGGTCTGCATGTCCTGCAAGCCAGGCAGGATCCACCCGTATTCTGGACTATTTTTTCCAGGATGTTTACATAATGAACAGGCTAGGAAGATAGAGAGAGTGTCTATCTGCAGCAAATAACAGGTCTTGGGAGATATAGTGTCTCCCTGCGGAGCAGGGCACTGGCGTAGCTACTGACAGTTCTAAAGGATTCAGGTTTCCTAGATGGGCATTCCTCTCCTGCCACTCAACCCACTGCATGCAGACAGCCACCTGGGCCCATTCGCATGGCTCCTGTGTGAACTGGGTATTAGGGAACTCATGTCAAAATGGTGAAATGTTGCTACTGCTGTGAATAATAACCCACCCTTTGTCTCTGACCCAGGAATCTCATTCCTTCATGAGCATCCACAAAACTTAGCTTTCGGGTAGATAAAATCTCAAATGTGCCACTGTTCTTAACATGAGCCTAGTGTTGACCCTCTTTGTAAAACTAGATGATGCTGAAATTCCTTTTATAATCTAGTCTTTTTATATATATACATATAAAATACTTATAAAAATTTAAAGAGAGCAAAAATATGTAAGATGAAAAATAAGCCAGTTAACCTCTACCTGATATCTTTGACTTTCTGGATTGGAAATGAAATTTGCTGAACAGATGCTGGATCCTGACAAAGTATTTGGAAGTATTCATTGTCAACTAAAGTTTCATTAGAAATCCTAGAAATCTCTGGTGTGGATTAATTGGAGAGGAATCTAAGACAGGGCAATGGCAGTGGGCGAAGATTCAGAAAGAACACGTTGCTGCCAGCAAGGAGGGTTGACCATTGCTGACAATGGCTGAACAGGCCAGGCGTCCTAAAAGCAGTGAGCTTTCCTCCAGAGAAATGTGCCATTTGCAGTCCTCATAATGATGCCGCAAGATGGGGACCACTGTCCTCCTGGGGATACTGAGGTGGAGGGAGCTTGACTCGCTTAAGATCTCACTTTGAGTAACTGCGCTGCGGGCGGCACTACATCCCACTGTTTCTGCTGCCACACCAGGAGTCCTGGGCCAGAGCCCCTGAGAAGTGGCTTTGATGGTTCTGAGAAAAAATAAGGGCTTATTCTGATAACAGTGTGAAGCTAAGATGCTACTGATCTGCATTTTCAATAGTTTTGTGTGCTTCTGCAAAGAGCAGTTTCCACTTATTGAATGCTCTTCACGATGACCACATAGAAAAGTATGATTATAATGTTCATTTTAAAGCTGAGCAAACAGGTACAGAAAACTCAGTTATTTTCCCTGTTACCCAGGCAATCAGCTTCAGAGAGCCCGAGGTCTTGGCTGTCATGCGAATAATGATTTTGATACGACGTACATGTGTTGCAGATCCTGATGCCCCCAAACTATTTTCTGCAAATATCTGGGTGAATTAGATCTGTCTACGGCAGGGAATATGGCAGAAGGTAAAGAAAACTTAAAGAAATATCTGCCTTTTAGTAGCATCCCCTCTGAAATGACCTAAGGCTCAAAATATGTGTGGTGCTGTGAGAAACACCAGGCCATATTCAGATTTGTGCATAGAAATGAGATAAGAATTATGAGGCAGGAGGGGAGGGGAGGCGGAGGGGTGTGTACGCCGGCAGGATCCTGAGCCTTCAAAGGCCAAGCAGCTGGCATGTAGGTGCCACATATGACTGTGTCGCCTGTGACGTCATAGGAAGCTTCAGCTGGGCTTTTTTGTTTGTTTTGTTTTTTAAATAAGGTCAGTCGAGTATAAGATTCAGAAGGGGGAAGACAGTTGCAACTTCTCTTGTTAAACATCCTAGGAATTTTAGAAATATGAATCACTGTAATTTTTCTTCTGGGAAATCTCAGAAAAAATAAACACGGTGCACTTCCTACGCCATTGACACTCTCCAGTGTGATGGACAGGGCTTGGCTCACCGAGTTTAATTGGACAGTCGCCATCTGACATTCTGGGCTTGCTTCTCTAGCTTTATTTTTGAAGCACCCAATTTGGCTTCCTACCTTATTTTCTTTGTATGCTCAGCTCCTGAGCAGGGTTTGGTGCAAGCATGGGTGGGAACAAGTGGGTGAGTGGCAAGGTACTGAGGATGCAGAACCAGACAAGACTTTTATCTGCTTCCAGGCCAGTGATTCTCCACTCAAGGCTTCAAGTGTCCAAGGAGAGAATACAGTCATGGATTCTTAGTTTCTGTCCCTGGTTGGGTCAGTAAAGACCCTTCCTCATCTTTCTGTTCTGGTTATCACTAGAGACAGAAACTAAAAACCATGGCTTCAGGTTGCTAAAAGCCTAAAACAAAACAAAACAGAAGAGCAACAACAAAATAAGATGGGCTGGACAAGCTTAGGACATCTCCTAATGCAGCATTTTTTAAGGGAAATGCAGCATTTTTTAAGGGATTGAAAAATTCTCAAAATCAACTCTTACATGTGTTGAATACAGCAGCCTGTGGTGGACCATGACTCCGAGTCTAACATACAACTGGTTTTGCAGGTGAGAGTCACTTTGTAACATGTTTCAACACCTTCCTCTCCTGATAAGCAGTTTCTAGTCTGAATCAGGACTTTAAGAATATGCTGTATAATGTTTGTACCAATACGAAGCAAGTGTTTTCCTCTCTCACAGCCTTTTTTGTGATGATTAGAAACTTACCCTCTGGGCCATTCCTCCTGAAATTGCCACCTCCAGACCACCAATCTTTTAAAAATGTAAGGCTAATTATAAGCGTATTTTCACCTACAATGTGCGTGTGCGTGTGTGCCATGTGTGCACGTACATGAATAGCTGTACCAGGTAGGAGATCTCTCACACTTGGCTGGACACTCCAGCTACGCGGGAACAAGCACCTGAGCGGGGTCCTCAAAACCAACCAGGATTCCGCCCGCCGACGTCCTGGCTGTGACTGGCTTTGGGAAGTTTGACTCCATGCCATCCTTTGCTTCTCCACTCGGTTCTGATGAAGAAAACTGAATTGCGCTTCCACAATTCAGTGGCGGGAGAGGGTGGACCTCTCGAGTTCCCAGGGCCCCTCCTGTCACCTGCCCCAGAGCCCCGTGCAGGGCCACACTGACCCCCAGGGAAAGCTTGACACTTAAGGGTTAGAGGTCAAGGCTGGGTAGAGGGTTTTTAGTTTTTGTGTTTTTACACACAGAGAAAATGAGACTAATCACTGGTTTATAATAGATCAGGAGACTATCATTTCTTTTGTTCCAAAAAAATACACTTTTTTCTCTGTCATCTTTCACCATACGTGGTAATGTCCCGAGCTGTTTGTGCTCCTTACGATATAGGGGAATGTGTTCCCTTCCTGGGGCTTCTGCAGCAAATTCCCACACACCTTCTAAAATTGTTATGGATAAGAAACAGATTCTTACATAGGTCAGCTCCCACATATTTAGGCTGATGAAAAAGAAAATTGCTACAAATAGTATGAAGGAGGCACCCTTGCTTGAAATGCGTGTCGACACGTGCAGTCACAGGTTCCGTTTGGACTCAGATTTGGACTCTTTTGGGCAATGACGCAGGGAGGGCCTGAGCTGCCAGGACCCATCCCCTCTCGTAAGTCTGAGCCCCGTCTGCAGGAAGCTCTTGTTTTATCATCACGAAAATCACCTCACTTTTGACACATCATCTGCATTATTTGTTTTGCGAGTAGACCTTTTGCTTACAGGAAATGTGTTCATCATAGGGGAATATTTTATATTTTTGGAATAGCAATATCGGGTCTCAAAAACAAACCTTATATTTGAGTAGAAATTAGTCATGAAATTTCCCAGGCCCGTATGTACTTTCTGCACGCGTCCTGTGTCCCTGTATGACCTAGAGATGTTGAACCATCAGAGAACTGAGTTGAGAAGGTGGAGAAAAAGGCGGATTTGGAGTCCTGTCTGCCATCACTATTCAGGGTCCACCTGTGGCCGCTTTGGTGTGAGGGATAAACAGAGTGGACGCACCATAGCTGTGGGACCAACGTGTGCACAAGCTGGCGCACAGGACACAAAATTCCTCCTCATGCTTATGCTGCCCCCACCCTCGAAACCAGCCTGGGAAGTGGATACAGGGAAGTGGCTGCCGCTAGGTTATCCCCCGCCACGCACTTAAAGCAAAGTGCTGTGATTTAAAGATCAGCTTTCACTCTGCATCTGAAACGCCTCATTTCTAAGATGCGGCATTGTTCTACTCTCCGGTGAGAAGGGCTTCCCACGCCAATGGGAGGACACTACTGGTCCTAGTGGTGTCCCGCTTGGAGAGACATTAAGCATGAAGAAAATGCATCTATGATCAATAACGACGGTAGCTGAATCGTACTTAATTAGTTCTTAAATAACACTTATTATTTTGTAATTAGTGAAGAATATGATCTCCTATTAGCATAGAAGCAGGATGTAAAAAAATATGACATGAATTCCTAGCTGAGGAAAGACTATCGGGAAATTATTTATTTTCCAAGTTTTAGTGTCTTCTGAAATTAACTGGATAGATATGAAAAGTGTACATAGCCAGCTATCTTTGGCTCCCTCTGCTGAAACAGAAACAATCCATTTTAACTATGTTTAAAAAGCTCTCTCTGGGCGCCAGGCACTGTGCTAGGCCTGAGGGTTGGGAAGGTGTGTAAGGCACTGTTCTTGTTCTCACAGTATTCACCGCATCACAGGGAGGGGAATAAAACAATGGACTGTTCTGGGAGTTTCTGTAATAGAGACACAGGAAAATCCGCAGAAGTCACAGGCTGCTGGGAGCCTGGAAGCCATGGGGGTGAGGTCAGAGGCCCCGAGGTGAGGTCAGAGTCCCCGAGGTGAGGCCCCCAAGGCTCAGCTCCGTGGTGGCGGCTGCTGCTCTTTGTCCTCCCAAAGAGGCTGAGAGTGTTTATTCCAGTCCCAGGAAAGTTTCCCTCCCACCACATCTCTAGCAATGCCAGACATCAGTTTGTTTTCTACTTGTGTTAAAAAGAAATCTCATTTTTGTTTCGCTCTGTATTTCTCTGATTACTAGTGAGTTTGAACATTCTCTGCATTTCATTGCTTATTAGTAACTGTTTCGTGGGACTCTGTGACTCGCAATCTGGAAAGCAGCAGCTTGGTTTCTACAGCGGCCAACCAGCAACAGAAGCCTGGCAGGTGTACACAAAGTTACAACAAATGTGAACACCTTAATTGGCTGCTATTTGTCATTCTAGAATCAGGCAACACCTCTTTCTGCAAAACAGAATGAGTGCTCCAATGAGCCGAGCAGAGGAGGTTGGTTTATAAACAGACTGAGGAAAGCAGACACAGAGAACAAAATGCAGGCGGATGTGTGGTGGTTCCAAGATGACTTCCCCATAAAGGTTAAAGCAGACGGGACTTCCTCGTCATCTGGGCTAAACCTGGCCTGCTTGGAAGTTGGGCTGTTACCTCTCCTGATTGCTCAGAAGGTCAAATAAAGATCTTCATTTGGGCTTGGTACCATACTTCATACGGGGGCGTCTGCTGGGCCCAGTGCAGGAGCTCAGTCCAAACCAGTGTCCTCTTATCAATTTAATTTCACAACGTGAAGGCAAATTCTTCCCTCCTCAATTTTGTGAGTCCAATAACCCGTGTGTTTTTTATCTGTTAATCACACCAGACAGCATTGAATTGTAGAAACAATGCCGTAAACATTGGTTGGTGGGGACCTTACCCACCCATCCCCTCCTGTCTGCCCAGGGATGGGAATGGATACACACACACACAAACACACACACACACACACACACGGGATGGAGGGTTTCCAGATAGGGCTCTTAGTGACCAGGAGGCGGAGTGTAGGGCCCTGGCTGGTGTGAGCTCAGAGGGCTGGACTTCTCTCCAGGAACAAACAGCCTGCAGTACATAAGTGAGTCACACTAGGTCTGAATCAGACTTCAGGGTGGTCTTAATGGCTGTGCCTGCCCCTCTCTCCAGAAGGAAAAGAATGTAAAATTGAGACTATGTACATATTATGGTCCTGGGTTAAAGGCTCCCAGGAAATGAGAGATTGGGTGGAAAATTGGTACAAACTTAAGTGCAGAGACCAGGGTGGGGCGCTGCAGGGAGTGGCACCCGAGAGAAGCAGCCTCCCGGTGCTGCTGGTGGGTAGCACCAGGGCCAGCGCGGCTGCCCACAGCACTGACGCCCGCTCAGTGAAAGCTCCAGTGTGACTCATTCCTCCTCCAGAAATACTCCTTGGCCATGTGCATTCTGAGAAGTGAACAGGAAATTAGTGCAACACGGTTAGGGTTGAAAAACACAAATGTGAACAAGCTGGATGGTGGTTGTGGAGCCTGGTGAGGTGTGAACAGTAACTGAAATGCTAGCGGGCTGTGCAAGCAGTCTGTGCGTGCCGACATGACGTCACCTCCAGGATCCCTCTTTCCCTGGCAAAAGCAAGAAGGAGCATATCATCCACAGTGTGATGCCATTTATGTGAAGACAGAAAGGAGGGAAAAGAATACCCATGTGTCATTGTCTGAAGGTGCCCAGATGATTGTGCAAAGTCTGGAAGGAGCTGGAAATGCCAGCTGCCTCCCAGAAGGGGGCGGGGGGGCATCCAGGAGACCCCGGGGTTTCAGCACGCAGCCACTGTGCACTTTCTAGAGCATTTGAATCATTCAATGTGCAAGTGTGACATTTCAAAATAGTTAAGTAAAATTGATTACAAATATATCAGGAAGCTGAACCATGTCTTCTCTCTGCACTGGTGATCAAACTATGTACTGAAAACTTTAAACTCGAAAAACAAGCTCACACTGCCATTCGGGCCCCAAACGACAGGCAAAGGGAGGCCCAGAGGAGAAACTCTGAAGCCGAAGATTCCCAGAGGAGTGGCCAGGGGGCCTGGCCCACCCCATAACACCACAACAGGCCGCTTCCTCCCCTGGAATGCAAAAGTGCCTCCGGACATCAGCTTCGTTTTCTGTCCCTAAAAGGACTCATTCTCCCATCAAAGTGGTCCTGACTGGTTCCAGTTAGCCAAAGGTGTCATTGGAGGAGTAAGGCCTGGCGTCAGTTCTGCCGCACAGTGTCACTTAGAATCTAAAGCAGTAACTATGTGGGCTCACCCTTGGAATAAATGGGATGGCATGTAGCTAATTTATTTTACCTAGGCTGATATTCCAATTTTTTTGTATAAAACTATACCAACTGGGTCCAGAAAGTGCTTAGGTGCTTAGGCAGAGAAAACAAGCCAGAATTCCGAATCCTGCGCAGAAAACCCTCCTCTGAACCAAGGCTCTATATTCTATCTTGAAAACAGATGTGAAACTGATTATCTGATAAAAAATTTATAAAGAGACAAATGCATTACAATTATTTTGTTGATAAAACAATTTATCTTAAGAAAAGGGTTTGTTGTGTTTTCTTTTTCCAGAATAGTGAAACTAACAGAGGAGAATCTGAAAAAAAGAGAAACCTGGGTGAACTTTCACGGACAACCTCAGAGGACAACGAAGTGTTCGGTAGGTGACGCAGATATCGGCAACATGGCGCCACATGGTGACAGCGTGCACCTGCACTCTCACTCGGGGAAGCCTTTGATTTTTTTATTGCATGGGTGATCCATGGATCTGTCTGTACTCATTACTAAAACATAGAGGCTGGGATCATTGCTTCATGTCTGTAATCGCACACTTCATGGGGTCTATGCAAGAGGATCGCTTGAGCCCAGGAGCTCAAGACCAGCCCGGGCAACACAATGAGACCTCGTCTCTACAAAAAATAAAATAAATAAATTAGCCAGGTGTGGTGGCATGCACCCGTGGCCCCAGATACTTGGGAGGCTGAAGTGAGAGGATCACTTGGGCCCAGGAGGTCGAGGCTGCAGTGAGCTATGATTGCTCCACTGCACTCCAGGCTGGGCAACAGAGCAAGACGCTGTCTAAAAAAAATTAAAATGTCGGCTGTGTAGATACGTGGCAGATACAGCCCCTTCCTCCCCTCCTGCAATCCCTTCCCATCTCGGTTTTGTTTTTGCTCGCATGCCTTGTTGCACACATAGACATTCAGCATTTCCCAGGCTCACTGTATGGTGTTTCTCTGATCGTCTGTTTGTCCAGCCCTGTGTGAGCATCGGGAAGCCTAGCAGTGTTTGTAAAAAATAGCTAATGAGGAAATGAAATTGCACCAAAGCCTGGATACCACGGTGTTTATCTTAACCACAAAGAGTGACTCAGAAGGCATTGGGAAATAACTGTTGTCTTCAGAATTTTACTTTTTTGTATTGCCTTATTGAATATAAATTGCCTTTACATATTTTTGTGGATTGAATGTGTCCCCTACATTTCGTGTGTTGGAAGCTTAACCCCCTAAATTTCTATGTTAATTGGACGTGGGGCCTTTGGGATGTAACTAGGAGCAGAGACCTAGTCATCAGGTCATTGGGGTGGGGCCCCTGATGAGACCAGTGGCTTTGTAAGGAGAGGAAGAGAGGCCTGAGCCAACTCTTAATCTGTGTCACCATGCGATGCCACCCACCACGTCATGGCACACTCACCAGAAGCTGAGCAGATGCCAGTGCCATGCCCTGGGACTTTCCAGCCTCAAGAACTGTAAGGAATAAATTTATTTTCTTTATAAATTATCCAGTCTCAGGTATTCAGTTATAGCAATAGAAAATGAACCAAGATATAATCTTAGCATTCATCTTTGTTTCTGCTTCCCCTATGAGTGACTGACCATGTTCTCATTTGAGGTTTACATTAATGAGGTTGGATCCACTCGTCCCATCATGACACTGAGGCTCAGTGACTTGCCCAAGACCACAGGGCTATGCAGGTCCTCAAAGCAGTTCTATTCTGCTGTGCACAGCTCTTTGATTTTCTTCATCTATTCCTAAAGCAAAGAGGAAAAGGGGTGGAATGAAATGTGCTCAGATCCTGAGAACTCACTATAGGTCGAAGGAAAAAGGAGTGATTTTGTGGCTACTAAAATACGCATCCCTTTCCCCAAGATCAGGCCACCCTGTAGGTTACAGACAACATTCAAGGCAAACAGGCTTCCTGGCCACATTCCCTAGCATGATCTTTGCTTATTTATGGAAAGGCCTTTCTTTATATTTCAGCTGTTAGACAAGATAATTTATGCCGATTTTTTTTGTTCGTGATTAACTTGCTCTTTTTCAAAAGTCCTTTCTTTTCTACAATTCCATCCTTCTTGAGCAAACACACATAAAACAGATTTAGTGCTACCGACTGTTTCAATATCTTAAGCGTCCATGAAAATCAACATAACTCAAAGGCCCAGAGACTGAAAGCAATGAGGACTCCTTTACTAGAAAGGAGATAGGCAAGTGCAAAAGGGACTCAGTGCTCTGCTGATTTCTGCATACTTTATTATGCTCTTTATAGGAATTTTCTTGGAGGCATGTCTGAGCATAACTCACCGCCTTCAGGTACTGGGGTTTCCATCCTCAGTGGCAGAGGAAGAAGAGGAAGGAGTTGAAGGCAGCCGCGTCCATGACTAGGAGCAGCAGCGTGCACTCTGGAGAACACTTAGGGTTTCGTAGAATAGACAATCTATGAGTTTGAATGGGATGTCCCAGCCTTGATGGTTTTAAGAATAAATCTGCCTATAAAACTCTAGAATAAAAATTCATTTAGATGATCTCTTTACTCATACATTTCAGCTACATATATAAAGACGTAATAGAAAAGCACGAAGACAAATGTCCAAATTTAGGTTTTACACATAAATAAAAGTGAGTTCTAGAATGATTTTGGCTAAGCCTACTGTTTTTTTAAGCAAACATCATCTTTATCATTATTCCCCTAGCTAATTGCTTTTGAGATTATTCGTAACGATGGCAGCGGTTCTGTTACCATCAAATACACACATACACACACACACACACACACACACACATATGTATAGGTATATATACAGCATGGATACAATATAACATAAAAAGGTCTTCTATACTTAGCCCTTTCCTTACGCTATCAAGATGATATCATTCCTGAAGCCCTTCCAAACGCAGCCCTCCTTAATCTTTTCCAAGAGATACTGAGTTTAGAGAGTTATTACCTAGGATTGAATGTGAAAACTACTGGAAATGATGGAAATGCAGAATATTTCCATCATTTCACAAACGTGGGTTGTGTTTTGATAGGAAGAGCAATACTTCTGCCTGTTGTGTTTACTGAGGTGTTCCCAGGTCCTTGGACACCGGAGCAAGGCTCGCATATCTGCCGAATGAACTTAGCTCCCACATTCCAAGCCTTTCTGCCCGTGAGTGTGCCGAGGAAGCAGTTCTCAAGAGTCACCTTCAGGCCTTTGCAGCTGATGCCTGATTCAGGTTGAGTCAAAACCAAGGGGGAAGTGGGAGGAGCTTGTGGTCCAGGCATCCTCATTTCATCCACCCTAGGGGAGGCTGGCCCAGGAGGCCTCTGCACGCATTATTTAGCAGCAACAATCCCAAGTGATGCCGACCTGGAAGGGCCTGTTGAACTGTGGGGCTTTTGCTATTGACCTTAATAATTTCCCATGCCTGACCCTTTCCTGGGGCACACAGAACTCTACTCTAAAGGCGCAGAGTGCTGAAGGAAAAGAAACTAAAATAATCTTGGCTATTAGTCTTGGCTGTATAACCTTGGAGGCATATATGCAATTTCTTTTAAAATTGTAATGTATAAAGTGACTCTAAATGAGAGCAGCAGCTCCCACCTACTTTAGGAAAAGGTCTTTCCTTGACATGATAGTAAATCCCATCAGTACGTTGGGAAACCATTCCTGATGTCCCGTGAGCACAAGTCACCGTGATCGTGTGATGGTCATCTCTAGGTTCTTGGCAGCCGTTTCATCCACGCATCAGAAGAATGAGCGAGGAATGTGAGAAATGGGCAGAAAGCCATCATCCTTAGCTAACCACTCTGCAGGACACGCATACCTAAGATCTCTGTGAACGTCGAAAGGCAATAGTGTTGTATTTCAGCTGATAAGAGAGTCCCCGAGTTAAGACTGATTGGCGCATTGAGAAGTTTGTGCCAGGTGCTGACTCTGGCACAGGTGCTATTGCTATGGTTCACACATTGAGTGCTCAAAACCACAAACAGACAACTAAAACCACGCAGCCTTCCTCCTCGTCTCTGTGAAGGCCAAAGCCAGTCATTCTCTTAGCAATCCACTTTGAAGTTTTATTTGCCCTTCATGTTCTGGTAAAAATCTCACCAAAGGATTGTTTTCAATCTAAGTAAATAACTCGTTAGAGCACACTTTCAAATATCTTCTGTGATTTGTTTTTTTTTTTTCGACAGCTTTCTGGTTATGCTTAAGACTGTTTTGCCTAGTTACAAAAGGAGGAAGAAAACACTCTAAGGCACGACAACCTAGAGAACTGGGCGTTGTCCAAGCTTTGGGGAAGCAGGCCATTTTTCAGTAGACCAGTTGCTGCTAAGCGTTTTCTGACCCACACACCCACAGGTAGTGCACACACTGTCCTCCTCCTTAGAAACCAGGCGGGAAGGAAGGCAGGAGTCAGTCTCCACCTCTTCTCCCGCCAGAGTTGACTAATCGTGGGGCTAAACTAAAGGCAGGCAATTCAGTTGAGGTGAGCGAAGTCTTAGGTCTCCCTAAATTATACTAAGGGAGGAGAGGAGTGGCCAAAAGAGGGCACTACTGCCCCGGTGACTGACTGTGGTTCCTCTCAGCCAGGACAGGCATCTCAAAGACAGGGCTGGAGGGATGTGGACTCCGTGTCATGTGTAAGCTAGTTCACTCCACATGTGCCACAGAGGATGGATGTCCTACCGTGAAAACGTCACCAGCCCGCGTCTGTGTTCACTGCGTCCACTTCACAGGGCCAAGTCCTGTGTGCACAGCATGTAAGGGCAAACCCCCATGAAGAGTCATGAGGAAAACATTCACAACTTCATTGCTCAGACAATGGAGATAGAAATATCTGTGTTTAATGTTTATTTAAAAAGTATTCATCCCAGAAACATTTAAGTACATATATTGGTGTGTGCGTGTTTTCACTCTTCTTTATTTTATAAAGCTTGAGTTAGCTGACAGTAGGAAAAAACACCAGGAAACAGTAAAATGTAAATAAAATTGAGAAGTCTAGATGAAGTGAAGGAAGACCACAAACACATCAACCATGTGACAATGGCTGCAGGGAGCCGCCCGTTTCACTCTGAGCTGCCCAGCTGCCCAAGTGGAAGGGGACCCCGGCCAGCCTGAAGTCTCTCATTTTACACAGCAGGTGGTAGAGCCCTACCACCTTTTAGCTGTGTGCTTTTAGCAATGAACTCCTCTGTTTGTGTCTTGGTTTCCCCATACGTAAGTAGGGGTAATCATAAAATGACCTGTGAGTAAGAAACAACACATGTGCACGTGTGGGACTCTCCCATCTCCTCACAGTACTCAGTAAACATTGGCTAGTATTTTCAGAGAGAAGACTGCAGACATTTTTTGAAGCATACAGAGCTTTGTTTAACAAATACTAAGAATTTTTCCTGCTTAAATTTTTATCACAGACAAAGAGTCACATGGTAGTCAACGACCTCAAGGTATTTTTATAGCACATGTGGAGATTAGTTTTGTATAGTTATTTATTGTAATAGAATTCAGTAAGGGCCAGTGGTGCAACATGAATCTTCCGCATTGCAAGCCAAGAGCCTATGATCCCTGTGTCTAGCCATCAGAGGACCTGCTATGATCCACAGACAGAATTACAAGAACTTGGGGTCCCTTCCCAGAGCCAGGACTTTGATAGGCATTTCATAGCACAAAGTTCCAGGTCCCAGGCTCTGAGAAAGGCCCAGGAGGAGTTCTGAGCGGCTGGTTGCTGAGGCACTGCGTGCCTGTGTTCCATTGAGGGTCAGCGGCAGCCTCAAGAGAAGACAGACTCCACCTGGGAAACAGGCAGGTGTGACCATTGGCTCTGCCATCAACTCTCAATGCAACTGGGGGTGCGACTTCATCTCTCTGTGCCTGTTTCCTCCTCCAGAAAACAGGGTTTCCTATTGACCCTCAAGAATTGTTGCAAGGGCCCATTGAGAGAACAATTTGGCCGGGTATGATGGCTCATGCCTATAATCCCAGCACTTTGGGAGGCTGAGGCAGGTGGATCACCTGAGGCCAGGAGTTCGAGACCAGCCTGACCAACACGGGGAAACCACATCTCTACCAAAAAATACAAAATTAGCTGGATGTAGTAGTGCACACCTGTAATCCTGGCTACTTGGAAGGCTGAGGCAGAATTCCTTGAACCCAGGAGGCAGAGGTTGCAGTGAGCTGAGATCACACCACTGCACTCCAGCCTGGGCAACAAGAGCAAAACTCCGCCTCATAAAAAAAAAAAAAAAAAAAAGGAGAGAGAGAGAAAACAGTTATACTCCATTACAGGATGCTTTAACATCTCTACTGCTTGAAGCCACGTTCATACAGTGAATAATGAGTGCTGCCGTTCATTAGCATTTTTCATGTGCCTCTGAGGACCTGGGTCACATCTGCCATAAACACTCATTCATCATTGGTACTAGGATGTCCTGCCTATGTGCTTTCTCCATTCATTTATTAAATCATTTTTGAGCACCTCCAATGTGCCGTGCCATATACTGGAGGTGGAAGAGAGAGGGCAGGAGGTTAGAGAAAACAAAATAGAGAAATGGCGGGGCCAGCCATTCTGGGGACTTCACACCATTTGGGGGATGGTTTAACATAGAAGGACATGGAACGAGGGCCTCAGCCTCCCAAAGTGCTGGATTACAGGCATGAGCCACCACGCCCAGCCCATAATTTGCTATCTTATTGCCACAAAGAGTCTATTCCGTCTTGCCTGGAGGGCTAGGGCCTTTATTTTTACTTTACATCACTTTTCTAAGAGGCTGTTCCTGTCATATCTAACCAAGAAGCCCGCCTGTCTCCCATGCCACACTTCTTTATCCCACTGCCTTATTTCATGTCCTTCACATTGGCCTTTTGGTTATTGCATTTGCATACTTGGTGTGTTTTTTCTTCCACAAATGCAAGCCTCTTGAAGGCGGTGCATCTCTTATCTGTGCTGGCCCCTATTTTTATTTGAATTGGCCACCAGGTGGAAGCACTTAGCACTGAAGTGGACATACCAAATGGCTTCTCAAGATCCATGTCTGCTTTTGCATCTTGGTGTATTTTTACTTGTAATAATATTCCCCTGATTTTTTAAGCAAAAATATATTTATTTATAGTGTTACACATATGTCAAATTTGATTAATTAGATAAAAATTAATTAATTTTAATTTTAATAATGTAATTAAGGTTAAATTATTATCATTAGAATTAAATTAATTATAAATAATTAGTGACTACTTTATAAAATTAAATTATTATAATTTAAATTCATTATAATTAATAAAGCAGCAAATTGAATTAATAATTAAAATTAATTAATGGGATTAATTGATGAACTAAAAAATAATTCAACTACCTGACATAACTGTCCCATTTTCCATTTTGAATTCTGATCTTTCAACCAACAACATTTTTCTAGGCTGTTTAGCGATCCTGTATTATCCTTTTAAAATAGCTCCTTAATATTCCATATGATTGAACAGTAATATCATTCCTCTATTGCTTTTCATTTTGGTTGTCTCAAGTTTGCTACTAGAAACCATGCTACAGTTGGCACTTTGATTTCAGTAGGGTTTTTTCTTTCTTTTAATTGTTTTAATAGGCTTCAGTCAAAGTAAGTGAGACGGCTAAATTATTTTCCCCGAACTCGTGCTGGCGAACTGCCCTTCCCGTGGCTGAATATGCCTATTTCCCCAGCACGCTTCCATCTTGGGGCAGCCTCAGGGGGTTGTAAGTTGGTGGGCTAGGGCTGGATGTGGTGGCCCTCAGGCAGGTCTCGTTATGTCCATATGGTGGAGGTGTTTTCTTTTAATTTTGATGACATTTGGAAACGGTAAACTTTCCCCGGAAAATGTTGAACTGCAGCGTCTCTGGAAACTAAAGGCCTGGCAGTGGCCTTCTCCAGGCTGCAGTCGGCCGGCCGAGGAGCCCCCATCTCCAGGGCCTCCAGGTCCCCTGCGACTTTCCTCCCTCCACGGAATAAGCTGCTTGACCCCACAGGCCTGGAGCTTGAGACTTGGTCCCCAGTCTGTTCCAGATTAAAATGGCTCTGGGCACCATTCCAGTCACTGCGGCCGTGTTCCAAGTGCGTCCACGATTTCGTTTCTTAAAGTGCTGTTTCTGTTGCTCAGGATTCTGCACGCGGGGGCGGGGGTGGTGCTGGAACAGCTCGTCCCCTGTGGGCGTCGCATCAGCCGGTGGGGGCTGGGGTCGTGCCCGGGCCTGGGGTCGTGCCTGGGGCTGGGGTCTGCCGGAGGCCGCTCCCTCCCGTGGCTGGCGAGCTGTGCGGGGCGTTGGCTGGGTCCGGCCGGGCTGTCAGCCTGAACTGGTGCCCTGGGTTCTCCAGGTTTGGCCTCCCCGCAGCGTGGAGCAGGGGTCCCAGGTGGGTCCTGAGAGTCGAAGCCAGAGCGGAGCCACTGCCTGCTGTGACCCAGCCTGGGAGCGCTCGGCATCCCCGCATCCCCGCATCCCCACCGCCCCTGAGGTGGACGTCCAGGGCTGGGGAGGGGATGCCTCTTCTCCCCGGAGGGTCCCTGAAGAGCCGGTGCAGCCCTGGGTGTCCTCTGCCGAACTTAAAAAACACTCCCCGCTCACGCCTGTAATCCCAGCACTTTGGGAGGCCGAGGCGGGCGGAACACGAGGTCAGGAGATCGACACCATCCTGGCTAACACGGTGAAACCCCGTCTCTATTAAAAAAAAAAATACAAAAAATTAGCCGGGCGTAGTGGCGGGCGCCTGTAGTCCCAGCTACTCGGGAGGCTGAGGCAGGAGAATGGCGTGAACCCGGGAGGCGGAGCTTGCAGTGAGCCGAGATCGCACCACTGCACTCCAGCCTGGGCAACAGAGCGAGACTCCGTCTCAAAAAAAAAAAAAAAAAAAACACTCCCCGCCTTCCTCAGGTGTCCCCCTTCAGAATTTTCGTGTAGCGGTTTTTTAAATCATTGCATCTTTGTTTAAATTTGTTTCCAAGAAACGGCTATGAGAAAATCATTTTTTGAGATGCTATTTTTCAAATGATGTGTGTATTTAATGCATCCAGGTTAGTAAACTAAGCTACAAGACTTTAGTAAGTAGCTGTCATTTCCGATGTAAAATTCCATTTGGACCTGGCAGTCGCGGGAGCTCCTCTCTCCTTGTCCTTCTTCACACACAGTCCTTGTCCTTAGAGATAATCACTGCACGGCCTTTCCGTGGGAATATTCGGTGCTAGTGTGAATGGATCGCTAATTGTGATTCCGTGGCTGCCTGAGGCCTTGTATTCCTGTCTAGACAAGCCACAAAACCCATTTTGTGAAATAGCATCTTTGGGCTGGGTATAAATCATAGAAACAAAATCACAAGTTGGGGGATGAAGGAATATTCAGATTATCTTGTCTGACCCCGCCTTGCATGTCAGATGAGGGTGCAGCTGCCAGGCAGACACTCAGGAGCAGGATCGGAGCCCAGTGCTCCCAGCCAGCCAGGGAGACCGCAGCTGGTTCCTTGAGGGGCAGGGCAGTTCTCATGTCTGTCTGACAGATGTGAAAACAAACACTGTAACAGTTACTTCTCCTCTGTGCGTTGAAGTGAATGTTAATGATACTTTATATCATTAAAAACCCAAACACACTTCTGAATATTTACCCTGCTTCATTGTAGTACCCAGGCAGTTCTTGGGGGACATGCCTCCTTCCCGTCTCAGAGGATGTTTGTTTTGGGCCAAAGACCCCCTGCTTCTCAGCGGCTGAGTGGTGAAATCTCACGCCGTGGGTGTGGGCGTGGTCAGGGCACGTGGGAAGCCGGTTCTCCTCGGCAGCCTCTCCTGAGAGCTGTCGGACAAAGGTCTCGGCTTCTAGGAGTTACTTTAGTGAGGCCATGTCATTTGGTAGTTAGGACTGTGGACTCGGTTCCCCTGTGCAGAGGGGGGTTGTGTGCTCAGCTGCAGGTTGCTGGGAGGACTCAGTGGTGTCAAAGAAAAGTTACCCCAGGGAGAGTGAGACAGGCAGGGAAGACGTATCCCAGACTATTGCAGTAGGAGAGAGCGAGCTGAACTCCACCCTGCTGAAACGAAAGGCGGGAGGGTTTTTAAGCACTGGGGTGAGCTGGTGGGAGAGTCCTGGAGGACATCGGATGGAGGCCGGTTGGTGCAGTCAGGCCAGCAATGTTTGCAGATTAGCGCTTACCACAGTTAGGCCCCTGCCTCCCGCAGGGACTGGGAGCTGAGGGTGTTATCTTCCTTGTTGGTTACATTTCAAAGGCTCCTGGGTCCTTCGAGAAGACAAAGCTGGGCAGTGAACTGAGCAAGAGGCCAGGAAAGGGCCGATGTCTCAAAGGGACGGAGAAATAATTCATAGTGGCAAGTTTTCTAGAGACAAGGAAGTTGGGGCTGAGAGTCCTACAAAACCTGTTCAAGGTTTAATCCCCCGGACGGGAATGGCAAGGCTGTCTGGGCCAATGGTCAGTTCATGCCTCCAGTTTAGAGCAGCACCTGGTCCCTATGGGTCCTGTGAGCCACATGGACACCGGGCCAGGCACAGGAGACAGCAACAGTGTGTTCCCCAAAGCCTCTGCAGACCCAGCCCCGGGCGCACGGGGTCACGGATAACAGGAAATGCACTGCCAGCGGCCTCACTGCCATGCGCTGGCACAAATGCACCCAGGTGCTGCCTGCCCTTCATCCACACGGTCAGTGGAGCGCAGCACGCTCAGCCGTGACACCACAGAGCCACAGGGATGTGTAAGAGGAGTCGGGGAGGGGGAGCCTCACTTCGTTTTTTCTTTTTTTCCTTTCTAAAAATTCCAACAGCTGCTCTAAAACCTTAATTATTCCAAGCAAGTTTCTAGAACCACTGAGTTTCTGGGAATGTCTGGGTTTGCAAAGTCACCAGCTGTGTTTGGAAAGACATTTCCAATGGGGTTGAACTCTCCAGTGTGAATGAACTTTTCTTGTCATGACCTCACTGTCTGTAATGAGGGCTTCCTGATTGCAGTTTGCTTTACCTGAAAACAAAACAGAGGCCAAACACCACCTTATTTAAAGCAATAATGGAAGTTATCCTATGAAAGATAGCAGCCCACCAGCAGATGTGAAAAGCAATTACTAGGTTAAAAAAAGAGAAAGAAAGAGAGAGAGAGAGAGAAAGAAAGAGAAAGAAAAGGAAGGAAGGATGAAAAGAAAGGGAAAGAAAGGGAAGGAATGGAAGGAAAGGAAGGAAAGAAAGGAAAAAGAAAACTGAGCCCATTTTAAGCGCAGTTCATCTTTCCCAGCCAGGGAGGATGGCAGAGGTGGCACTGGGCTGGGAGGGAACAGCCACCCATGCACCTCCTGGGTCAGGGGTTGGGCTTTGAGGATGTGGGTTCTAGAAGTTTACAGTTATGTGCCCCCTACTCTGGGCATTTTATCAGTTGGTACAAAGCCACTTCCTCCCAGGGCAGGACACTCTTGCACCAGCTCAGCTCAGCTCCTTCCTGCCTCTGGGTTTCTGCTGACCCTGCTCCTCCCACACAGAGGCTGTGCTGGAGTTTGCAGCAAAGCCGCCTGCTGTTTTCTCTACCACAGAAGGTGGTACAGACACGCAGGGCCCAGCAGCAGCAGGCGGCGCTGCCGTTCCTCTGTCTCCATCCACGATGTGCGTGCCCAGAAGGTTCCCTTCTAACTGCGGGGCCTCCCAGAGCAAACTCATGATTACTTCCCATGGTTTGCATACCTTTATGATACTGAATTCCATAGAATGTTGACATTTAAATGTGTGCGTGCATGCAAGTCCCTCACCTTCTCCTCTGGGCTTTCTGTGCCAAAGGTCATTTTCCTGATAATATGAAATTGATCATCTGGAGATCACAGTGGCAGAGCAGGAGAAAACAGGATGTGTGCATGGTGACATTACCCACCGCTAACAGGAACTGGAACTTGAGATGTGTGCATGGTGACGTCACCCGCCGCTAACAGGAATTGGAATTTGAGATGTGTGCATGGTTGTGTCACCCGCCGCTAACAGGGATTGGAACTTGAGCTCTCCCCTTATCCAGGTACAAAATGAGGAGCACTATTTCTATGTCTTTGCTGAGAGCACTGATGGCTGATTGTGCCAAGGACCCAGGGAAGCTCTGATACTTAGCAAGCACCTCTCCCATCACCAAGGCCCAAGCCCTCCTCTGCCCACCTGGGTGATTAAGTGGGTCCCAGCCTCCATCCTGATCCATCCCTGTTGGTTCTCCCTGCCAGCTAGCTGCTGAGCACCTCGCTCCCTGCTCAAATCCCCTCCACCTGTTCCCCAGGGGCCTCTCCAACCACATCTCCTGCGGCCCCTCCCTCCCGCAGCCTCCTGGGTGTGGCTGAAGCACAAGCTCTGCCCTCCTCCTTAAGTCTCTTGCCCAGATATCCGGGGGTGAGCTCTTCGCTCCATGTCCCTTCTCGTTGACATCTCCCACTTAGAAGTGCAGCTGTGTCAGCGCAGGTGGGCTCTGCAGGCCTGCCAGAGGAACTCCTAAATCTCTGAGGCTCAAGGTGATGTCCACTCACATCATAGCTCAGCGAGGGCCAGGCGGCTCTCCATCCAGTGTGCCTGGGAGAGTCCTGTGGCTTCCACATAGAGTCTCTGCCATCGGAGGGCAGGGCGGGGAGGGACCGGGAGGACAGCCCAAGGGCCAAGCACCCTGCAGACCAGGCCGAGGGGCAGTCATCGCGTCCACTCAAGTTCTGATGGCCAGAAGCATCATGTGGCCCCACCTCGAGGAGGGGGCCAAGAGGAAGAAGGATGCAGAGTGGGGCAGTACAGTCACCTCTGTCACAGTCCCTGATTATGTTGTTTATTGTCCGAGCCCCGACTCCGGATGGAAAGTGAGCCCCATGAAGGCAGGGACATCTGTCTGTTTTGTTCGCTGAGATATCCCAGCACCTAGACGCAGGCCCGGCTCATGGGACGAGCTTCATCAATATTTGCTGGATGACTGAGTGACAGGTGGGACACCCCTCGTCCCTGCTGCTCTCTCCTCTCCTGTCTCAAAGACTTCATTTGCACATGGCAGTGTTCCACATAAAATGCCAGCAGACAGTGTGCCTGAGGCCTGAACTCTTCCCTGTAAGGAATTCTGCCTCTATGCTACAGCTCAGCAAGTGATGCACAGAAGTGCCCGCAGCTCGTGCATCAGAGTGTGTGTGTGTAAGAGTACCCGTGTGTGCTTTGTGATGTGTGCACATAGCATGTGGGGTGCACACTATAGAAATGCTGTTCCAACTGACAAAATGTCCCTGGAACTCGAGAGATGCTTTTGTTCTTTGGAATTAGGGTGAGACTCTGAAACCACAGCCAGCCCCCGTAGCGGAGCATACCGGCTGACACTGGCGTCTTGGCTGCAGGGGCTGAGGACGGAGCTCAGTCCCGACCCAGCTGAGTGTGCAAATGTCCAGCTTCTGTGTGCCCCTTGGCTGGACCTGCAGTGGGGCCCCTGCCCACCCCTCCCCTGAAGCAGCCACCATGAGGACAGGTGCAGGGAAGTGGGAAGCAGCCATGTCACTGCAGATGCGGCCACCCTCAGCCAGGGCTCCTATCACTAAGCCATCTGGTGTTGAGCTCCCTGGAGACATGCGAGCCTGTGCTGTTCCCCTCTCTGCTTCTGGGACAGCCACGCTGGCCTATCACGGGGACACGGCATTGGTTGGCTTCTTTTGGGGCCTTCTATTTAGCAGGAAACTAAAAGTTCCCCTTTTTCAAATGATCCAGGGCAGGCAGCTGAGGTCTAGCGTGGACTCACACCCATGTTCCCCAAAACCTTGCCAGTGGCTCCACAGGAGGGAGTAGGTTAGGACGGCAAGGGCACAGCGCCCACAGGGACAGCGCCCCTGAAGTCCACCCGGGGGGTATACATGGCGTGAGGGGGCCCCTGCTGAGTGGAGAGGAGTGGGGGCTCGGGGACTCAGGCCCGGTGTTGCTGGGCTGGCAGGGTACTTCCCATCAGGAGTCACAAATCCCAAGGCGAGGATAGTGGCTGTGTTCCCGTGGGGGATTATTCCAGGTGAGCGTGTGGATGGGTGGGGGACACTGCTGAGTAGGTCCTCTGAGCTTGCCGGGATATACAGTGAGCACAAACACTCATAAATCATAGCTGCATTCGCTTCAAGTTTGTTTCCTGTGCACTTACCCCTAAGCGATCCTGGCCTTCAAATATAAAAATGCACTGCTAAGAGTCACTTAGGGTCATCACAGCCACAATGGGACAACTGAAAGCTTCCCAGAACAAAGAGGGAATACAAACCTTACAATGGCACAAATAGCAGCTGGGATGGGCTCTGGCCAGTGGGGCAGCCGTGCGTCCAGCTCGGGACCCGGGGAGCTCAGACAAAGGGGTCCCTGCTCACAGGTGCCCCCATCCAAGGACCCCTTTGTCTTACCCCCCCGATCGGGATGCTGCTGATCACTTATGTCTGTTGGGTCTTGGATCCCCAATTTGAAAGCACTTCTATTTGGTTTCCATAAGTAAAGTTCACATTTGTGATTTCACCTCACAGCCTGAATTTGTGATTGGAACTTGGGACTCTGTTGTGTGGCTGTTGGATCGCCCCGCTCCTTCCCCCGTTCCTGGTCGGGTGGACTTGGGCACATCGGAGGAAGACTCTGGCTCAGAGGGCACAGTCTCGGGAGGGCAGCTTGCACTCACACGCCTTCTCCAGCCTCCTCATCCTCTTCCAGTGCTGCCGCACGGCTTCACCATAACCTTTTTTTAAGATGCCTTTTTTCCCACTTGTTCCAATGAGAGAAGGGCATGTCCCTGGGTTTCTCAGATGAATCCTTCAGGAGCTGGGCCTCGCTTCTACAAAGAACATTTTAGCATCAACATTGTGTAATTTGAAGAAACAAGGTGTTAAAAAAAGGGAAAATTAAGCCCACTGTTACATGCAGGTTTAGCAAAGTGCACCCCCACTCACGCTCCTACCCCTGGTCTTCACGCATCAAACTGAACCCCATCACTGTCACACCACTGCTTTCCATATTCATTCCGCCCTTTCTTCTTCTCCCTGGAAGGTGTTAAATTTGATGTATCAGGAAAGGTGTTACTAATTATTATTCCTAAGCTCTCCTTCCACATGTGGAAGAACCCTCAACTCTTCTTAGTGATAAGAGTTCAGTGAAAATCGGGTCCTTCAGCCCCAGTTCTGCACTGGGTCTCAGTTTTGGTGTGGTTGCTGCAGAGGCATTTAGATCCTGACCTCACCCTCCCCGGAGGAGCCCAGTGCAGAGGCCCAGAAGCAGCCCCAGGTGGGCTCTGTCGGGCAGTCTCTCCTTAACTGTTGAACGGTTAATTCACTGTGAGCCAGGCCGACAGTGGTGGGTGGATTTTAAAATAAACAGTGGATGTGACCATTTAAGTAGGTTAATTTTATCATTAGAGAGCTACAAAGCAACTGAGAGATGCTCGCGTCATTCGCCCGCAAGTGAAAGGTAAGAACCTCGTAATTTGGGCACACTGAAATGGGAACGTTTCATGAGGTTGACTTTTTGTATCTGGGCCATTTTTATTTCAAGGCTACAATGCAATCATTTCCCACAATAATAAAATTTACACCGGAAGGCTGTCCTGCCTTTCTTCCTCTGACAGGAAGAGCCCACCTAGATAATAGAATCTTACATGCTATGTTACCTCAAGTTTACCATTACCTAAATATTTTTATTAAAATTACTTTTAAAATTATGTCTTCATGTTCCATTTCTTTTTCCTGGGGTCTTCATTAATAACCAAAAACACCAAAGGCAAATATTATAATTAGTGGTCCCCATGACTGGAACTGGACACCATAATAATTTGCCCCGGGTAGGATGAGAGAGTGGCAGGAGGTTTCCCTTGAGATGATTAAGACATGCTCCTTAATACTAAGGTAATAGGGTGGGGTGTGGTGGCTCACGCCTGTAATCCCAGCACTTTGGGAGTCCGAGGCGGGCAGATCACTCAAGCTCAGGAGTTCAAGATCAGCCTGGCCAGTATGGTGAAACCCCATCTGTACTAAAAATACAAAAATTAGCTGGGCGTGATGGCACGTCCTATAATTCCAGCTACTGGGGAAGCTGAGGCAGGAGAATCACTTGAATCTGGGAGACACAGGTTGCAGTGAGCCGAGATCACGCCATTGCACTCCAGCCCAGGTGACAGAGCAAGACTCCGTCTCAAAAATAATAAATTAATTAATAGAACATTTCAGTCAGTAGTACCTGCGAGGCACACAGCTCAGTTATGGCAATGAAGAAGGAACTGCCCTTGTAAACAGCTAATACTGTGGCAAGCTACAGGCTTCAGCAAAGTTTGTATAGGAAAAAAAGCAAATAATCTAACATTTAAAATATAAATAGCAAGCTGTTTTGTGTTTCAGAGCTTTAGTTTATCTCCAAAAATTATTTTAAAATACTTAGTTTTGGTATCTGCTTTTGCAACTGCCTTTCTCCAGTAAGCGCCTCAGTCAGCAGAAGACATTGCTTTGCCAAATGTGTCTCTATGAGTCAAAACTGAACAAGTTTGGAAACGTTTCCATAGAACAAGAATGATTTTTAGACATGTGATTTCTTGAAGTCAAGAGATGAACAAGAATTTGGAATAGCATTACTCAAAGAAAACTTGTAATTTTTGTCCTTGCTGTTGACATTCTACCAAGAACGTCAGCAATGACAAACTCTACACTAAGTAAAAAATGAAAATAGCACTTGTTTCCATAGTTACAAAAGTGCTTTTTGTTTTGGGAGTTTAAAATGATCATTAGGGGTGAGTGCAGTGGCTCACGCCTGTAATCCTAGCACTTTGGGAGGCTGAGGCAGGCAGATCACTTGAGGTCAGGAGTTCAAGACCAGCCTGGCCAACATGGTGAAACCCCATCTCTACTAAAAATACAAAAATTAGCCGGGTGTCGTGATGGACACCTGTAGTCCCAGCTACTCGGGAAGCTGAGGCAGGAGAATTGCTTGAATCCGGGAGGCAGAGGTTGCAGTGAGCTGAGATTGCACCACACACTCCATCCTGGGCCACAGAGCGAGACTCCATCTCAAAAAAAATAAAATAAAATAAAAATTAAAAATAAAATAGTTATCCATATCCAATGATGAGTAAATAAAATAAATCCACATGTGACCAAAAGGAATGATCTAGAACGACAGAATTATGTAATGACCCTTACTCTTTTCCTAATAATAAATAAATCTGAGCATGAAATATGCAAATAGGCAAAATACTCCTCCCAAACCAATGAGGCAAATCTTCCGGGTCCCATTTCAGCTACCTCAGATAGCTTTGGACTCTCTACTTGCAGAAATTCCAAAAGAAACAGACTATAAATTAGGGTGTGAAAGAGACCCAGCTATAAGCATGTTCTCCAACACAAATTCCATCTTCATCATGCATCAAGGCTTTTTATTATTTTGAAATAAAACTTATTCTACAAATACTTATTGAACAGTTTTTATGCCCCAGAAACCGCGTCAGGCAGGAGTACATCGGTGAACAAAACAGATTAAAAACCCTGCCCTCGGCCGGGTGCGGTGGCTCACACCTGTAATCCCAGCACTTTGGAAGGCCGAGGTGGGCGGATCACGAGGTCAAGAGATCGAGACCATCCAGGCTAACACGGTGAAACCTCGTCTCTACTAAAAATACAAAAAATTAGCCGGGCGTGGTGGCAGGTGCCTGTAGTCCCAGCTACTCGGGAGGCTGGGACAGGAGAATGGCCTGAACCCGGGAGGCGGAGCTGGCAGTGAGCTGACACCATGCCACTGCACTCCAGCCTGGGTGACAGAGCGAGACTCCATATCAAAAAAATAAATAAAATTAAAAAAAAACCCTGCCCTCGTAGAGATTATTCTTGACCTGGGTTCAAATCCCAACCCTAGTGCTTAATCCATGTGTGTTTAATGTTTTTTTATTTGACCTCTTTGATCCTCAGTTTTTCCATCTGTAAAATAGAGATTATAGAACCTACAGAGATTGGCTGGGCATGGTGGCTCACGCCTGTAATCCCAACACTTTGGGAGGCCAAGGTGGGAGGATCACCTGAGGTCAGGAGTTCGAGACCAGCCTGACCAACATGGTGAAACCCCGTCTCAACTAAAAATACAAAAATTAGCCGGCCGTGGTGGCGGGCACCTGTAATCCTAGGTACTCAGGAGGCTGAGACAAGAGAATTAACCCAGGAGGCGGAGGTTGCAGTGAGCCAAGATCACACCATTGCACTCCAGCCTGGGCGACAGAGCGAGACTCCATCTCAAAAAGCCAACAAAAAAAAAGATCCTACCTGCAGAGATTGTTAGGGACGCATAAAGTCAGATGCCAATAGAAGGCCTCGCACAGTGGTCTATGAGTGATGAGCTTTCATTTTTCTCTTCTCCAGTTGGACCTCTTCCTTCCACCGCCACATCCTTAATCATAAAAGAAACAGTTTCCTATGACAATGGCCCAGCTTTCCTTCTACCTCTGCACAGTCCTCAGAACGCTGCTAGGGCTGGAAGCCCAAGGTCCTCTTTCGGGTAAAGATGAGGAAATAGGAGCAGGTACCACGACTGCCCACCTGCTGCCTACAGCTGTCTTCCTGCTGGGGTGCTGTGTGTGGAAGGAGGGCCTTCCCAGTGGAGATTAAAAGGGCGTCAAACGAGAGATGCTTTGGGGGGTCAAAACAGACACTTAGCTCATTTAAGTGTTTAATTCCAAAATTGATAATTAGCCTATTTTTTACTGGCATTGCGTAATCATCACATTGTTGAAAATTATTTGATTTCTAGCTTTGGGGTGAATTGGTCTTAGTGGTACTATGATATCATTGTATTTCTGCACAGGATTTCCCTCTGAAGATTAATAGATCTAATTCCTTGATTGCATAATACATACCTTATTCACTGGCCTGTTCTGGTAAATAATCAGTTCATTTGCTAGCATTTGGAATTAAATATTAAATATATCTCTAGTTCTCCCAGTTGCCTTAAAAATAGGATTGAGTATACCATCTTTATCTTCTGATGTATTTTCTGTTTTGTTGAAAAGTTGTGTCGAAGCAACAAAACAGCAAAATGAAAATGGATTTAATTGCTTTTATGTTTTAACAAGCTTAGTGAGATAATTTACAAACCACAGAGTTCAGCCATTTTCAGTGTACACATTAACGGTTTTTAGTGTATCCCCAGAACTGTGCAACCATCGTTAACTAACCTTAGAACATTTTCACCACCCCAGCAAGAACACCTGGAGCCACTAGACGTCCTTCTCCATTCTCTTCCCCGACACGTCTCACCCCAGCCCCCGGCCACTGCGAATCTACTTTCCATGCCTGTGGATTTGCGTGTCCTGGATTCTTCCTGTAAATGCGTGGTGTTTTATGGCTGGCTTCTTTCACTTCACACAATGCTGGTGAGGTTCATCATGGAGTAGCGCACGCTAGTGCTGCATTCCTCCTTACGACAGGAGGATATTCTATCGTGTGTGCACATCACCGTCAGTTCATCCACGCATCAGCTCACGGATGTTCAGGTGGCTGCCACCCTTTGGCTGTCGTGAATCCTACTGCCGGAGCCTTGGCGTTCAGGGTTTCCCGTGGACATAGGTCTGCGGTTCTCTTGGGCAGGCACCCAGCCGTGGTCGCCTTTGTTTTGTCTGTTACGTTCGGCTCCAAGGTTTGTTCATTTAGACTTTCCTTTTCATGTCTATCTTTCACATTTGGGTGTTTATCGAACACCATTCCCCAGAGGTAAAAATCCTCTCTGCTGCCTGGTTGACCTCTCCATGAAGATGTGGAGCTTGCAGGCAGCTGAGGGATGGAGGCCCTGATGTTTCCTGGCATCAGAGATTCTGCCTCCCGATGGTGACAGTCACTGGATCAGCAGTGAAACCTGAGAGTCCAGTTATCTGTCTTTAAATTTAATTCCTCTAAGCCAGTACTTACACCAGAACAAAAGCTTTCCCTCCCGTCTTCCAGAGCCCTCTCCCGCTGATCTGGAAGGAAGGGTGGGCCGTAGGAACAAGGACCGAGTCTTTGGAGAGACTATGGAATAATGTGGAACCACAATGCTCATTTATAGCTCCGGGGGACTGGGACCTGTCGCTACCTCCTCCAGCCTCCCCAGGCACATCTGAAAGGGTCGGCCCGGCCCTGGCCTTGCCCCTGCAGCTGCCAGACCAGAGGTGCAGGGAAGACAGCTGGTTTGTCAGGAGGATAATTGGAGGGAGGCAGTGGTTGAGGAGGCAGCAATCCACACAAATGCCCAACCAGTGCTTGAGGAACCAGGCCCAACACACCCTCCCTGTGCCTCAGCCTAACTGTCTTCATGCCGTGGATGAACCATGCCAGTGGATTTCCCTTCCGGGGAGCAAGTTGTTTGTGTATCAGGTAATAGCTACTTAAAGTGGGAAGAAAAGTGGGCCAGGGTTCTAAAGCACAAATATCTGACAAAACTGGGTATCTTGCTAATGCGGGAGTAAGCTTCCGTGCCTGAGAATGTTCTAGAATAGGCAGAGTAATAGCCTCATCTAGCCAACATCTCTGACACTCTCAGGACGTGAAGTCTCTATAGGTTTTAATGTTACCAAGGAGTAAAACTATGCAACATTTTAACAGCTACATAAATACCAACATTCATGTCTGTAGTTAATAGACAAAGTTTGATCCAGCAATTTGAATATCTAGATTATTAAGTATGTTATATATTCAGTTTCTAGTTCATATAATATTACATGAATGAAGCTCTCCCTCCTGGTGTCTTCCAGAAAACAAATGTCACATCCATCGACATGTTTGCCATGGAGCTGGGCCACAGTCTTGTAGCTGGATTTCTAAAACCTGCATTAGTGCCCAATACTCACCTCGCGGCTGTGCTAGGAAACACTCCCGCAGGACAAAAGGCACCATCCACTTTCCAGGATGTCAGTTGCGTGGAGGTTTTGGTCTCCTTTTTTCTGTGCTGCCTACATGCTAAGATTTAAGTAATTTCACTGTTAATCGGTGCTGTTTCTAATAAAAATGAAAGATTACATTCACAATAGTAATTTTTCAACTTTGGAAATGGCTTTGCTACAGAAGATGGAAATTACAGAACAGTGTGGAATTTTGTCACAGTCCATTTATTTCAATATTCTGAGCACTCCTGGCTAACAATCTAACCTCGAGGGTTTTCAGAATTTGCAGCAGAAGTCGGTGTTGGCAGTGCAGGTGCCTTCCTTAGGACATTGTCGGAGACACATGCAAATGTCTCTGCTGGCAGCCAGGCTCCAGAGACCCTGACCTGGTGCAGGCAGGTGCCGCTGCAGCGGGTCAGTTCAGAGATGCATGCAAATGTCTCTGCTGGCAGCCAGGCTCCAGAGGCCCTGACCTGGTGCAGGCAGGTGCTGCTGCAGCGGGTCAATTCGGAGATGCATGCAAGTGTCTTTACTGGCAGCCGGGCTCCAGAGACCCTGACCTGATGCCGGCAGGTGCTGCCGGCAGCAGGTCAGTTGGTTTAACACCCAGTTGTGCATTAACGGGTGGGCTGTAACATTTACATGGTGATCAGAGAGACCTCTGTCCACTTGCTGTTGTCAGCAGCTACTCTGTTTACCACTTGTCACCAGTTTTCTCCAACCAACATAATGTCCCTTTTCTAATGGCAAAGAATAAGCAGATTAAACCCAGACATGTAGGCTGATTACTTAGAGAAACCAGCCTCCATCATCATACATCAAGATCGTATCTATCCGCTTATCAGTACATCTGTGTGTATCCCGTTATGTAGGGAATCTTGAACACTCACACACTCCACACTCACACACCACACTTACACACACACACTCATGTTCTCTCACAGACTCACATTTTCTTACACACTCACACAGTCACACACACTTACACACAGGATACAACAGACAACAACCTTACAGTCATCCTCACAATTGTTGTTAAGAGAACAGACATTTCTGTTTCCTACAAGTAAATTTATTTGGAAAGAAAACAGATACAACTTTTCTAAATGAACATTTTTCTTCTCCTTTTATGAGTTAAGTTTAATTTGCTTTTAAGCATTTCAGATCTGACTTTGTTTATTCACGTGGCAGGTGATTCCGGGGCCCCTCGTGTGTGTGAGGGGCTCAGCACCACACGGGATGGAAGGGTGTGACCGGAGGGCACCTGCGTCCCAGGTGCGAGGAGGGAGGTGGGGTAGGGAGGCGAGTGATGTGAGACAGCGAGGCCGAGGGCCCTGGAGAGGGCTTTCCAGGGACGAGGGGTCAGGAAGGCCTGTACAGGGAGAGTGGCCCTTGCAGTAGAACTTCATGCTGGGAAGGAGGACAGCAGTCCCCAGGTCCCCAGACACTGAAGCCTGATCTATGGAGGTGGAGGAGAGGGGCAGGGGGCTGGCACCACGGCAGCTGCAGCAGAGTTGGGGGAGGTCACGGTGGACCTGAAGCTTGGAGGACAGTTGAAGAGGGGTTTGGACCCCGTCTCAGGCATGCAGTCTTTGAGCCACCAGTGTGGTGCTGGGCATTGCAGCATCCACAGGGGGACATGGAGTAGGCTGCTGTGGTCAGGAGTTCACAAGCAGGTGATGGAGGGCACTTGTGAGATGTGTAAGTCACCAGGGAGTGCATTCGACCTCTGCAGACCAGCCCAGTGTGCAGCGTGGAGGGCATCGGGGGAGGTGGTCAGCAGGAGGAACTCACCGCTGGAAGGAGAACAGGATTTGCACGGCCTCCAGGGAGGAGGCAGAGAGGCAGAGAGCCTCAGGATCAAAAACGCAGAAATCAGGAGACACAGGACGGCAGCTGGGGGAATGGCAGGGGTGCGGGGAGTCTGGGTCAGGTAGAATGGCTGGGACCAGATCCGGCCTGGAAAGCTGAGCAGAGTGGACGCGTGACAGTCCTGCCCTACACGTGTGGGCATGTGAGTAGCATTTGTGGAAACAGCGACTTAAATCCATAGAGATGTGTCAGCTCCTGCGTGTCCTGCATCCCTTTCTCACTCAACTCCGGCTCCCCTGGGAAAGTTTTACTCACCACGCCGCAACAGCAAAGCAGTGACTCAGTCCGCCACGGGGTGCGGGGCACGCACGCAAGTTCAAAGCTTTATCCCAAATGAAGCCATTTCTAGGGATGACATTTCATACACTGCATTTGGGCGTTTGCAGAGAGACGTCCACGCTGCTGAGTGTCACGCTGGCCTGGGATGATCGCAGCAGGAGAAGGGCAGGGTCACCAGCAGGTCCCCGGGGTGCCTGCAGCAGAGCTACCCCACAGGGTACATCACTTATTTACATTTTCAGATGCCACGATAACCAGCACTCAGAAATAACCCAAGACTTACAGGAATCTCTGCCATGTTGTCCCTGCGATAAAAACAGAAAAATGTTACAGTGAGATTTAAAGAGACAATCGTATTTCAATTTTGAAGAACTGTTTATTAATTTATTTTCATGACATGGAGATGTTGACTTTCTACGTATGATAATTTTTTTAATTACCAACTTATTCAAGGTTCACGCAAAAAAAGGTGAAAGATTATTGTAAGTGCCCATTGTGATTAAGTTAGAATTTTCATGAACGAACCTTTAGAAGTCTCTACCTCCTCTAGATGCATAGATGGGAAATATTTCAGTTTCTTCATTCTGATAGGCCCTATAAAATATAAGCAATATCTGATTCTGTGATCATGATAAATTTTCTCAAAACGTTAATGTTAGTATGCATTCTTTTCTAAAACTATGTATATCTAGAAGTAGCTCAGCACCAAAGAGGTTGAAGAGAGTTATCCAAGGCCATTTTGATAAATGATATCTTGGAACGCCTTTCTTCCCATTTGACTAATTATTATATCACCTTCTCCTAATCTGGAAAATCATGTTCTTGCCTGAGGCTTTTTAAAAGTATTTTACTGAATAGTTCCTCACTTGAAGAGCTTTTAAGTTATTTTTATCCTTAAAAAATAGTAGCTAACACGAGCTGGTACCGGGCAGGCACTGCGCAGGCGCTTGCTGGGTGTTGGATGCCGTTTCTGAAAAACAGACATTGTGTGAGGCCCTGGCCCGGCCGCTGTGCTAGACATTTGACACCATTGTTCCTGCGACCTCCAGGGACAGTAAGTGCTGCGTACAGCTCTGCAACTGTCCCCAAGAAAAGACCTAAAATAACTCTCTCCCTTACAAAATGCCCAGTGGGAAATGTATCTGCTATTTTTCCCGTGGTAAGCTGGGGGTCATGTCTATCCCGCAATACAGAATACGTATTAATGGTTATGGTTTCTCACTAGAGTTTTCAGATAAGAAATAATAAAAGTATTCTCTGGATATTTACAAAATCATGCAAATGTTTTTGGAAGTGTGAAAGTTAAGCCTGACACTCTGTTTCAGCTAAGAGAAAGGGTGCCAATCAGAGTGGGACACGCCATGGGCTCAAAGCGTGGTGCCCAGGGCTGAGAGTCAGATCCCCTGGGGAGACTGAGAGTCAGGTCCCCCGGGGAGACCGAACAGGAGGTTTTCCAGGTTTTCAGAACACGTGCCTTTGTCTGAAAGGATAAGAGAGCATGCCACTTCCTGCACACCTCCCTTGCCCTCGCTTCTTAATACAGGCTATGCATGTATTCAGCAGCAAAACTTCCAAAAAAGGTCAGAGAAAATGAGAGTTCTTTCCAGTTTATTGTGAATTCATGGTTTTCCTTGATTTCTGTGTTGGAGAGCTCCAGGTGGGACTTGTTTCTTGTGATGACTAGAAAGTGCGCCTCTTTTCACTGGTGACAAATCGATGATGCGGGGTCTGTGGCACTAATCTCCTGGGGGTTCCTGCAGGTCTTTTATGGACCATTCTTTTTTTTTTTTAATTATACTTTAAGTCTTAGGGTACATGTGCACAACGTGCAGGTTTGTTACATATGTATACATGTGCCATGTTGGTGTGCTGCACCCAGTAACTCGTCGTTTAACATTAGGTATATCTCCTAATGCTATCCCTCCCCCCTCCCCCCACCCCACAACAGGTCCCAGTGTGTGATGTTCCCCTTCCTGTGTCCATGTGTTCTCATTGTTCAATTCCCACCTATGAGTGAGAACACGCGGTGTTTGGTTTTTTGTGCTTGTGATAGTTTGCTGAGAATGATGGTTTCCAGCTTCATCCATGTCCCCACAAAGGACATGAACTCATCATTTTTTATGGCTGCATAGTATTCCATGGTGTATATGTGCCACATTTTCTTCATCCAGTCTATCATTGTTGGACATTCGGGTTGGTTCCAAGTCTTTGCTATTGTGAATAGTGCCACAATAAACATAGGTGTGCATGTGTCTTTATAGCAGCATGTTTTATAATCCTTTGGGTATATACCCAGTAATGGGATGGCTGGGTCAAATGGCATTTCTAGTTCTAGATCCCTGAGGAATCGCCACACTGACTTCCACAATGGTTGAACTAGTTTACAGTCCCACCAACAGTGTAAAAGTGTTCCTATTTCTCCACATCCTCTCCAGCACCTGTTGTTTCCTGAGTTTTTAATGATCACCATTCTAACTGGTGTGAGATGGTATCTCATTGTGGTTTTGATTTGCATTTCTCTGATGACCAGTGATGATGAGCATTTTTTCATGTGTCTCTTGGCTGCATAAATGTCTTCTTTTGAGAAGTGTCTGTTCATATCCTTTGCCCATTTTTTGATGGGGTTGTTTTTTTCTTGTAAATTTGTTTGAGTTCATTGTAGATTCTGGATACTAGCCCTTTCTCAGATGAGTAGATTGCAAAAATCTTCTCCCATTCTGTAGGTTGCCTGTTCACTCTGATGGTAGTTTCTTTTGCTGTGCAGAAGCTCTTTAGTTTAATTAGATCCCATTTGTCAGTTTTGGCTTTTGTTGCCATTGCTTTTGGTGTTTTAGACATGAAGTCCTTGCCCATGCCTATGTCCTCAATGGTATTGCCTAGGTTTTCTTCTAGGAATTTTATGGTTTTAGGTCTAACATGTAAGTCTTTAATCCATCTTGAATTAATTTTTGTATAAGGTGTAAGGAAGGGATCCAATTTCAGCTTTCTACATATGGCTAGCCAGTTTTCCCAGCACCATTTATTAAATAGGGAATCCTTTCCCCATTTCTTGTTTTTGTCAGGTTTGTGAAAGATCAGATAGTTGTAGATACGCGGCATTATTTCTGAGGGCTCTGTTCTGTTCCATTGGTCTACATATCTGTTGTGGTACCAGTACCATGCTGTTTTGGTTACTGTAGCCTTGTAGTATAGTTTGAAGTCAGGTAGCATGATGCCTCCAGCTTTGTTCTTTTGGCCTAGGATTGACTTGGCAATGCGGGCTCTTTTTTGGTTCCATATGAACTTTAAAGTAGTTTTTTCCAATTCTGTGAAGAAAGTCATTGGTAGCTTGATGGGGATGGCATTGAATCTATAAATTACCTTGAGCAGTATGGCCATTTTCACGATATTGATTCTTCCTACCCATGAGCATGGAATGTTCTTCCATTTGTTTGTATCCTCTTTTATTTCATTGAGCAGTGGTTTGTAGTTCTCCTTGAAGAGGATGGACCATTCTTTCTAAACAAACTTGTATTTGATCATTTACCAAACATATTTTAGAATTGGAAGGGAAGAAAAAAGTAAAGATAATATGAGAAGAGACTAAAATTTGGTTCTTAAAGAAGTATGAGACACTTGTGGGTGTCAAGGCAGGTGCATATTCGTTTAGGTAACTGTGGCTTTATAATTTCTATGTGATTTTGTACCAATAAAGTCCTCAATCACCAGAGTAATTTTCCTACTCTACGAACAATGAAAACCAAGTGCATGCGCAGTCATGCTGTAGAGTCATGCTGTAGAGCCGGCCGCACCAGCATTCCCTGACTCAGAGGTCCTGGCTGTCGAGGGTGTCAGTTGTAAGAACTGTATTCGGGTGACCGGACAGGGGCTGGGCATCCACCCCTGCGTTTCCCTTCTGTTCCCCATTTTCCTCTAGCTTCTCAGTGATAAATGATCACAAATCCTGTTCTTCCTTCCTACCACTTGATTCACAGCTCCTACCTGATTTCAGAATGTTTTTGTCTAAGAAACAACTTTCTTCTGGCAGGAAGCAGAGATGAGGTCAGGCTGCTCATGCTGTTCACACTCCCCTGACCTCTGTCCCCTGGCATGTGGGGTGCTGTTCACCCTCCCCTGCATGCCTGCTGTGTTCTAGGGTGGCCCTTGGGTATGAATTAAACATAAATTATCCCAGAGGGCTGACTTCCTCCATCACCTTACATTCATCTTCTGGTTTTAAAATAATTCTCATCCATTTCATTTATGAAATTAAAACCAAATGCATACTTTAACTCCACCTTACCCCTCTAGCCTCAGAGCTTCAACAGTGCAAATAGTCTCTCACCCTGGCTTCATACACCTAGAGGCTCACAAAAATCTGACTTCTGAGTTGTGTTGCGTTAACTGTCAGCACTCTATCCCATCAGGGCAGCACCAACTAGTCACCCCTGCCTGTTCTTAGAACTTTAAATTATTTTATAGATCACAGAAGTCAGCAAGCTTTCTCCATAAAGGGCCAGACAGTATATATTTTAGGTTTTGCAGGCTACGCAGTCTCTGTGGAGCCTCTGCTTGTGCACCTGCCATCAGTGCACAAAAGCAGCCGAGACAATTTCATCAGCAAATGAGTGTGACTGTGTTTCAGTGAACCCTTATGGACACTGGAAATTGAATGGCCTATGTCTTTCATGTGTCACAAAATACTATTTTTCTTTTTTAACCATTTAGAAGGTAAAAAAATATTCTCACCTTTCGAGATGTACAAAAACATATGGGCCAGATTTGGCCCCGAGGCATAGTTTGAAGACGCCTCTCACTGATTATTCAAACCTCCATACTAACCAGTGATATCGTGTTGTTCTGCCCAGTACAGAATACAAATGAAAAACTCTGGCCACTCTTAAAATATCTTATGTTTTAAAATATTACATAAAAAGCTAACAAGAGCACACATCATATTAATTGATGAGTAATTCTTGCATCAAGAAAGTGATATGCGTACATGTGTACATATATGCATACATATATATATGCACATGTCCATACATATATAAACATACATGCACAGACATGCATATGCATATATGCACCCATACATAGCAAGTACTTGATGCCAAGCCCTGGGTTAGGTGCTGGAAATGTAGGAGAGACAGGGACAAACATAGTCACAGGTCTGCAAGCTTGGGCTCCTGTCATTCCCAGGACCCAGTTACGGCATGATAGCAAAGAAACACCAAATATGATGTCAAACAAAGGGTTTGCCTTTCTACTGCCAGCGTGCTGTTGAGTAAGGGCCACTACTTCTGGGTCCCTGTTGTGTAAACTTGGGTTAGTAACATACACTCTATGTATGGCAGAGGACCAAATATGAAAGTGCATCAGAAAGGTCTTTGCAACCTGGAACCCAGGGCTGCCAGTTCACACTGTGGCCAGTCCTTGTTATGCATCTGAATTATTGCAGAACTTGCCCTCATCTTCTGTTATTTGCCAACATGTTTCTTTTCTTTTAAACTGAACTGTTGTTCCCCATCCCTTGAAGCTAAGGTTTCTGGCACAAATTCTTAATTTCTATGCGGCTCGCATGTGGATGTGATTCGTCTTTCAGTGTATTGATCCCTTTGCAGATTCATTGAGAAGTCTTCTATCTTAGTAGTCGCTGGCTGTTAAATCTTGGGCCCTGGAACTGACTGAAGTCATTATTGACAGGAACCCTTTTGAGCATCTGATTTGCTGTCTTGGTTGGATTTTTAATATCGATTGCCTTATCATTCCCTACTGCGACTCTGCATTTGCATGGAAATAACCTGCAAAGGCAGCAGTGTGATTTATTTCAAAATGATTATTTCTGTATAATTGGTGAACACGCTGCAGACCTCGGGAGGCCTGTTCGGAGGCCCGTCGCCTGCTTTCTGCATGTGGCCACGTCTCTGTCACCAGCACTTGGTACCGTCCTGCTGTCACCCAGCAGCGATGTACTCCAGGCGCCTCGGCTGCACAGAGCAGCTTCATCAGAGAGGCTGAGCACGCTTCCTCCTCCTCTCATCCTGCAAGCCAGAGGATGGAAGAGAAAAGGCGAAGGCTGGTAAATACTAAGTTTTAATTACCTGCTCAGTCACAAAACTGGTCAGCTTGGAAGTTGGAACTCTCCACTCTGGATTCATTTCTGCCACCTTCCCTGGACAGCCCTCCGGAATCATCCCCCAGATCCTGCTCAGAGACCTTCAAGAGGAGAGCTGCTGGCAATGCTGAGAATGCCCTAAAAACAGCCCCTCCAGCCACCTCTCTGTGGCTCTGGCCAGTCTCTGTCCCCAAACCTGGACATACTCCCGACCTCACTGGAGGATAAAGTCTGGCCGCTTGCTCAGCTCAGTCCTCCAAAATGTGACCAGCACTTGCTCAGCTCTGTCTCCAAAATGTGACCAGCACTTGCTCAGCTCAGTCCTCCGAAACGTGACCAGCACTTGCTCAGCTCAGTCTCCAAAATGTGACCAGCACTTGCTCAGCTCAGTCTCCAAAACGTGACCAGCACTTGCTCAGCTCTGTCTCCAAAACGTGACCAGCACTTGCTCAGCTCTGTCTCCAAAATGTGATCAGCACTTGCTCAGCTCTGTCTCCAAAATGTGACCAGCACTTGCTCAGCTCTGTCTCCAAAATGTGACCAGCACTTACTCAGCTCTGTCTCCAAAATGTGACCAGCACTTACTCAGCTCAGTCCTCCAAAATGTGACCAGCACTTGCTCAGCTCAGTCCTCCAAAACGTGACCAGCACTTGCTCAGCTCAGTCTCCAAAATGTGACCAGCACTTGCTCAGCTCAGTCTCCAAAATGTGACCAGCACTTGCTCAGCTCAGTCTCCAAAACGTGACCAGCACTTGCTCAGCTCAGTCCTCCAAAATGTGACCAGCACTTGCTCAGCTCAGTCCTCCAAAACGTGAGCAGCACTTGCTCAGCTCTGTCTCCAAAATGTGACCAGCACTTGCTCAGCTCAGTCTCCAAAATGTGACCAGCACTTGCTCAGCTCAGTCCTCCAAAATGTGACCAGCACTTGCTCAGCTCAGTCCTCTGAAACGTGACCAGCACTTGCTCAGCTGTCTCCAAAATGTGACCAGCACTTGCTCAGCTCAGTCTCCAAAATGTGACCAGCACTTGCTCAGCTCAGTCCTCCAAAATGTGACCAGCACTTGCTCAGCTCAGTCCTCCAAAATGTGACCAGCACTTGCTCAGCTCAGTCTCCAAAATGTGACCAGCACTTGCTCAGCTCAGTCCTCCAAAATGTGACCAGCACTTGCTCAGCTCAGTCCTCCAAAATGTGACCAGCACTTGCTCAGCTCAGTCCTCTGAAACGTGAGCAGCACTTGCTCAGTTCTGTCTCCAAAATGTGACCAGCACTTGCTCAGCTCAGTCTCCAAAATGTGACCAGCACTTGCTCAGCTCAGTCCTCCAAAATGTGACCAGCACTTGCTCAGCTCAGTCCTCCAAAATGTGACCAGCACTTGCTCAGCTCTGTCTCCAAAATGTGACCAGCACTTGCTCAGCTCAGTCTCCAAAATGTGACCAGCACTTGCTCAGCTCAGTCCTCCAAAATGTGACCAGCACTTGCTCAGCTCAGTCCTCCAAAATGTGACCAGCACTTGCTCAGCTCAGTCCTCCAAAACGTGACCAGCACTTGCTCAGCTCTGTCTCCAAAATGTGACCATGACATGAGTCACATCTTCTCTTCCTTTCACTTTTCCTCCAATTTGACCCAAGAACTGACGGTTCTATTTACTCTATGAGAAAAACGCCTCTGCATTTCCTAGGAGCCTGTCCTAGTAAGTTCTCAGTCAGCAGAATGATTTTAAGGAGTGTTTTCTTACCCAAAAAAGCTTTAAAGTCCCTTGAGTTTGAAAGAATTCTTAAGCAGTAATGTTTGCAGGAGAGTCTTTCCTGGCAACGTGTTTGTTCTGAAAGGCCCCTCCCTCAATATGATGACCATTTGCTTTGTGTAAAGTATTTTTTCTCAGAAACATAGGATTATAGACTTAGCTCCAGCAGTGTATTTAATTTGTATGAAAATAAGTCAGCCTCATGGTCCCCCCCCCTTCACCTGCAGCGTGACGTGTGGTGTCACGGCATTGCATTAGCGTCGTCTGCAGGGGCTGTGTTGTTGCTGGTCAAGACAGTTCACAGACAGCTCTGCATGAGTGATGCACGTTTCTCATCCTAGCACAGGGAGAGCACTGGCCTTCCTCAGCCAAAGGCTGATTCCTAATGGAGACGTGGACAGATGGTTCGCATCTTTGACTGAAGCACATTTTGAACTGAGAAAGAGAAAAACAGGATAGATTGGTAAAATTTAACAGCCTTCTTTACTCAGAAATATTTAGTGGACATCTACTGGGCACACAACATTCCAATCATAGAGAAAAACTATTCCAAAGGGCGTACAGTGGTGATATGTGGGCAAAGAGACACTTAGAATGCAGTGTGTACGTCCCGGGACACAGGTGGGTCCCAGTTACTGTGAAAGCCATGGGTTGATCACCAGCTTAGAATGAGTATGAGTACGGAATGCGTAAGAAGCAGCCACCTGGAGAAGCAGAGGAAACCTGGGCAAAGTTTCAGCAGCATCACACAGCCTGTGCCCCGGAGCCTGTTCTCAGAGGGCTGCTGGGTGCCCGGGGAGCTGTGCTTCCATGGAAGGTAAACTTGGGGCATGCTGCATCCTCCGGCTCCGCACATTGAAGCCCCTGAGGAGTCTTGAAATACAGAAGTGCTTTCCTAGCAGTTTAGCCACGGAGCAGTGCTTTTTCAAAGACCAGCTTTTGACATCATGCAGCACACCCGGGCTTCAGGAAACACAGTTGGAGAAAAGCTAATAAAGAGGGCTGAGATAATGGTGCACGGGGGCCCTGGAGCAAATGGTACAAAGAGGACGTCGCCCACCGAAGCTGAAGTCCCAGGAGCCCACCAAGGAGAGGCAGGGGCTGCACCAGGTGGGTGAGCCAATGGTCGCAAAGCAAGAGAATCTCCGAAGGAGCGATCAGGGAGGGCATAAAACGCACCACTGGATTTTATTAATTTCCGTCTTCTAATCCACAAGCAAAATGAGGGCAGGGACTGTTCTGTCCACCTGTGTACCTGCAGCCCTGGCTCCCAGAGGCAGCGGGAGGCTCCACTGTGGGAGGCAGGCATCTGTTTTTCTATTGCCGTGTAGCAAATCACCACATATTTTACAGCTTGAAACAGGTTTATGAGCTCAAAGTTTTGTAGGTCAAAAGTCAGGGCAGGCTCAACTGGGGTCTGTACTCTGGGTCTCTGGGTCAGGCTCAACTGGAGTCTGCACTCCCGGTCTCCAGGCCTAGCATTAAGGAGTCAGCGGCCAGGCTCTTCTTAGAGGCTCTGGGAGGGAACCCACTCCCCAGCTCACCCAGTTGCCAGTAGAATTCAGCTCTGTAGACTGTAGAATGGGCCCACTTCCCCCATCCTTGCTAGTGGTGGCAGGAGTCACTCTCAGGTCCCAGGGGCCACTCTCTGGACATGCACATGGTCCCCTCTGTCTTCAAGGCATCCCTGGCGCTTCAAATCCTTCTCAGCCTAGAATCTCTCTGACTTCCACTTCTGCCACCAGTGGAGAAAACCCTGCCTAAAGGCTCCTGTGATTAGGTCTGAGGGCCCCAGGTAATCTTTTTTTTTTTTTTTTTTTTTTTTGCCCCATTAGGTAACAATCACAAGAGACACTTCATCATAGATAGGCTCCACCATACTGCGGATGAGGGGTGCAGTGGGGAGCGGGACTCTGTCAGGGTGAGGATTAGTGGGAGCATCCTTAGAACTGTGCCTAACTCAAGGCACTATGTGAGTATCAGATGGGTGGATGTGTGGATGGATGGATAAATGGATATGTGGATGGATGGATGGATGGATAAATGGATATGTGGGTGGGTGTGTGGATGGGTGAGTGGGTGGATGGATGGATGGATGGATGGATGGATGGATGGATGGGTGGATTGATGCATAGGTAGATAAATGGATGGACAGATGCTGGGTGAATGGATGGGTGGATAGATGGATAAATTGATATATGGATGGATGAGTAGATACATGGGTAGATGGGTGGACGAATAGATGAGTGGACTAGTAGATGGGTGAGTGAATGCATGGATGGATGGATGGATATGTGGACGGGTAAATGATGGATGGGAGGTGGATGGAAGGATGAAAACTGTATAGGGCCTTACTCCTGTGCACAAGGTGTTTCCAGAGTAGTTTTAGAAACATTTTGATAGCAGCAACAACAAAAGCCCCAATTGTGCACCAAGACCAAGGACATTTTATGACATGCACTGCAAGCGCTCATCAGAGCAATGCATGGGGGAGCTCCAGCTGTTATATCAGTTTTGCAAATGAGGCAACCAAGCCTTAAAGAGATTAAATTATGTGCTCAAGGTCACACAGTAGATGATAGAACCAAGAATCAAAGTCAGCCATGTTTGGCTGGGTGGAGTGGCTCATACCTGTAACTCCAGCACTTTGGGAGGCCAAGGCAAGCAGATGACTTCAGCCCAGGAGTTCAAAACCAACCTGGCCAATGTGGCAAAACCCCATCTCTACTAAAAGTACAAAAATTATCTGGACGTGGTGGTGCACACCTGTAATCCTAGCTACTCAGGAGGCTGAGGCAGGAGAATCACTTGAACCTGGGAGGTGGAGGCTACAGTGAGCTGAGATCATGCCTCCGCACTCCAGCCTGGGTCACAGAGTGAGACTCAGCCTCAAAAAATAAAAATAAAAAAATTAAACAAAGTCAGCCATATTGGCCTCCAGACCTTTTCTAAAAGTCCAAATTCAACTCAGTTCAACTAGTGTGTTTTGAGCTGCCACTATGTCAAATTGGCCAAGAGCTAGGAATAATTTTTTTAAGTTCTTTGCTCCCCCTGAGAAGCAATTCCTAGTACTACCTGTGATGCCACTTTCTTATGACTGCTCTGGGTCTGTCCAGTGTTGGTACAAGTCACTGTGAAATTCACCAAAGGCTGCACAACCTAACCGAATCTACATGAATATTGGGCTCTTTAAGAATCTCTTATCTCTACGCCAACCGTGTTAGGGAAGCTGGGCATGTGGACTGTCACCGCGCTGAAGGAGGAAGGAACCTGAGCTCAGTGTGTGCAGCCTCACAGGGGTGACTGGCCAGCGCATGGCCGCGCCTCGCCGACCCCGTCCCCACCCTCCTGAGGCTCCCCTAGCACACGGCTGCCTCTCCTGTGGCCTCTTCCCTGCCGTGGGAGGTGCCAGGGGTGAGCTATGTGGAGCAAATAAAAACTATATGTTCTGGGCACACAAAGGAGGCATTGGTGTGAGATGGGTGGGTTGATGAGCCTCGTTTGTGGGAAAGTTTTCAAGAAATCTCTGCGGGAAGCCTGGCAGGCAGCCACATGCCTCTCATAGATGCAGAATTTCTGCCATCGCAAATCCACAGGCCACACCATGGCCCTTTTTGTTTCCTTTGCCCTCCCTGGTGACCCCAAGCACAGCGCGCCGTGACACAAGTATTCCACAAACAAGGAGCGTCCTCTTTGGCCCTGGCCCACACTTCCAAATTCCATGGTCTCTGCAGGGCTCGGCCTCCTTGAGAGGGGCCAGGAGAGTGGAGGCCCTGCGTGCCCCCGGCGCCTTCTCCAGTGGGACAAGGGGCCACAGCTTAAAGCTCGGTTCTGCACCTTTAGCCCCAAGCTCTCCTCACCTCCACCCCCAGAAAACACACTTGTTGTCGTTGCCATCGCTCAAAGTTTCTGTCCGACTCTTCACAGGCAGGGAGCAGACTATCTATCTGCTGGACAGGAGCTGGAGCTGAGTGCTCGACAAAAGCCCTGGCTCCCACTGGGCACAGCCTGCAAGCCTCTCCCCATCCATGAGAGAGGTCACCTGCGGCCCACTCTGCAGCCAGTGTACAGCCTGTCCAAGGTGGCCAAATGGAGAGGCACGGACCAGGAGCCCATTAGAGCCAGCAGAGCTGCACGGGCAATGCCCTCCTCGTGCCAAGAGGCTGATGGTCTGCAAATAGGCCCTGGTGCATTGTTTCTTCTGCAGCTTAGCATGTAAAATGCAACAAGATGTTCGTCTATTAGATATGTCAGCACACCCAGTGTTAAAGACATCAAGGAGCTCACTTACAGAACAGTACCCTGGAAATTGTGTCCAGATAGTGAATTACTTGCGTCAAAACATCCACAAAAATGAGAACCTGACCGGCTTCAGGTCTAAACAAATGGAATACTCCCTGCCTCCTTTTTCTTAGCTTTCTTCACGTGTTCCTGAAATCTGCGCTTGTAGGGGAATTGGAGGTGTCTGCAGGTGAGGGTGGAGGCTCTGAGCAGAGGCTGGCAGGGCAGGTGGTGGCCCACACGGGGTGTGAGAGGGTGGGCAGCAGGGCGGGCATGCTCACAGCCTCGGGGGTCTGTCTGGCATCTGCCAAACTGCTTTAGGTAAAAAGCCAATTGTAACAACTCCAAAACGTCTCACCACCATTAGAAGCAAATTGAGAATTAAAATTTAGAAAGGCCACTTGAGGAAAGTTGTATTATCTTATTTCAGTTTAGTGTGGAGTTTTTATATGGTTTTTCCTGGGCTAGAGGAAACAGTATCACCTTCTTTTGATTTTCTGAAAATAGGATTTTTTTTTTTTGCAATGGCTGAAGAATTGGATAACTTTTCTTTATTTCTCTAAAACAGTGTCTGTATGGCTTTAGAGTTTCTTGACCATAAAGAATGGTTTTGTGACTTCAGAATTCCCTCTTCCACAGATACCAGGTTGCCCCCGAAGGACTTGACTTGAACTTAGCTATGCAGACTCTTATTTTGCAGTGACAACTGGTCCCCATAAGAGAAGGTCTGAAACAGGGTCAGTTACAGGAATCTAGATCACACAGTGGCCCCGGTAGCCTCAGTCACCTTGAAGATACCGTCTGATAAAAGGATATGGGAGAAATGTGTATGTTTAAAAAAGCATAGCTTTAAAAACACCAAATCACAAACCAAATAATTAAACATTTTTCCATTGTGTGAATTCCACAATAATAGTTTCCTTGACCTGTTCCATGCTGCTGTTTTTAGTTAGCAGCTAAGGATTAATTTGAGCAATTATGGAAAATAACACATTTTGGTGTATTTAGATATATGGATTTATTTTTGGAAAATACTTCCTAAAGCAACTGTGGGCTAGAAAACCAGATTGCAAATCACTGTCAGAGAAAATTGTTCCATGTACCGGTACCACAGGGCCGTCCTGCTCCAATGAATTCTGCCATTGTGCATTTAAGACAAAAGTAACCAAAGCTTCCCGTCCCTTCCTGTCCCTTCCCGTCCCTGTGTGGAGGCCTCGTCAGCCCTCAGAAGTGGCTGCCCTGTTCAGAGCTCTTTCCACACAGAGTCCCTACGTGAATAGTACCATGGGCTCTTGGGTCTCCTTCCAGTACTTTCTGCCTCGGATACTGTATGGCCTTATAGCTGGATTGCCAATCATGGAAAATAAAGGAAGAAGCAGTAATATTTCCAGGAGCCATTCCCAGCCTCCTAACCATTGTCTGATTCCCAGCCTCCTAACCATTGCCTGATTCCCAGCCTCCTAACCATTGCCTGAGCCTCTGGGGACTCTCCTTTCCAGTTGCTTGTATTTTAATGTGATAGATCCCAAAATTTCCTTAGGCAATCGTGTGGACTCTAGGCCCTAAAAAGATGATCTGGAAGTGCATTTTGGTGGCTGGGGAGTGGGGCCCTGTGAGGCCCCTAAGATTGTGTCTAGGTTCCCTGTGTGGGTCAGACCTACAAGAAGGATATCTGTGGACGGTAAGCTGGAAACCTGGATTTTTGAGCCAGGAAAATTATTAGTTTCCGGGCTAAATTTCCTGGTGGTAGAGGACAGATCTGTCAAATCAGGTCAGTGGTGACTGCGTGTGTGTGTGTGTGTTTGTGTGTGTGTGTGTGGTCATTTTATGGGAACATAGAACACTCAAAACTAACCAAAATTGTACTCTGGGCTTTAAACCTAACTAGATGCGCTACCAAAACATACTACTTTTAAAGCCAAGGTAAAAATGTGGAGAACGAGTGAGTCTATTATTATGTTGATCTCTGAAATAAATCAGGGATGGGCACAATGTCTCATGCCTGTCATCCCAGCACTTTGGGAGGCCAAGGCAGAAGGATTGCTTGAGACCTGGAGTTTGAGACAAGTCTGGGAAACGTGGCAAGACCCCATCTCTGCAAAAAGTTTAAAAAATTAGCTGGGGTCCCTCTCCCCCTCCCCCTCCCCCTCCCCCTCCCTCTCCCTCTCCCCACGGTCTCCCTCTCCCTCTCTTTCCACGGTCTCCCTCTGATGCCGAGCCGAAGCTGGACTGTACTGCTGCCATCTCGGCTCACTGCAACCCCCCTGCCTGATTCTCCTGCCTCAGCCTGCCGAGTGCCTGCGATTGCAGGCGCGCGCCGCCACGCCTGACTGGTTTTCGTATTTTTTTGGTGGAGCCGGGGTTTCGCTGTGTTGGCCGGGCTGGTCTCCAGCTCCTAACCGCGAGTGATCCGCCAGCCTCGGCCTCCCGAGGTGCCGGGATTGCAGACGGAGTCTCGTTCACTCAGTGCTCAATGGTGCCCAGGCTGGGGTGCAGTGGCGAGATCTCGGCTCGCTACAACCTCCACCTCCCAGCCGCCTGCCTTGGCCTCCCAAAGTGCCGAGATTGCAGCCTCTGCCCGGCCGCCACCCCGTCTGGGAAGTGAGGAGCGTCTCTGCCTGGCCGCCCATTGTCTGGGATGGAGCCCCTCTGCCTGGCTGCCCAGTCTGGAAAGTGAGGAGAGTCTCTGCCCGGCCGCCATCCCATCTGGGAAGTGAGGAGCGCCTCTGCCCGGCCGCCATCACATCTGGGAAGTGAGGAGCGTCTCTGCCCGGCCGCCCCGTCTGAGAAGTCAGGAGTCCCTCCGCCCAGCAGCCACCCCGTCCGGGAGGGAGGTGGGGGGATCAGCCCCCCGCCTGGCCAGCCGCCCCGTCCGGGAGGTGAGGGGCGCCTCTGCCCGGCCGCCCCTACTGGGAAGTGAGGAGCCCCTCTGCCCAGCCAGCTGCCCCGTCCGGGAGGGAGGTGGGGGGGGGTCAGCCCCCCGCCCGGCCAGCCGCCCCGTCCGGGAGGTGAGGGGCGCCTCTGCCCGGCCGCCCCTACTGGGAAGTGAGGAGCCCCTCTGCCCGGCCACCACCCCGTCTGGGAGGTGTACCCAACAGCTCATTGAGAACGGGCCATGATGACAATGGCGGTTTTGTGGAATAGAAAGGGGGGAAAGGTGGGGAAAAGATTGAGAAATCGGATGGTTGCCGTGTCTGTGTAGAAAGAGGTAGACATGGGAGACTTTTCATTTTGTTCTGTACTAAGAAAAATTCTTCTGCCTTGGGATCCTGTTGATCGGTGACCTTACCCCCAACCCTGTGCTCTCTGAAACATGTGCTGTGTCCACTCAGGGTTAAATGGATTAAGGGCGGTGCAAGATGTGCTTTGTTAAACAGATGCTTGAAGGCAGCATGCTCGTTAAGAGTCATCACCACTCCCTAATCTTAAGTACCCAGGGACACAAACACTGCGGAAGGCCGCAGGGTCCTCTGCCTAGGAAAACCAGAGACCTTTGTTCACTTGTTTATCTGCTGACCTTCCCTCCACTATTGTCCTATGACCCTGCCAAATCCCCCTCTGCAAGAAACACCCAAGAATGATCAATAAAAAAATAAATAAATAAATAAATAAAAATTAGCTGGGGCAGTGGCTCATGCCAGCTACTTGGGAAGCCAAGACAGGAGGATGGCTTGAGGCTGGAAGTTTGAGACAACCCTGAGCAACACAGCAAGACCTTGTCTTTACAAAAAAAAATTAAAAATTGGCTGCGATGGTCTCATGTACCTGTAGTCACAGCTCCTCAGGAGGCTGAGGTGGGAGGATCACTTAAGCCCAGGAAGTTGAGGCTGCAGTCAGCTATTATCAAGCCACTGCACTCCAGCATGGGCAACTGAGCAAGACCCCATCTCTAAATAAATAAATAATTTTTTTCTGTCAAAATATCTGGTGGACGTCATGTTGAAAATATACAGAAAAGTGGTTACCAAAAGCCCCTCTGTGGGGAAGTTTTTAGTTGTCTGTGGCCAAATGAGAGTTGTGAGCTCTATGTGTATGCAAGGGGCCTGTGGGGTCTGGAATGTGTGCCGAGGGCGGGGAGCTGGGTCTGAATGTCTTATCTGTCGGAGACCTGGTGCTCTCTGATGCTGTCCCTGGCCCTGCCCCTGCCCAGGGGGACACCAGCAGGGCTAGACGTTGCAGCCTCTGCTCGGTGGGCCTCAGCAGGCGTGTGCGGGCAGGCGTGTGCAGGCAGATACAGGGTCTTTGCAGCAGATCAAAAAGCAACCCTACAATGTCACTTTAATGAAGCTAAGTGTATTCCATAGCCTTTCATCCTGAGGACAGGCTCTTCCCATTCTACTGATTCCAAAATTCTTTTGTGAAATTATATTCCCAGTACATGGTAGTTGTCTGCTTTTTTTTTAATGTCTTAGCTGGCAAAATAAAAACTTGGGAGTTTTGAGGTGGCGAGACAAAGGCCTGTCATTTTCATCCCTAACTTTTCCTATTTTACTGGCCTATGAAGTCTGGGAATCCCCATTTAGATGGGAACGATGCAAATACATAAAATAAGCCAACAGTGGCGACTCACGGCAGGCTAAGCCTCCACTGCATGTCTTAGAGCTTATTGTTGGGAAACCCTCAAGTTACCTGAGGGATGGTAATTTTCATTGCCTTCTGTCTCATTTAAGATCTGCTTGGACGTGATGTCCACCAGATATTTTGACAGAAAAAAATTATGTATTTATTTAGAGACGGGGTCTTGCTCTGTTGCCCATGCTGGAGTGCAGTGGCTTGATAATAGCTGACTGCAGCCTCAACTTCCTGGGCTTAAGTGATCCTCCCACCTCAGCCTCCTGAGGAGCTGGGACTACAGGTACATGAGACCATCCCAGCTAATTTTTAATTTTTTTTGTAAAGACAAGGTCTTGCTGCGTTGCTCAGGGTTGTCTCAAACTTCCAGCCTGAAGCCATCCTCCCCATTTAAGATCTGCTTGGACATTTTATTAAAATTCCCTAGTGAAATTATATTTGGATGATCCCTTAGGTCTAATGTTTTGAGATCTCTAATAAAAGGGGACAACATTTAATTAATTGTAGTGAAAAGAAGGATAGTATCATCTCATCCACAGAAGTCCACCGTGTTATAGTTAAATTGGGTAGTGTGATTGCCTTCGTGGAGAAGGTGATTTCTGCGTTATGTTTTATTCTAGTTTTATTCGTTATGTTTTCCTATGGCATGCTCTGGATTACTAACTAAATGCATTTCTGTTGGCCTGAAAACCCCTGGCTTTAGAACAAAGTTGCAAACCCAGAAGGTATCACCAGCGAGCCTCATCCAATAGCCTCAGAACGCCCGCGCTCTGCCTCCGGTTGCGGCTGACAGCCGCCCTCCGTGGGTCAAGCCAGCGTGAAAAGCGCTGAGTTCAGGCACAGACAGCGGCCTGCAGGCACCGTCCCTGAAACGAGGCGGCAGGGCCCCCTGACCAGAAGCATTGGAAGCACAAAGATTCATGCAGGGTGGTCGAAACCAAACTCAACAGGAAGAGCAACAGGCTCAGCCTCATCCCAGGCTCCGCAGTTGAGCAGGTTCCATGGCACAGGCTGGGAGCACAGCGAGCGGGATGAGCGATGCACTCACGGTGCCGCAGGGCATGGGGAGAAGGACGGTTTTTCGGAGAGGGAGTAACCCGCTGCCCACTGCTCCCCTGCGTGTGCCAGAAAGGCAGCAGCGGAACCTCGGCCTGTCCGTCCTGGTTTACTCAGGGTGTGGGGTGTGCCTGGGAACCCAGATGTTTGTCTCTCACACGTGCTGGTTTTGATGGAAGTTACTTGTGCGATGTGATTTCCACGGATGCAGGGGAATGGAGCACGAGAAACATGCTCTAGGTAAAAAAAAAAAAAAAAAAAAGTATTTCAATAGAGGACAGTGTCCGCTCTGTCATCACCATTCTACTGGAGACAGTCAGGTATGGATATTTGATTCCTGCCATGTTCTGATTAGAGCAAGATGAGAGTGGGACAGTTTCCTAAACAAGCCTGGAGCCGTTGCACGGTGAGCTTCATACTGTTGGAGGTAACACTCGGACAGACTGTCGGGTGGGTGTTGAATGTCCTGGAGTGTGGGACTCGGCTTTTGTTCATGTTTAACAGTCATTAACGTATCGATGTCCAGGTGGCTATGGTGCACCAAGACCGCTGAGTGCACTCGAGGTCCCTGTGGCTGCAGGCGGGGGCCCTGGCTCAGCTCTTGGCTCCCGACAGATCAGAAAGCCTCTGGGTCTCTCCTGGTCAGCCCTCCGTGAAGCAGCTGCTAGCCACAGATGCGTCAGCCATCGATTATCTGCAGTTCAATTTTACCCTGAGAGGAAAAGCCTGGCTGCAGTGAAAGCCACTTTGGGCTGGAGAAGGGCTGGTGTCAGACAGCTAGAGGTGGGGGATCGCCTGCGTTTCTAGAACATACGGAGGGAGTTTAGGCAGGAGTGAACGGCAGCTCCTCCATCAATCCCACCTTAACTTTGCTAAGTCTCAGTTTCTGGTATGAATAAAAGGGCTACTAAAACCACCCGCCTCGGAGAGTTACGAGAATGCACACATGCACCTCCCAAAACTCCTGCAATCTGCTCAGGAATGCCCTCTCTGCCACTCTCTGCGGGTGCTGTGGGTGGAAGGCAGCGTTTGTGGGAGGGTGGCATGGGGAGGACACGTCACCCAGGTCAGTGTGCTGCTGCGGAAAGGAGCCTGGGGTTATTTCAGGTAAGAATAGAAATGAATGCTCCCATCTCATAAACACAGAAACAGGCACATCTGGGCTCAGCGACTTGCTGGAGCACATCGGCTGGTCAGTGTTGGGACTGAGGTCGGCCTCCAAGGTCCTTCCCTGTGGTTCTGCCCAGACCTCCGGCCCTGGCCTCAGCCCCACCCTGGCGACTGCAGGCCCTGGCGCTGCCACGACGGCCGATTCTCCGTCGCCCACATGCTTTGATTTGCTCCAAGGAAACTGCAGAGCACGAGGGCCTGGGGCTTGTGGAAGGCGGTCCCGCTTGGCCATCCATGTTTCATCTGAGCAACACATCCAAAAGCATAAATTAGGGTTTGGACTTTAGGAAAGGATAAAGCAGAAAAGTTTAATTCTGTATTCTGGAACTTCAGAGCCATGCTAAATGGTTTTATTTACCATATTAGAAAACTCTCTGCAGAACCAGAAAGAGTGAAATTTTGCTACAGAAATTAATTTCTAAACAGAATTCTTTAGACCGGGGTATCCAATCTTTTGGCTTCCCTGGGCCACATTGGAAGAAGAAGAATTGTCTTGGGTCACACATAAAATACACTAACAATAGTTGATGAGCTAAAGAAAAAAGTCACAAAATAACTCATAATGTTTTAAGAAAGTTTATGAATTTGTATTGGGCTGCGTTCAAAGGCATCCTGGGCTGCATGCGGCCTGTGGGCTGCAGGTTGGACAAGCTTGCTTTAGACCATGGGTGTAGAGGCTGACTTAAAAATAAGTATATAAAAAGCAGCTTAACAGCTATCATGCCAAAATCTAAGTTTTTCTAGCAAAGAAGAGTGGGGGGTTTGGTGTCTTTCCTTTTGGAGTATACTCCAGTAAATATCAGCATCTTCTATTAGCAAACGTTCAATGCTTGTTGGACATCTGTGGAGGCCCCACACCATCCCAGATATGTTAGAGAATAAACAGAGCCTGGTCCCTGGCCCTCGGAGAGGAGGTCACTTGACTGGAGAGAACAAAGCAAATATGAGGCGATTAGAAGAGAACTAAGGAGTGACTCTGTGGTACTGGAGGGTAAGACGCACTCGGAGAAGGGTGTCTGGGCCTCCCAGGGCCAGCCTCCCCAGGGTGGGGACCTGGAGGCAGAGGCAGCAGCGTGGCCATTGTTGAGACCACAGAGGTCAAGGGCCTGCAGCATTGCACATGGCGCCACGGAGGAGAACAAGGGAACCCAATGGCAGAGAGAGGAGTGTGTCCTTGGAGCTCATAGAATGAGGAGTCCGTGCAGGCGCATGAGTTAGGAGCCTTGTGTTGCAAAGCCCTTTACGGATGGTCCAGCGGTTGTGCAGGCAGTGGAACCCACGAAGGGATCCTGGAGATGAGGGAATTAGCCACGATGTCGCAGTGAGAGCCCCAGCAGAAAGCGGCAGCAAGCAAAGGAAGCGGGGGGTTGTGGTCACATAAGAAATAGTCCAAAAGAAGGAGTGGCAGGACCTGGCGACGCTTGTGTGCTGGGGATGAGCCACTGGAAGCAGCCAGTCACACTGTAAAAATGAGGCCACGTGACCTTTCATTAACACCACCTCAGTGGAAGATGAGCTTCCTCAGGTCATGACGCCTGAGTTTCTTTATTTAGTAAACGCTATCCCCCACATATCACAGCTGCGTCCTGCTGTGCATTTCTGTGCCTCAGAAACCACTCGGAGATACATGATACCCCTGTTGTTGCTCACAGATGGTCAGTGATTTGAATATCACCACCTTCTAAAGGCCAGCATTGTCCTAGCAATAAGATTAGGGTGTGGTGTTGTTGTTTAAGGAAGTTTTCCTGCAATTGCAGAAATCGATTAATACCACAGAAAATATTATAAGTACATATTTTGGAAAATGTAGATCTGCATGTTTCACTAATTGTGTAATAATGCTCTGCTCTATAAATATCCAAATGTAAAAGTCTGCATTGGGATTTCGTTTGACTGAAGGCAATATTAACGACTAAACTGCACTCGCCCCTACCAAAAACGCTGCACATCCATAGATTTAGACTTCTTCGCATACTTCTTATGTGTTGGGAGAAGCTACTTTGGGGACAAAAATGCCCTTCTCTGTGCCTCACAAATAACTGCATTCAGGGACACAAAGCCCAACTGTTGCAAAAATATTAGTATTCAGATGTTCTTGTGTTTTGTTAATGCATTTAATTATGTACAATATAGCTATTGTTTTCCTTTCACATTTGCATTAATTTATATTAGCTAGAGAACATAAAGCACAGCTATAAAATCAGACTAATCATTTCTGTTGTTCTTGCAACCTATAAATAAGCATTGCACCCTGCAAAAACTGCAGCTTTGTACTGACCACAGTATTCTTCACGTTGCTTTTTCAAACACTACAGTGCAATGATGTACTTAATAATATGTTATAAAGCTTAGCGTTCTTACATAGTTGAATTTCACCAGTGGTCATGGAAGAACGGTGCCACCGAAGTCTCCCGCCCCACCTGGTCCTGCCTTTTCCGCACTTGTCCTGGAGCAGGTGACCTATTTTTCAGGCACAGGGCTCAGCCAGCACAGTCACACTGGCAGCCGTACGCAATCCCTTGGGTGCATGGACGAGACCACCGCGACCCTGGGTTCCAACTGCTGGCTTTACACTTTGCTGTTGGCAAACATCTGTAATGTATGTGAGAGCAGGTTAACCTGCCTTGGAACCAGGTCTTATGTGGACTGCATGATACGTCTCACTTACAGGGCAGTTTCTCAACCCAGATGATTTTGATTAAAAAAATCAGAAGCACTGGAATCCTTTTTCCAATGAGCGAGAGTTGTAAGTGTGCAAACATCCACGACTATCAGCAGCAGAAGGAAAGCAACCCCACCTCACTCCTCCCATGCCACCACCCCCAGAACTGGTGCCCTCCCCTCTTCGCATCCCCCAGATGAGACCTCAGTGCTGAAGGGGCCTGTGTCACCGTGCGTTCTCAGATTCAAAAAAGGCCACCCGCTGCAGTTGGCCAAAGACCCCGGGAAATACACTGAGAAATAAAGAAAGGAGCTGCATTGGAGTCCAAGTGCTCATGATGGCTTAAAAGTAGAGGCTGGGCACGGTGGCTCACACCTGTAATCCAAGCACTTTGCGGGGCCGAGGCAGGTGGATCACGAGGTCAGGAGTTCGAGACCAGCCTGGCCAACATAGTGAAACCCAGTCTCTACTAAAAATACAAAAAATTAGCTGGGCACAGTGGCAGGCGCCTGTAATCCCAGCTACTTGGGAGGCTGACGCAGGAGAATGGCGTGAACCCGGGAGGCGGAGGTTGCGGTGAGCTGAGATTGTGCCATCACACTCCAACCTGGGCGACAGAGTGAGACTCCATCTCAAAAAAAAAAAAAAAAAAAGGTGCATCTTCACAGGCATTGTTTTATCTACAGCATCGCCCAAGGTCAGCCACCTGGGAGGCTAGCAGGCTGTCATCTGGCTTAGTCAATAGTGCTATTAATGCAAGAGGAAATTGCATTTTTATTTAAAGTTTCTACAAGAATTGCTGAACCTGGGTTCCAATTCTGGTGGTGCTCTGCCTGTTTGCGTGTGTGTGTGTACACGTGGGTGTGTGTGCACCAGAGCGGGGGTCACCTAACCTTACCAAGTACAAACTTAACTCAGGTGGGAAATGTGTCAGTCCCACTCTCCCTGAGAGCTGCTGCCAAGAGACGTAGAATCTTCCACCCGAGAGGCTGCTCCTACGGCTTCATCTTCAGAGCTGCTGATACCAAGGCTGTACGGAGCGGAGGGTGGAGGACTCTTTCTCAGAAGACAACACTCTTCCAGACATTTAGTTTAACAACTTAACATCCCCCAAGTTATGTGTCTTCTCAGTCCACGTGAAGAAATGCCCTCAAAGTATTTTTAGTGTGAACCAAACCACATGAGAAACATCTTTTCCTCACCAACGTCTTTATGACTTTCCTGCCTCTTAGTAATTGTGCAGAAAAGAGTTCACACTGCAGCCTGGAGCCGTCCACTCTTAGGCAGGCCTGTGGTGAGCTAGGTCCCGGGGTGTGGTCTGGGAATGCGGGTTTCCAGAGTGCTCCCACCCACCATGCCCTAACCGGGAGGGTGGTTCGCTGTGCCGGAACAGCTGTGAGCACCACATGGTCTGTGCAGAACAGCGCCTTTCCTCTGAAGGCTGGAATCTTGGTGGCACCAAGCGAGGCAGCCTATGAGACCAGCCCCGAGTAAAGCCCTGGGAAGGGTCTCTAACGAGCCTCCCTAACAGACAGCATGTCACACATGGGGTCACAGCATGTGCTGGGAAATTCAGCCTCCCATGTGACTCTGAGGAGGGGTTCCTGGACTTCGCCATGCACCTCTCATTGCAATGAGTCATAGCAGTGACAGGACCATATCCTAAGTCCCGGGAGCTCTCCTAGCAAGTCAGGGAAACTGGAGGGGTCACGGGGACCCCAGGGCAGTTACTGAAAGAGGTCCTTTGTGGAAACCGACGTAGAAGAATATCTGTCCACTGCTCACTCTTGGTCGCTTGGCAGGCATGCATTCTCAACTGTTCGCTGGTTCCCTGTCTACACCTTCCCCAACCAGGCCACCTGCAGCCACTCTCCCCACTCCCCCACCCCAGGCCAGAGACCTTTCTTTCCTTAGTGTCCCAGCCAGACTCCCAGTCCCTGTCCCTCTCCCAATTGCTCAGGATGGAAGCCAAGGTGCCCCCGGCCTCTGGGTACCACCATCTCCATCATATCCCTCCACAGAGGCCGTCCACTAGAATCTTCCCTCCCCAGGCCCCGCTGCTCCCCAAACCAAGCCCTGTCTTCTCGCCACATAGCTGCCTGCTCTGCCCTTTCCACAGTCTGTTCACAGCCATCAAGGCTGTGATACCCCTGCTGTTGCTCACAGATGGTCAGTTCCCTGCACAGGCCCTCCTGCCTCCCAGGTTACTGCCTGGCCTGGGAGGTTCTCAGCCCGGCCATCCTCCTGGACCCAGAACCAGCATGGCCGCTCTCCTGCTGCTTCCGCCACCGGGAGCCGATTCCGCGCAGGCTTCCAGTGGGGGCTGCCTTCCCCTCTGCCAGAAGCACCCTCCCCAACTTCCCCAAGTCCTCGCAGGGCCCAGACTCTCATCTTGTCCTGTCATTTCCGCAAGGACCTTCCTGCTGACCCAAGCCCTCTCTGCTTTCCTGTTCTCTTGCCTGATGTGAAGTTGCACATTGCATGAGTTGGGGCTGCCAAGACAAATTACCATATGCTGGGGGCTTCAAACTACAGGAATTCTTCTGTGACCATTGTGAAGGCCAGAAAGCTCAAGTTGAGATGTCTGCAGAGCCCTGCTTCCCCCGAAGGCTCTACAGGAGAATTTGCTCCATGTCTCTTACTCCTGGTGGTGCCAGAAGTGCTTGGTGTTCTGAGGTTTGTAGATGCCCCCCTCCAGGCTCCTCCTCCATCTTCACACCTCTCCCCTGTGCATCTGTGGCTGTGTCCAAACTGCTCTCTTCTTACAAGGACACCAGTGATTGGAGTAGGGCCCACCCTACTGCAGAATGACCTCATCTTCACTTGATTCCACCTGCAAAGATCTATTTCCAAATAAGGTCACACTCACAGGTACAGAAGTTAGGACATGGACATATCATTTGGAGGGATACTATTCAATCCATAACATACATTTTCACCTGCTTTCCCCACTAGAATGTAGGTTTCACGAGGACAAGGACCTCGTGAATTACAATCACTGTAACTCAGATATTTAGAATGGTACATTACACCTATTTGGTACTCATAAATAATGGATGGATGGATGGATGGATGGATGGATGGATGGATGGATGGATGGATGAACAGGTAGGTAAATAGATGGATACATGAGTGGATGGATGGATGGATGGATGGATGGATGGATGGATGAATGGATAGATGGATGGATGAACAGGTAGGTAAATGGATGAATACATGAGTGGATGGATGGATGGATGGATGGATGGATGGATGGATGGATGGATGGATAGATGGATGAGTGGATGGATGGATGGGTGGATATATGGATGGATGGATGGATAGATGGATAAATGGGTAAATGGACTGATATGTGGATGGATGGATGGATGGATGGATGGATGGATGAGTGGATAGATGGAGGGGTGGATGGATGGATGAATGGATGTATGAGTGGATGGGGGATGGATGGAATGGATGGATAGATGGATAAATGGGTAAATGGACTGATATGTGGATGGATGGATGGATGGATGGATGGATGAGTGGATAGATGGAGGGGTGGGTGGATGGATGAATGGATGGATGAGTGGATGGGGGATGGATAGATGGATGGGTAGGTGGGTGTGTGTATGGATGGATGGATAGATGGATGGATGGGTAAATGGACTGATATGTGGATGGATGGATGACGAATGGATGAATTGATGGATGCATGCATGCATGAGTGGATAGATGGTGGGTGGGTGGATGGATGAGTGGATGGGGGATGGATGGATGGATGGGTAGGTGGGTATGTGTATGGATGGATGGATAGATGGATGGATGAGTAAATGGACTGATATGTGGATGGATGGATGCATGAGTGGATGGATGGATGAGTGGATAGATGGAGGGGTGGGTGGATGGGTGAACGGATGGATGAGTGGATGGGGGATGGATGGATGCATGGATGGATGGATGGGTAGGTGGGTGTGTGTATGGATGGATGGATAGATGGATGGATGGGTAAATGGACTGTTATGTGGATGGATGGATGAATGGATAGAGAGATAGATGGATGACTGGTATTACAGGAATATGTGAGTGAATCCTGTTTTCTGTAGATAAGTAATAGAGTTTGGAGAGGAAACTAACTAAATGATATTTATTTAAACCTAACACTCTAACTTGAAAGCAAAATGGATTCATTGCCCTTCGTGACAGAAATGTGGTATTTTTTGGAGAAAGCTATGAGATGCTGGTATACAACATGAAATATCTCAATCCCACTTCAGATTTCTAATTGTTTCTGCTTCCAGAGGAGAAGCCAAGTCAAAATGTCCTGAATAAGCAGTTCTCTATTGTGAGAGGCCTCTTGTGGAATCTGGGATTGAAACAATTCTAAATGCCCCACTTCTTTCATGCATGAATTGCAAAAAGATGTGGCAAGTTTTGTTTCTACCAAGAAAACTAAAAACACCTTTTGTCAAATAAATGCTCCTTGCATATTTAACTTATGCACCAGTGGCCTTTTAAACAGTCAATGTCCCATCAAGGTGCCTGCACATCTGGGCTCTCCGGGAGCAGCCATGGCAGCACCCGGGAAGAAACGCTGATGTGGCTGCTCTGCATGCTCAGATGACTTCATCGGGAAGCCTGGGTGCATTTTACGCTGGGTGCCAAATCTCGAGTAACTGAGGAATTCCCAGAGCCTTCTGAAACACAGAGCTGCAATAAGGCTGCTCCATCCAGGTTAGCTCCATCCTAGGCCAAGGGCTTTATGAGGACTGCACATATTCTGTGGGTTTTATAGGAGACAGCTAGGTCAAGACCCCTCAGAGAAAGCTGCTTTGTCCGGTGCTCAGCTTTGCACAGGCCCGTATTCATATCTCATTGTTGTTTGCAGGAGAGGCAGATGCGAACCAGAACAATGGGACCTCCTCTCAGGACACAGCGGTGACTGACTCCAAGCGCACAGCGGACCCGAAGAATGCCTGGCAGGATGCCCACCCAGCTGACCCAGGGAGCCGCCCCCACTTGATCCGCCTCTTTTCCCGAGATGCCCCGGGGAGGGAGGACAACACCTTCAAAGACAGGCCCTCTGAGTCCGACGAGCTCCAGACCATCCAAGAAGACAGTGCAGCCACCTCCGAGAGCCTGGATGTGATGGCGTCACAGAAGAGACCCTCCCAGAGGCACGGATCCAAGTACCTGGCCACAGCAAGTACCATGGACCATGCCAGGCATGGCTTCCTCCCAAGGCACAGAGACACGGGCATCCTTGACTCCATCGGGCGCTTCTTTGGCGGTGACAGGGGTGCGCCCAAGCGGGGCTCTGGCAAGGTGAGCTCTGAGGAGTAGAGGAGTTTTAGTTTAAATGGAAAAAGCAAAGGAGAAATCAGTAGGTGAACTCAGCCATTAGAGGAAGAACTGGCACGTAGCCTCTTGCTGTCTAAGGTCTCGTTCCGTGCTGGAGAATGCATATGAGCCCAAGAGTGTGGGCCTGAGTGGCTGCTTAGGACGTTTTCGTTTAACTCACCCCCTCTTTTCCTCACAAGGGATGGTGGCCGGGGTGTGGCTCAGGAATGTAAGGACATGCTGAATTCTGGATCTCTAAGGGTGCCTGGACATGGGCGTTGCAGAAAGAGAGCCACATTCTCAGGGTCTCTGGTGGTGTGTGCTTGCGGACTTGATGACTGATGTTGCCTCTGCAGCCCACACGCTGGGGTTCAACACTGGGTTATGCTCGTTTTTTCCTGGAGTCAGTGCTGCTAGCTTCATGTTGCTCTGCGACAATCATAGGATTGAGGTCGAGGAAGACTTTTGAACAAACTCCTCAATTTAAATCCGCCTTGAGCAAACGTTCTCTGTGGTCTGAGAAGTGGAAGGGGGGAGGGATAAATGAGTGTCTATGAATCAAAGCTTTATTATCTTGTGATTCCATTAATTTGCATACAGAGTCTTAGAAGTTTCTTTATTCAAAAGCAAATGTGGATAAAAATGTATTACAAAAAAAAAAAACTCTGCTATGGGGTCCAGAGTCTAGGAGTGGTTTCTGCAGTTGATTGTCAGTGGAGAACCTGTGGCTGCTGGTTCATCAAAGCGCTGGTCCCTGAGTGCCATTCAGATTGCAGATGCAGTATTTTACGTGATGTTTAGAGTGTTTGGTGGTTGTGTAATTTTGGAGAGAAAGAAGTTTTTCCCAAAAAAGTCCCTAGTTTATTGGGTGTTCTCACACAACCTGTAAGATGAAGCTGTTTTTCTGCCTGTGTGCAGGGCTGATTCTGGAATTCCAGAAGGCCTTGTGGGAGCGTAAAAGGCTTTTGAATAAAGTGTGGAACAGAGCGCCTCATTCTGATAACATGCAATCATAAAAACCATAGGGCAACTTGGAGTTAAGGAGTTTCTAGAATTTGCTTTAGTCTCCAACTGCAATTCTTTATTGATCATGAAATTGTTGAAGAGAAACACAAATGTCAGTTTTACCTTTCCTGTGGGCGTGAAAGCACATCGAAGTTTCAGGCAACTGTTAACATCTCTACCATCTGTCTGAGTTGAGATTTCAGGTTGTGACACTTGCCGTGACTTATTTGTAAATGACATTTTGTGTGTCTTAGATACTAATGGAATTCATATTCTGGCTAGTTCTTTCAGTGCATTTGTAGACATGTTCTTTTCCTTTGTAGCAGTCCTCCCTCACCCTGAAATGTTGGTGTTCTAACCGATTTCTAATGCTAATTTCAACTGGAAGCACTTTTTCAAGCCCAGCTATCAAACCACACCAGACATGTATGGATTCGGGTTGCCCAATAAAGCGTTGCTATTATGTAAGCATCCCTCACGCATACAGCATCACCAGTTTTGAAAGCTTGAACTATTCTGCTTACTTCAAGGTACAGAAAAAAAAAATGTACTTAAACTGTGCAGAAAAGATGAAATCACTGGATAATATGTATTATAAAATAAGCTTCATGTGAGTGACACTGGTTTAAGTTGAAATAAAATGGTGAAAGCATTGATATCAATCATTGTGACTTTATCTCAAAACAATATTGACACACATAGATGTTTTTCTTCCTTTATGGTAAGATTACAGCCTTTATTGTCTTAAATCTCTTATACTCTTCAATATTTTCAAAGAAAACATTCTAGTCTCAGAAATAGTCCATCTCTTTGCAAAACAGGGCTGGCCAATTATCAAGGACCCATAAAAATCAAAACACTTTCAAAAATTTTAAAAATAAAAATAATTTTCACATGATTGCTTTAGGAATTTTGAAGTATCCATTCTTTTCACTATGGAGTGTTGAATATAGAAGATTTTTTAATGAACAGGCTTGCCCTTTGATGCCAAAGGCAAAAAATAATAATAATAACATTTGCACGTGTGATCACAGAGCAGCTGTGAGGCATCCCGGGGGAGCGCACGCAGTGGGGATGTGATTGCTCCACTCAACTATTTTATCACAAAGTGTTGTAAACATGGGAGATGAAAGCTTAACTCTCTCTACACCCAGCTACAGACCCGCAATGGCCCTAAAAATCTGGGGTATTCATTGGGTGGGCTGCCATGGAGGAATTTTTGGTTTTGTTTTTATTTTTATTTGTTGTTCTGTTTACAAATCAGGAGAGCCCCTGTTTTTATATGCTAGGAAGGTCCTTGGGATAGGCCGAAGAGGTGTGCAAACGAGCAGTGGAAGGCCCGGGCCCTGTCTCTCAGGACCACGGCGGCCTGCCCCACACACAGTTCTGCTTCTCCCTATCTAGAACGAGGTTTTCCTGGCAGATTCCTGCCAGACTCTGAGTGGAGCCCCCCCATGACCCTATAAAAGGGGCTGTTTGTCCTCCTCCCACCCTCCTGTGCTCTTCCTCCCTCCCCTTGAGGGCACATGGCCGCTGGTACCACATGTTGGAGCGGCCGCCCCCGAGCCCGGGAATGCCCTAACAACACCCATGCTTGTGTTGCTGGGAGCTGACATTCAAGAAAAGTGCATTAAAAATTCCTTGAGAAGGCATATTCTTTTGAGAGCCGTAAATGAAAAGTGCATTCACGGAGAACATGCTCCTTTGTTGTGAGAGGAAAGAAAGGACTGTTGTTGCCTTTAAGGAACAGGTTTCCCAGTTCCCCGGAATGTCAGGGTCACATGAGGAATGGGTGAGCACTTAGGGCCAAGATTGTCGTGTGCTTGGCCCGGCAGCTTCTCTCTAAGTGACCTCTCCAGCATCACTCTGTGCCAGTGCTCATATCTGAGGCCACTTGAGTGTCACGAGGCAGAGCCTGGAAACATTAGCTTTGGAAACCGTTCCTTCCTTTTTATGTGGAGGAAGTAAGGTTTCACAAGACACCTAAGCTGGACATGGTGATGTGCCACTTGGATAGTTCCCAAAGCAGAAAGCAGCCAGGACATCCCAGTACCCCACTTCTCCGTGCCGTGTACTTTTAGGGAGGTTTTCGAAAGCTAGCTTCTTACCGATGATTTTGTCTATTTTTCTGTTTTATGTGAAAACCTTCATTTATAACCTGCTCTTCTCAGTGTTCTTCTATTCAGCATTCAGTATGACTTCTATGCCTCTAATTGCGACTGTATGGAGAAGAACTGTTTGTCATTCAGTGCCGTGGGATATAATCAGTCCTGTAAATTCATCAGAATGTTCTGTTGCCTGATTTTTTTTCCATTGCATTTTAATTTCATTAAACATATTTTAGTTCTACAGTAACCTAATTCCTCATTGTTACCATGAGATCCTAATTCTGTAGCTGTGTTCTGTAATCCCATGGGGCGTGTACCATTTGGAGACACATGAAGGATACAGTAGACAGCACGGAAGGCAGCAGCAACACACAGGGGTGTCCTCCCTCCCCAGAGCCCAGTGTGCACACAGAACCAAATTCAATCTCATTCATCGTGAGCTTGCATGGTAACTGATCCAGCCACTCAGTACCTCCATTGGATAAGAGATTTGGCCACAGATTCTTCTAGAGAAAATCCAAATGTGGAGGGTGCATTTGTTTCTGCACCCAAACAAATACCTTTTGAGATTTCTTATAGGCATTCCTCTCAAAGTCTCATTACTCTGATCAGTTATTGATCGGAGGCTACCCTGGCTCAGTCACCAGCTGCTCACTGTGTCCTTCTGTGGTCTCAGGAGCTGCAGTTGTTGCTGTTGTATGAATAGACGATAGTTAATTAGACTGGATGTGTCTGTACTGGCAGTGATTTTGCAACTTCCTCTGTATAAGCGATACATTTGTAAATCATGGGAATGTATTTGATGGTAATTGCCTGTGGTGGTTGTATCATGATTTAATTTTATTATGAGCTTTTGGCTTTATATATTTTTCTGCCTTTTTATGCATTCATTAAACAGTTTAACAGACCAAGGACAGTGTACTAATTGCATGCGAACTTCTTTAATTTGTCGTTTTTGGTTTGGTTGCCCCCACCACGTCAGTGTGCTGTGTTGCCGGCATTTTTGTGGCCTGGTGACACAGCTGGCAGGTAAGTGTGAGCACCCGAGCTCCTGCCCTTCTGTGTGGGAAGGTCACAGTTGCTCACTCATCTGCTTTTACTACACAGAGACATTTTACTGTCTTCTCTCACCTGACCTGTGCTTCTGTGTGGGAAGGTCACAGTTGCTCACTCATCTGCTTTTACTACACAGAGACATTTTACTGTCTTCTCTCCCCTGACAGTTCGGTGTTCTGGTCTTTCTATGGTGACTATTCTGATTCTGCCTGAAGTTTCTTGTGTTTCTCTCAAAGCATCATCCCGCAAATGTTAGGGAGGGTGGACGCTGAGCAGATCCCACTGGCAGGTGCTGTCATGGACACAGCCCGCCCCACCAGCATCTCCTGAATGAACGTGCACATGGGTGCCAGTGCCCACAGGGCCCCCCGGGAGCTCACACACAACGGGGGTCATGGGAACCTCGAGACACTGAAATGAGGGGATGGTGCTGGCTCTCTGAAAGATGATAATGAGTGTATGAGATGAAGCTGAAACTTGGGGTCTTTGAGAAATTAGAAACAAGAGTAAAGATAAGTGATTGGCTTGGATGCGGTCCTGCCTTTCATGTCCCATCAGACCCTCGTCTTAACTCATCTCCTCCCTTTAAACTCATTTGCATTTTAAAGCATTCATTTCTCTCATCGTTGATTTTCCTTTGATAAAAAGTCTGGACATTTGATAACAGGCAATTCTGATCGGTGAATTAGGAGCTTGGCTTGACATCTGAGGGAATAGATCATCCTTAGAAAAAAACACACAATAGCACTCGTGAAAATCACTTAGATATTGATACAAATTTAAGAAGTGTGGACATTTCCTATCAAACCCTGATTCAATGTTTTTAAAAGTTTTTTCCTTTATGGCTATCAGCACACTCTTAATGCTCTGAAATCATCCTACTTCATAAAAACGTAGTAAAAAAGAAGAAACAGCTAAAGAACACTGAACTCTCTTGAGGGAGCCCCATACAAGCGGGCTTAGCACACACAATTTCTCCTAAGAGGCTATTCTTGCCTTTCGTCTTCTCTGGCCCTTGCATTTGTCCTCCCTCTTCCTGGCTCTGGGAGTGGCAGGCAGCCGGGGTTACAGGTTGCATTTCCTGAAAACCATCAGTGGGATGTCTTATGGCTACCCCAGCCACCTGCCTTCCCCATGAGTAGACAGGGAGTCAGTAGAGGGGCTTCACGCCAGCCCACCAGAGCCACGAGAACATGCCTCACAGTGATGATCTTCTTTGTGAAGAAGAGCCATTGTAGGAGATGGAGGGAAAATTAATGGAAAGTTCTTCGCTTGTTGGCCCTGTACATAGCGTACACTTGCTCACGCTCATGGACACCAGCTGATGGGAGTCACTGCTTATGAGGACAGCCAAGTCTCATCAGCACAGCAACTCCCGCAGGCTTATCCACGGAGACCTCCTCTAAAGTGAATACTCAATTTACTTACCTTTAATATCATGAATTAAAGTCACCAGAAATTCCTGCTAACCTAGAAATAGCCTCTCTCATGCAGGGAGAATCCATCAGGAGACGTACAGCTAAGCACACACTCACCACAGATTTGCCTCTGAAAACCCCGGTGTGTTCACTTTCCATAATACTTCTAGAATGCTCCCACATTCTTCAGTGTCGGAACTACTCTATTCTCATGCATACTCAGCTGCTAACCTGGTTAAAAGAATCCATTTCATCTGCAGCCAATACATCTCCTGAAACCTATTACGCTGATTTCATCTCTTGACCACTATAAGTCTCCTCTTTCTCTTCTCTCTCTGTCTTCATTTTGCTGTAGCTGATAGTCAAGAAATAGACATTTCTTGCAGGGCACTTACCTTGGTCCTATAATAATAGTCTTTCAACTGCAGCCCTCAAAGTTCATTGATATAGCAGATACTCTCGTGTAACTGACAAAGATAATACATTAAGTTAGGAGCTAATGCTACTTAGGAAGATTTGTAGCCGCAGAGCTCAGGTGAATGCGTAGCTCCTGCTCCTGCTGAGGAAGATTAACTTCCTGCTTATGTTAAATTCCTAACCTTCACCAGTACCAAGGAATAATGTCAGCAAGAAAATCAACTTTAAGTAATTGGCTAAAGTGATTTTGAACACTATTGCTCCTAAAAATTATTTCCTCATGCTCTGCAGAAAATCGGAAAAGGTCCGTCCTCGGTTCACTGAACCTTCACAGAGCAGAAAAAGTTTCAACCTGTAAATCCAATGCAGAAGATAACACACTTGCTATAAAAGAAAAAATACAACTCTGCAAGTAAAGTGGAATGTAAAATTTATCCATTCCATGGTAGACGTCAAAAAACCCTTTTAGTGCACTTTGCTCCAGACTGGGAAAGGCCTTCTGCACTGGATCCTAGAAATCTTTCACAGCTGGTGCCTGCTGCCATATTAAGAACTCTTGGTCCCATTGTTTGATACAGGGCCTCAGAATAGACTTTGGAGGAGAGAATTCTTCCCTAAACTTTCCTTTTGCTCTCGATTTCCTGAGTCCTTCAGGGCGCATGCCTGCCCTCTGACCTCCCATCACCTCTTGCTCTTCCTTCCATCATCCATCATCTGCACATGCCTTCTTCTCTCCCTGTCGTCCTTCATCCTCCACCCCCCGCTCACTCCTCCTCACTCTGGGCTCTTGCCAAGCCAGCTCTAGAGGAGATTTGCTGGAGGACTTTGGGGCATTGCCGGCGGCGCCCACCCGGACTCACGCAGCCCACTCTGTGTCCCCCGGCAGGTACCCTGGCTAAAGCCGGGCCGGAGCCCTCTGCCCTCTCATGCCCGCAGCCAGCCTGGGCTGTGCAACATGTACAAGGTAAGACGCCGGCGGGTCCTCACCCATCGGGGCCAGGGGTGACCTGCCGTTTCCTGAGCTCTCAGCCACTGTCCCTCGGGGCAGGTAGTGTCACTGCCAGGGGCCCACCCCCAGCCTCCGGGGCATCTGTGAGGCCGTGAAAGCAGGGAGGCAGGCCTCCCCCAGGGAAAAGCAGCTGCAGGAAGAGACAAATGCCCAAGAGGGGCATGGAGGACCTGCCTTTGAATCCTTGGAGGGAATCCTCTGCAAAGGGTATGGCTGTCAGCTCAGGATGATGGGCAGCCTTGGTGAGAGTCTGCCTCACTTTGCCGAGGCCTGAAGTGCGTGGAGGGGCCCGGGAGTGGCTCTGGTATTGAGGGCTGGCCTGGTCTATGGCCACGTGCATACCCGAGTTTGCTTTGAAAACTAGTGCCTAGCAGACATTTAGTACTCACTAAACATGGGTTGAATTGAGCTCTAAACGATGAGTGTCCTTGGGACGTCTGGTCTCTCTGGGCTCTGTCCTCACCTGAGCTCAGCTGGGCTCTGCATAGGAAGTGGGCTATCGCTGTGGCCTGTCCTCTTCTCCTTGTGTGGCTGCCACGGCTTCTCAAAGCACATAGGTGCCAGGAGCACTCACAAAGAAGAGGACAGCCAGGAGGAGAAGGGGAAGGGGACAAGCCCAGAGCTGGCACTGCCGTCACCGTGAGCAGGGCTGCCGTTTGCACACTAGGAGCGGTCACCACAAACCTGCATCCACCAGGCCCCCCTCCAGACCCAGGCCACCACCGTCTGCACCGTGGCACCTGGCTTTTTAAGCATGGGAATGTGCAAAAGATTGGAAACAGCTGCTCAAGTACCTAAATAGCGAGAACATTTCACAGCTATGCTCAATGGCGCACCAAGTTTGAGGGAGAGCTGGGGTACCCCTCTTCAGAGGCCGGCAAGGGGGGACCATTTACACTCAGCAAGGAGCACAGGAGCACGGGGGACAGGACGCCTGCGGATGCCAAAACTTGGAGGCCCTGAAGGGGAAGCGTCCGCCAGGTGTGGCTGCATGTCAGACATCATGCTAGTGCCTGGCTGTCCAGGGCTGCACCGCCGCGGGCCAGGAGTAGGTTTATGAGGAATGAGGATGTGCCTGCTGGCCCCGGGATGGCCAGTCCAGGCAGTGGCTGAAAGTGCAGCAGAGGAAGCCAGGGCTTGGGGGCAGAAGGGCCCTGGGGGAGCCGGGGCCAGACAAGGGCCAGGTGAGAGCCCCAAGGTGGTCGTGGGACTTGGAGTGACTGGCGGCTGCGGCTGGGGAGAAGGATTTCTTCCTGAAGCCACAGGGGTGGAGGCAACCATGCACCCTGAGGGGGTCTCAGTGGTTTGGAAGCCCATCCTGAGAGTCTGTGTTTAACTTGAATCGTGTCCTGGTTGTGAAGCCGCACTTGGTTTTCGAGGGCTCTCTTGGTGATGGAAAACACCACCACTACCCGCAGGTAGTTTCTGAGGGTCCCCCGTCCTTCTGGGAGGCCTCTTCTCTGGGGTGCACTGGGGCTGTGGCCACCTGGGCTTCACTGAGACCAAGATGGGGCTGCATGCACCAGCCCCTGCCTGGGAGGCACCGACCCTGCCGGCCCCGCCCTGGAGAGCAGTGCTGGCGAGAAGGAGGATTTTCACTGTGTGTGCAGGAATATCTGATGTGTGGGAGGGGTGAGCTAAGGGTGGCACAGCACCCAGTGTGTGACGCGCTGGCAGGTAGCGGCTTGGCCCCTACCCCGTTCCCTGCTCCACGAGAGGCACGCTGTCCTCAGTGGACCCTGGCCACAGAGAGATGGAGCCTCTGCCAGAAACCCCGTGTAGCCAAGCAGAGTGGAGAGGATGAGAGTCCCAGGCTTTGGTATCCAGATCATAGTAAGAAACTCAACAGAATGCTTCATTCCTCTTCTAAAAAAAATTATTTAGCAGGGAAAAGCAGCCCTTCTGTTCTCCACAGTTTCATCCTAGACAGGTTTTGCATATACCTTTAAAATCCTGGCCAAAGATAAGTAAATCCTCTACACAACGCTTTGTCCACGTGGCTGCCTGAGGCTCACACTCCAGGACACACGCGGAAAGGTGGTTAAAAGTCTGCAGGCTTCCAGGACTCAGCTCCTTGTGCTCAGCACTTGTGCACTTGTGGACACCCCATTCTGGTCCAGATAGGAAAAGCAGTAGGGGTGTGTGTGCGTGTGTGTTTGTGTGGGGGTGTGTGTGGTATTTACATGTCTATGGAATGAAGGGAAAATGAAGATAAGCGTAAGTTGAAACTAAAGCCTGGGCAGGCTGTGTGGGCTCCCAGCGTTGCTCTTAATGGACAGAGAACCCTCCCAGGGATGCGTGCTAGAGGCCTCAACTTCTCCCTCCAGCCCCCTGAGCAGGGGCCGGCGATGCCTGGCTCACAGAGGCCATCTCTGCAGGAGGTGCACACAGAGGGTGCAGGCGGGCTGGTCTGAGAGCCCCCAGGGGTGCCCCTGCCCGAAGACGGTGGCAATCCCACGCCATTTGCATATTGAGTGGAAGAATAAGCGAGGAGCTTCCCTCTCTCGTCCCTGAGAAGGAGCTTTTGAGTTAGAATGCCTTCCTCCGGTACTTTGGGATGCTTTATTATTGCAAGAAAGTGGCTGTGAGGGCACCAGCCACGGAAGAAGGAATTGCAAGGCCGGAGGCACTAAATGGTTTTAAAATACAGAGGGATTTTAAAATGCAGGGATTCCATGACAAAGGACCCTTGAAGTCAGCTCCCAACGGAGACAGAAGCAGCTGGGTGGAAGGCTCAGGCTGAGCAGTGCCAGGAACCAGCAGAGTCGGAACCAAGAACTCCCTGCCCTGCGGCTGAGAAACGCGAGCTGAACAGAGGGCCTCCGCCTGGGTCCACCTCACCCTGTGTCCTCTCCCTCCCTGTCTCTCTGTCTGTCTACTTCCCCCTCTCTCCCTCCCTCTTCGTGTCTCTCTCTTCCTCTTCCCTCTCTCTCTCTGTGCAAACACACCAGGAGGGTAAGGGAGACACCCCAGCTATGAAATAGGCAACAAGGCAAAGAACAGCCTGGCTCCCGTGCTGCGGTGCCCCCTCCAGCACGGGACCCTGCTCCGAGCTCCCTGACTCCCAGAGACACCGGTGCTCTCGGGGCTGACAGGGCTCTTTTCTTTGAGGACTGGAAGGCAGGCAGCGGGAGCACAGTAGGGGAATATTGCGACATGCGAGAACCCAAAAGCAAGCTGGGGAAGCAAGGATTCTGAGGGGAGAGGAGCAACACGCACGATGGGGAATGGCTGCGTGGGAAGTGGACCCACTGTTCTCTGCAGTTCCTCTGTCTGCTCAGCCCCTGCCTGCCCGCCTGCCTGTCCATCCCGTGCTGCAGGTCCCTGGAACCCGGTGCTGGGCCTGCACTGGAGGCTGGAGTGAGGGCGCCAGTGGTGCAGCTGGAAAGGTGGCCCCGGGCAGGGCGGCTCCTCTCGGCCCCGCCAACGGTGCCAGCTCCTCCAAGCTCCAGGCTCGGCCTGGGGCCCAGGACACTGACCTGAGCAGGAAGGGGCTGCTCTGGGCTTCCAGCAGCCACTGTCTCCGAGTCCTCGGACGTCCTTTCTGCCTCTTTCTCACAGACCCTTGTGCTCCTGGCCTGACTTGGAGGACACTGTCCACCCCTCAGCCTTGGCGCCCATGGAGGCTTCTGGAAAGACCTGCCCTGCCTCTGAATCCACCATCACCCAGCACACTGGCGTTTAGGAAGCAAAGCATTTTGTGCCATGGGAAAGCACAGGAGGAAGAACCAAAAATGCTTGGCTCAGGTCTCATGGCACTGCGTCATAGCCGTGGACCTGGGGCAGGTGTCTGTCTTCTCTGAGCTTCCTTCCCTCTCCTGTGAAACAGCAATGGTGGCAAAAGCGTCACCTGTCCTGCAGATGCTTTGGAACGTTGTGCTGATCAAGCAAGAAAAGCAATGCAAAGGCCCCACAGGAGCCTCGTCCTCTGAAAACATTGGTGTCATCATAACCCTGCCCCAGTGCCACTCCACACTCGTGCTATTCTGGAAGAGGCCTGGCCACCCTCAGAGCTGCTGGGGAGGGCAGTGCTGGCTCTAAAAGCCCTGCTGGCCCTGGCCCCTCTGCCCCTCAAGGCTGTAGCTTTGGGTCCTCTGTGTTTCTGTGCTGGGGCCTTAGTTTCCGAAACTGTAAAATGAAAATCCGAGCGGTGAACCTCATATCAATCCCTGCTCCCACCATTCTCAGAAGGAAATGGTAATCAAGCCTCAAAAGCCCCATGGTTGGGGCAGCTGGACTAGAACTTCACTCTCTGGCCATCAGCTCCGAGTCATCTGCGTTTGGGAAACAGACGTCTCTGAGCCTCCCCCGTGGGAGAGGAGTCCCTCTTGCCATGAGGAAGAGGAATTTTTTCCGTGGGTCTCTCGGGACAAGGAACAGAGACCCTGCTTCCCGGAGCTGTGGTCATGAAGGGTGTGCTCCTGCATGGAGACGCCATGGCAACATGGTACCTGGGGGCGGGCTGCCATCAAGGTGCCAACCAGAGAGGCCATGGCACAGCCACCCGGCGGAAAGCACACAACCATTTTAAGGACTTCCTCGCCAATCTGACAGCAGCTTTCGCCTCTGACAGGTGCCGTTTGTCCACCTCCGTTGCTTCTCCCTCTTCGGCACACTCACCAGGATGAGGAAGCTGGAACCCGGCGTCAAAGCTCTTCCTCTTTGAGGTTAAACCCAGATCAGAAAAATGCAGCCACTGAAAGGGTTTACTTAATGGCAGAAGCACAGGCTGCCGAACTTTGATTTGTTGTATCCTTCTGTGCCCAGAGCCAGAGCCCCAATGTGGGTCCCACAAGGTTTCGTGCCAAGAGGTCTCTGATACCGACCCCTGTATCACCAGCGGACAGAGGCAAAGGCCCCCAAAGGAGGCCACGGGAGCTTCACTTCCCCATGAAACATGGGAGAGAAAACACAACCAGATATGCCCCGACCACATCTACAAAAGCAGTATCTGAATCTCTGCATCCAGCCTCACAGTTTGCTAAGAGGAGAAACGCTGATCCTTCCTGTCATGGGGCAAAGCAACAACCTCCCGAGTAGGGCACCAGAAGGGAAACCACACACACAAGCCACGGGCGCCAGCGGCCGCCACCCTGCAGCGCTCTCATTCCCAGTATCTGCAAGGAGCTGCATCCTCTGCAAGGAGCTGAGGTAACAGCCTCAGGTTACCTGAAATCTGCATCAGAACGAAAGGCTTGTCTGTGAATTTTTTCAGACATAGAGAAAAGCCCGCTATTCTGGATGGTGCACAGCTTTCTGTAAAGAAAGTAAATGCCCGTGACTTTCATTAACTCGTGCGAGCCGATGATTCAGGAATAAACATAATCTTCAACCCGGCAAAGGGCAAAAACACAGGAAAAACTGCATCTGTCATTCAGACAGAAAAGAATTCTCTCCAAACTGCAAAATCTAAAATGCCCTGATCTTGCTTTTAAAAAAAAATCTAACATACTCTCCTGAGGCATGGTAGGAGCTGTTTGACCAGAAATCGAATAATAGCTTCCTTGCGGCGGGGAGTGGGGGGGGACACATATATATATATGTGCTTTTTTTCAGAGGAAGCTATTATTTAACTAGTATTGTAACTAGTATTTAACTAGTATTGAAAAGAGAACCACAGTGTTCTGTGATTTCTCGGAATTGCCAGAGCATTATGAAGTCAGGGGGATGGAGAGTAAGAAAAGGGGAGACAGCATGGCCCACCATTTACAGTCGGATGTGTCGTCTCATCTCCAGCCTTGCAGACTTTGACACCCATGTTCTGTCCAATAATACTGATTTCACTGGTGCCTGTTTTAGCTGCTGGTTCCAGTTTCCATGGGAAACAGATACCATGACCCTAAGCTTCAGATAGTTTGCAGGGGGTCTGCTGTTTCCCACTCCCACCGGTTTTTAGGTAGAAAATACGCACGCATTGAATAACAGAAGATCCCTGGAGAGAAAGGAAGATGCTGCGTAGGTGACTGTCTCCTTTGAGCATCTTTAAGGAGGATCATTTAATCACTTAAACAAGGTTTCTGGGGATGTCAAGGATCTCTGTGAGCCACAAAAGAAGTGTGATGTAGGGAAAATGGCAGAAAAGGTGCATCTATTTCATCTAGAACTACATTTTACGATTCCTAATTCAAAAAATATACTGAAGAAGCATATTATCACTTTCACAAGAAAAAAATTATATCAAATATACCTCTGTTCTTTCTTATCATGGCAGCTCAGAAAAACAGTGACACCACTATCTTCTGTGGTTCTGAACAGGCCACACAGATTCATCCCTGAGCTCTCTGTCTCTGAGTTTTTTCAGATTAACTTCTGAGCTCTCTGGTATCTGCACTTCCTGAGAGTGCCAGAAGAATCAAATATTACTCTGGGAGGTAAAAAGAGTAAAAAGCAAATTCATTCGCCCTTCACTCTCAGGGCCACTGCTGAAACCGTCGAAATGAACAGCAGAGGTCCCGAATGCCGCTTTGTGGATGTGTGCAAAAACCCGCCATGTGCAACCTGGAAATTAAAGGAATAAGGACCAGGAGATATGTTGGTTGGTTGGTTTTCAGTCACATAGACAAAATAGGACAGTCCAGACGATGCCATCTGTCAGTCCTGAGGCATCACTCTCCACTGAAAGGAGGAACTGATGGGCCCTTTGTTTTAATTACATAGAAATGCGTCTTTTAAAATGACAGAGAAAATTGAAAAATCTCATCTCATTAACTACACTGGCATTTATTGTATCCATCAGTGTTTACTAGAAAATTAGTTCCCAATTATTTTGGTAAACAGCAGCAATTGAAGCTTCCCTCATTCCCTAGACACTAACTGGCATATGTCATTGACTTTGTCTACAGATACTAGTTTATTTTTCTCGTCTGTGAGCACACTGTTAGTTCTAGCCAATAGCTTCATAACTTACTACAAGGTAAGTCTACAAATTCTTGTAATAAAATACAATTTAAAAATCCGTTCTTCTCCCTTCCCTTTTCCCTTTCTCCTATGACTAGCCAGTGAATTTCCCCATAGGCCGCTGACTTTCAGGTGGGTAACGTGAGCCTCTCATCCTACGTTCACTCCACAAGAGTCTCGCTTGGCATGCAGTCTAAAGTTCAAGCCCTAGACAGCTAGCAGCCTCTGCGAGCAGCTCCCTGAACCTCTGTGCATCTCAATATTCAAATCTGTAAAATGAGTGGTGACGTGGGAGCAGTGCTGAATGATATTTTTGGTTTACGATCACACCTCGTGTTTTAAAACCAAGACGCCTTGCTTTCTCTATTCTGGCTTTGCATTGAATCCTTTTGGGGACACAGGGAAAACATGTACATTCCTAGAACTTGGACCACTTACTTGATTAAGACAATGCCCATAAGGAAATCCCTACTGCATTTAGCCACTGGATGGTAGATGCTGCTCTCTGGGCATATTGAGATACATTAACAAAGAGACATTTTTCTAACGTGTCATTCTGCAATGACATCATGGACCACACGACAAAGGGAAGAACAGGTGCTTGCTAAGGCTCCACAGCCGAGTGCTGATGGGTGCATCTCTGTAGCAAAGGCCCTAATGGGAGGCCCAGGTGGAGAGAGCCAGGTGCATGGGACCCTGCCGTGGTTGCCTCCATGAGAACGCACCATTCCAGGTTTACGAGAGGCCAGAGGTCTCCAGGCGGCAACTCCACATGGAGCCAACTTCCTGTGCTCCATCCCATCAGGTGGGAAAATGGGGCAGATGTTATCAACACTCAGTTATTTGACCCACTTCCCCAAAACTGGCACATAATCAATACAAATGGGGAAACAAAATGTACTGTGTTAATATGTGTGATCTGAAAGGAGGCAGATCATCTCTAATGATAGTTAGAAGATGTTCCAACACGTGGCTGTGTCAGTAAGAACACTATCATGAGGGGAGGGTGTAGATGAGCAGGAACTTTCTTACAGGCTTTTTTTCTTTTCTTTTTTTTGAGATGAAGTCTCACTTTGTCACCCAGGCTGGAGTGCAGTGGCTTGATCTCGGCTCACTGCAACCTCCGCCTCCCAGGTTCAGGTGATTCTCCTGCCTCAGCCTCCCAAGTAGCTGGGATTACAGGTGTCCGCCACCACGCCCAGCTAATTCTCGTATTTTAGTAGAGAGGGGGTTTTGCCACGTTGGCCAGGGAGGTCTCAAACTCCTGATCTCAGGTGATCCACCCGCCTTGGCCTCCCAAAGTTCTGGGATTACAGGTGTGAGCCACCGTGCCTGGCCTCTTACGGGCATTTTCTTAAGTAAGTCATCCAAGTTCTAGGAATGCACACTTCTCCTTGTGTCTCCAAAAGGATTCCATGTGAAATAGGAGTAGAGACCTCCAATACCTCGCCCATCTGTTAAAACTGCAGCGTGGGTACCCTGGCAGGCTCATTAGCTGCCGTGGACTGCTGCGGAGTGGCTGGAGACTGTCAGGCTACGCTGGGCCGATCTTCTGGGTAGGTGTATCTACACCCGTGTATCTAGTGATTTACTCTCCTCTGGAAGAGAAACGCGGGCACACCCCAGCCTGGGATGGCAGGCGAGGAACCCCCAAGCCCCAGCCCTGCATGGTCCCACCTGGAGGCTGAGATGAGCTTCAGGGTCCGGGACAGTGAGCGGGGACCCTATGAGTGGGAACCGGGTGGGCGGGGACCCGGTGGGCGGGGACCAGGTGAGTGGGGACCGGGTGGGCAGGGACCCGGACAGGCTCAGAACCATAAACTCACTAGGTCTTCACGTATTGACCTTATGATCGTTGATTCAGGGAAGCAATTAAATTCCTCTCTCAGACAAAGAACTAAGAGCTTGAACTCTTTTTTTACCAACTCCAGGCACCCGTGAATATTAATCTTTTTTCAAATTAATTGTAAACATTTCTTCTGAGAGGGAGTGACTCCATCAACGTATCTCCTTTAATAAAATCCGAGTGGAAATGATGCTGCCAAGAAATGCCTTGGCCCTGCAGCCGCTGATCTTCAGATGCATCGGGCGGCAACTCATCTGTTACTGCTTCCCAGTTTCAGAACGCCCAGCTCCCCAGGCCTTAAAACAAATTGGAAAGCAGGGGAATAAAAAAACAAAAACAAAAACAAAAAAAACAACAACAACCCTCTTCCTGATTTCTGGAGAGAAACAGGCGGCGGGCAGCAGCCTGGGTGCTGTGCGCAGGAGCTCCGCCTGCTGGTGATGGGTATCATCGCAGGTTGAGGAAAATAATTCTTCAAAAATCATGCAATCAAACAGCCTAATGGAAAAAGGAATTTCTTTTACAAATAAATGGCCACCCGTGGTCTTCCTCCCGTGATTTTAAAAACTTTTCAGCAAGTTATTTTTATTTACCAAGCAAACGTTTGTCATTTTGTTGTTGTTGTTGCTCTATGCATCGTGATGAAAAGCTCTACTGATAGGAAGAGGCCCCAACACTGTTGAGTAAAACAAGAAAACTCAGATGAAGAAAACAGTGTGTCTAGTATGATCACTTTTAACGGCATTTGCATATTTTGTCTGTGTTTTTGCACAAAGCCAGATCTAACAATGTGCTCATCAAAGTGTAAACCAGGGTCATCCTTCGGTGGTAGAATTTTTCCACAAACTTTCTTATTTCATGGGATATCTTCATATGAGCATGTATTATTTTTCTAAACAATAGAAAATATTAGTTTTTAAAAATCAGGTCTTTTTTTAATTCTTCAGCTGTCCCAGGTATTCAGCTCCAAATTAGCCAAAAATTTTGCAGAAATGTCCTGGCCTCATCTCTAGCTGGCAAAACACAGGTTGCAGGATGCCCCCCAGCATCTGAGTCTACATCACAAGGTGCGGCCCTGTGTCCATTTCTTCTTTTATAGTGCAACTGACATCCTAGCTCTTCCTCGCTTTTAATCACCCACAAAGAAAGTGCAGTACTTGAAACAGGTTGGGGATGGCCCAGAAGACACAAATCTCAATGAATAACCAAAAATGTTCACAGTTTTGGCTTTTTTTAAACCTTAGTGAGTACAACTAAAAGTATATCAGGGAATTACTAAATGTGTGTCCTAAAAAGTAAGCAGGCCATGTGTGGTGGCTCACGGTGGCTCACACCTGTAATCCCAGCACTTTGGGAGGCCAAGGTGGGTGGATTGCTTGAGGCCAGGAGTTCAAGACCAGCCTGGGCAACATGGTGAAACTCGTCTCCACTGAACAAAAATTAGCCAGGTATGGTGGTGCATGCCTGTAATCCCAGCTACTTGGGAGGCTGAGGTATGAGAATCGCTTGAACCCAGGAGCGAGGTTGCAGTGAGCCAAGATCACGCTACTGCATTTCAGCCTGGACAACAGAGTGAGACTGTCTCAAAAAAAAAAAAAATACCTAAACTAAACAGCAGGAACCCTTTCTGTCCTAGAGAGCTGAAGTTCAGCTCTCAGTTCACTTTCAGGATGACCTTATACGTCACAAGCGTTCCTGGGGCCGCAGCTCAGAGCTTCTGATGGGGTTGACGGGGGAAGCGGAGGTTGCGAGGCTGGCCCAGGCCCTCAGCGGTCTCCTCCGGGAAGGCTTGAGGGTGCGCCACCCGCTTCAGCGTCCCCCATGGCTGGTCTGTGAAGTGACTTGAGTTCACCTTCACCCCCTAAGTGCCCCACCCAGCTTGCGTCCTCCCCTCACCTCCTCCCGTTGTTTCTTTAAGGCCTAGCATCTTCTCCCAGCTCCTCCCACCTAGGAACAGGTAACCTGTTTATCATAAGGTGTGACAGAATGATAAGTGCCCACTCCCCATAAATTGAAAAACCCCCCAAAACACTGCTCTTAAACCCCCAAAACACTGCTCTTAAACCCCCAAAACACTGCTCTTAAACCCCCCAAAACACTGCTCTTAAAATCCGCTGACACCTTGCATCTATCACATTTCCTGCACCACTGGAAGCCGTGGAGTAGGTGGTGCGTTTCTACAATTGAGCTGAGCCGGGTTTGTGGTGAGCAAGGGGCTGTGGGGTCAACGAGGAAGGAGCCAAGGGGCTGCATGAAAGGACTGCAGACCCAGATCATGGCCCTGCAACCAGCCACCCACAGGAGAGCGGGGCAGACACAGGGCTGTACTTCTCAGCCAAGCCACCCTAACACTGTGTGTACGTCTCATCTCATAAATGTAAATGCACGTCGACCTTCAAAAGAGCAGCAATGTCCCGATGCCGCGTGCTGCTATTCCTTCAAAGAATAAGGGAACCTCGGCAGCTTCACTTCAGGCTGTTGGGGAAAGGAGGGTGGGGCGTTCGGGCATCTCTTCTGCGAGTCACCCGAGGGCATGGGAATGTCATGGCCAAATCAGATCAGCGTGGCTCCGGGGAGCCTGGGTCACTTCAAAGGTGACTGAGAACTAGAGCCAGAAGGTGGAAACAACCCAGAAGTCCCCGGAAGGGTGAATGGATGAGCAGAAAGCAATCCGCGCATACGGTGCCGTGGATGTCGTTCAGCCTAACGGTGGAAGGTGGAAGGGGATTCTGACGGGGGCCGCAGCACGGGGCGCCTGGAGGGCACTGCGGTAAGTGCACCAAGCCGTCCGCAGAGAACAGACGCTGCAGGCTCCATGCACAGGAGGCCCCTCGGGTGGCCCGTTCATAGAGAAGAAGTGACTTGAACGCTGGGGCCAGGGATGGAGAGTGAGTGTTTCATGGGGGCCAGGTTTCAGTTCGGGAAGCTGGAGAGGGTGTGGAGATGGATGGCGGTGATGCTGGTACAACAGTGCGAATGTGATGTGTGCCACTGAATTGCACACTTAAAAATTGTTAGAATGGTAAGTTTTATGTGTGTTTCACCACAATAAAAAAATTACTTTTTAAAAAGTGGCTCAGGCCGGGCGTGGTGGCTCACGCCTGTAATCCCAGCACTTTGGGAGGCCGAGGCGGGCGGATCACGAGGTCAGGAGATCGAGACCATCCTGGCTAACACAGTGAAACCCCGTCTCTACTAAAAATACAAAAAAATCAGCCGGGCGTGGTGGCGGAGCCTCTAGTCCCAGCTACTCGGGAGGTTGAGGCAGGAGAGTGGCGTGAACCCGGGAGGCGGAGCTTGCAGTGAGCCGAGGTCGCGCCACTGCACTCCAGCCTGGGGGACAAAGTGAGACTCCGTCTCAAAAAAAAAAAAAGTGGCTCAGATGCAGCATCCGTCCACGCGGGCCACGCAGTCCCCTGCCCGAGGTCGTCACCAGCCTGACACCGAGGCGTGCTCCTGGGCTTTTCTTCCCGTGCTCAGCACAAAAGCTCTTTAGGAACATAAACCAAAACCCAGGTCTGGAGTCTCCGGAAACAACCAATATAAAAGCTCACCAGAGGCTGATCTCACACGCTTTGCCGCTTTTCCAAGGTGGCTTCTCAGTAAAATTCTAGAACCGAAGACTTGGAGACTCTCTGTTTCAGTCCCATCATTTCACCCGCGAGGAACCAGAAGCCCCAGGGCCCCAGGGGACTCGCTGAAGGCCACACAGGTGGCGTCAGGCCCGGGCTGGAGCTTCCCAGCTCCCTGCAGCAAGCTCTTTTCACAAGGCTGCCATGGAAGGCTTTTGTTCCTCTGGTCACTTTCTATTTGCTGAGCTCCACCTTGTGAGTCAAATGCCGGGAGCTTTGGGGATCCCACAGAAGTTTTTCTTTTTTCCTCTGAAAGATTAAAATCTAGCTGGAGAGGGAAGATGCTTGCAGAAAGCTAAAAAGGACAATCCAATGCCAGATGAGGGTTGCAGCCAAAAGAGGCTATATTTTCCCAAAACAGAGACATTTGGAGGGGGAGGACGCTCTAGGCAAAGGTCGGGGAGGCAGTAGGAGCCCCGAGGCGGAAGGAGAGGCCAACACTTTCAGGGGAGACCTGAGACTGCCAATCAGAAAATTTGCACAGTGATACGATGCACCCATGAATTCCATCTCTGGCTGTACAATGACAGCTCATGTTAAATGGCCTTATTCTATATTCTATTTCACAAAATAATGAACAAAATGGGCTTGCTTTGGGGGTACACTTCTATGAGTTGTGATGCACGTATGGATTTGTGTAGCTAGCGCCATAATAAGGACACAACCCCAAATCCTCCCACGTCCCCCTCCCTCGTGGTCCACACTGCACCCTCCCTCCACTCCCTGCCCCCCAGCTCTGACCTCCCCCAATATAGGTCAGCCTTTTCCGGCATGTCATATAAATAAGACCACACAGTATGAAACCTTTTAGAATGGCGGCTTTTACTCAGCAAGATTCCTTGGAGAGGCCTCTAAGCTGTTGCCTGTAACAAGAGTTTGTATTTTTATTGCCGAACAGTATTTCATGCCTGGATACAGCACAGTGTGTTTATCCCTTCAGCCCCTCAAGAGCATTCAGGTTGTTTGAAGGTTTTAGTGAAATCTAGTGGGTTTAGCTGCTATGAACATTCATGTACTGGTTATTGTATAAACATAAGTTTTTATTAAAATTTAAATTACTTTTCCCTCAAAAGATTGGTGGCCAATATATTCATTATAGAAGCCATTTCCAAAAGCATGTAATTTATCCTTTAGTATTTAAAGCAGGAAATGGAATTACAGGGTCATATGGTAAGTATAGGGTTAACTTTCTAAGAAACTACCAAATTGTTTCAAGGAGTGACAGTTTGCGTTCCCAGCACTTGGGAATGTTGGCATTTTTTATTTCAGCCATTCTAACGGTGCGGTATCCCCTCGCGGTTTTGATTTGTGTTTTCCTGATGCTAATGATGATGCTGAACATCTTTTCATCTGCTTATTCACCCTCCCTACGTCCTCTTTGCTGAAGTGTTTATTCAAGGGTTTAGTCCATTTTTAAACCAAATTGTTTGTTTTCTTCTGGTTGAGTCTTGAGAGCCCTTTACAGATTCTGCTTTCAAGTCCTTTGTCAGATACGTAATTTGCAAATATTTTCTCCCTGTCTGTAGCTTGTCTTTTTCTTCTCTTGATGGTGTCTTTTGTAAAACAAAAGTTTTGAAACTTTGATGAGGTCCAATTTATCCATTTTTTCCTTTTATAGATGATGTTTTGGTGTCAGGTCTAAGAACTTGTCTACTCACAGGTCATGAAGGTTTTTCTCCTATGGCTGCTTCTAAAATTTTATAGTTTTACATCATAGATAACGATCTATGATCTATTTTGAGTTAAATCTTGTGTAAGGTGTGGATTGGGTTAAAGTGGTTTTTCGTGGTCGTTGTTTTTTTTAACATATGGATGTTCAATTGCTTCAATGCTGTTTGTTGAGAAGACAGTGTTTTCCATTGAATGATCTTTGCCAGGAATCGGCTGGTCAGATTTGGGTGAGTCTATCTCTGGACTCCATTCTGTCCATTAATCTAGGTGCCTGTCCTTCCTCTAGCACCACAGGTCTTCAGTTACCATGGCTGCATAGTCAATCTTAGAACCAGGTAATGTGTTTTTCTCACTTTATGTGTCCTTTTCACAATTGTTTGGCTATTTTTGCTCCCTCGGATTTCCATACAGTTTTAGAATCCACCTGTCTCTAGCTAAACAAAACTTTGCTGGAATTTGATTTGGAATTTCATTAAACCTGTAGATCGATTTGGGGAAAGAATCAACAGTTTTACTATGTTGAGTCTTCTAATTCATGAACATAGTATGTCTCTCTATAAGTTCACTTTGATTTCTTCCACCAGCATTTTCTAGTGTTAGCTTTAAAGTTCTGTACATTTTTGCTAAATGTATACCTAATATTTTGTTTCCTTGATGCTATTATATGTAATAATTTTTAATGTTTTTTAATTGTTCATTACTTGGATGTAGATATATAATTGACTAAATGTCCTTTTAGTGATAGGTCATTACAACTATGGTATAACAATACAGATATAAGACTGCCTCAAATTATCTAGGCAACTGATGATTTATGGCTAAAAGCCCAAGTCAAAGCCCTAGTTCAGTCACTCTTCAATGCATCTATAACCAAAAAATGTGTATGATCCTATGAAAATTATTCCATTCACTGAAGACCAGTGTCAGTTCTGTATTAAAAGTGAACTAAACAGCCTACATGTTAATTCAACAAACAGTTGCTGCTCACTGCATTCTTTGTTCTGTATGAGGACCACCAATAAACCAACTGCCTTTTTCATAGACATTTCTGACCCCCGATAATAGCTCCAAGAGCTCAAATAAAACCTACCAACATCATGTGTACCTTAAAAGATTTAAACTACCTTTTCCTCACCAGTGTAGTGATCAATATATTCATTATAACAGTCACCTTCAAAAATATATCATTTTTCTTTTATCATTCAAAGCAAGTATTCATAATTCACATGTGAAGCATTATCTATGTAATGCTCCGTTGAATCTCTGACAGCATGGTAAGTTGTAAAATCCTCTGAGATCTGCATAGCGTGACTGAGCATTCATTTCTTTAGAAACCTAACCTAACCCTAAGTTTTTTCTTTAGAAACTTAAAAAGTTTAAGTCATTTTTCTAGTTTAATCACAGGATGAGTGATTTAAAGGCCAGAAATGTTTATGTGACTCAAAAACCAAAGTTCAGCATGTAGAGAAATGGAGAAATGCTATCCAAACACCGAGGCGGTGTGGCTTGCCCTGGACTGTGAGCTGTTTCAGTGATTTCAGGCCACTGGAGTAGGAGCTAATAAGTAACTTCGTCTGGTAGACACAGCACTTAAAGATGTACGTCTTACAGTTTAAAGAGTTTCCCGTCTCTTCCATTTTGTTTTTTGATTCACGATTTCACACCCCCTCTCATGGAGGAGAAGAACGTACAAGGCTGGTTAGTGGTGACTAAATACAACTGGTCACTGAACGCAGAGAAGCATTCGATAAAATATTACATGACACAAGGAGAATCAGAGAATTACTTGAGTTCTTGCAGCATTCATAGACAGAATGAGTTGGAATATGAAGAATCAGGGATTTCTACTAGGACTCCGATGTTCCTGGCCCTTCTGACATCCTCACGTTCAAAGGCCCACGGCACCTGCCTGGGAGGAAACTGAGCGTGCAAACTCCACTCCTCTGTGTGTGAGAAGGTGGAGGTGTCAGTAAACAGAGGGGTACCCGCCATGAAGCGCCGGCCACAGGCAGAGCGCCAGTGGCCTTCTGTGAAGAGTATGGGAGCTGCGCTCTGTGCCTGAGGGAGGTTGACAGTCTCATCAGGAATGAGAATCGTTAACCAACGAGGGCACAAAATAGGAAAAACAACTAGGAAAATATGGAGTTGCTGATTACTAAGAAATCCAAGGGATAAAATGGGATCTTTTGTTTTTTTTTTTTTTTTTTGGAGACAAAGTCTCGCTCTGTCGCCCAGGCTGAAGTGCAGTGGTGCAATCTCAGCTCACTGCAACCTCCGCCTCAGAGGTTCAAGCAATTCTCCTGCCTCAGCCCCCTGAAGCTGGGACTATAGGCACACGACGCCAAGCCTGGCTAATTTTTTGTATTTTAGTAGAGAGGGGTTTCACCATATTGCCCAGGGTGGTCTCGAACTCCTGACCTCAGGCAATCTGCCCGCCTCGGCCTCCCAAAGTGCTAGGATTACAGGCACGAGCCACCACACCCAGCCAAAATGGGATCCCTCTTTCATTCCTCATGCATTCAAAACCTCTCAGGCAGGAATTTTGTCTGCTTCACTTTTGTGGTATTTTCAGAACGTGGACCATGCCTGGCCCCTGGCATTTAGTTGGGAAGTAATGAGGCCCAGTGCAGAGAAGGACAAGCAGCTCATGGTTACGCCCTGCTGTGCCTGCAACTCTGTCACAGGGGAGGCCACGAGCAAGGGGTGCAGAAAACAGAGCTCGCAGTGCTGAGTAGGCCCTATGCATGGGAGATGCCTTTGCCCTGGGCCCTGCGGAGGTTTCAGACAGATGGGAGAAGGAAGGGCCTTGTGGACAGAAAGGACCCTGCACAAGGCCCAGGGCAGAGGATGCACAGCCCATCCACATGGAAGATGGTCGGGGCCAGGGCATAGGGGCACAGCCCAGGGCAGGGGATGGATGCTCAGCAGCCAGGGCAAGTGGGAGGAGAGCTGGGGCTGGGGCTCTGGCTCCTGGCAGGGCTGCAGCCAGAGGGAAGGGCCCTCAGAAGCACCCAGAATAACAGGGCTCCTGCTGCAGGCAAGGGCGGCCACAGGACACTGGAAGGAGAGGGACATCCATGTTGCTTCTGTTTCCCGAAGCTTGCTCTGCTCTGGGTGCTGAATGCTGGGAAGGTGGACAGGAAGCCTCACCACGTTAGGGCCCAGGGGACAAAGAGCTTTGGCTTCACCCTGAAGGGTGGGCAGGGCAGGGAGCCTCACAGGCAGCAGGGGAGCTGTTAGTAGTCTGGGGGTGAGGGCAAGAAACGTTTAAAGAAGGGGTCCCCAGCCCCCAGGCCCTGGACCGGTACCGCTCTGTGGCCTGTTAGAAACCGAGGTGCACAGCAGGAGGTGAGCAGCGGGCGAGTGAGATTATCTCCTGAGCTCTGCCTCCTGTCAGGCCAGCGGCACCAGATTCCTATAGGAGAGCAAACCCTACTGGGAATGGCATGTTCGAGGGATCGAGGTTGTGCACTCCTTATGGGAATCTAATGCCTGATGATCTGAGGTGGAACAGTTTCATCCCAAAAACGTTCCCCTACCCACCCCCATCCATGGAAAAACTGTCTTCCACAAAACCCATCCCTGGTGCCAAAAAGGTTGGGAACCGCTGCTTTGAAGAGGATCGAGTAGGGAAGGAGGGCAGAGGAAAGAGTCCAGTGCCAGCAAAACTTCAGACCTGATGTGTGCCGTGTGGAGACCCCCGTCTGGGCTCAGACACAGAGGTGAACAATGTCGGTGCTGGGCGAAACGCAGCACACTCTGCAAACATTGTCCTTTGTGGCTGCAGCATGCAGTTGTCACCCACTGAATTCCACCATTCCGTGCACTACCATAAATCCCAGAAAAGCGCACTTTTCAGGGCGAGTTAGGCCTTTGGTGGCAAAACTGTCTTCTGAACAACAAGGGGTCCTCCCAATCAATGTGCATAGAGCTGACAGACTGGAGGGAAATACTTCAATTGACTTCCGTGCATTTAACTGATTTGCTTCCGCTGCGTTCTGTGTCGACGGGGCGCAGCCAGCATGCCTGGGGCCAGAGCTCCTCTGACCTCCAGAAATTCATTCCTGCCTGAGGTGTGGGCTCTTTACATGCAGGCTATTTCTGAACAAGTAGCATCTGGGAGCAGCAGTGAGAAAGCGAGGGGAAAACTGACAAAATCAATCTCGCAAGCTCCCCCGAGTCCCTTTCCTTTGCTTTTCTGAGAACTCACAATCAGCCCTCTTGCCTGGTGCGCATTCACCGCTGTTGGGCCTTTGCAGTTGAGCTGAGAGCCGAGCAGACAATGCATGAAGTCTGCAAAAGCCGCAGCATCCCCTGCGTCGCCTATGTCCCCTGTGTCACCTGCCCCCATGTCCCCTGTGTTCCCCTGCCCCCGGGCGCTCATGGCTTTTCCCTTCCCTCCACTGTGAGCTAACCTCTCGCAGTGCTTACCACTCTGTATCTTCTGTGCGATCTCTAGTGACCTGGAGTGTTCTGGTTCTGTTGATTACCAGCTGGCCCTGGGCACTCATGCCCAGCCATTCTTCCCTCTCCGCTTCCTCTTACTCGAGATGTGGAAGTGATATTCCCAAATCAGCCCGGTGTCAGTGTGGCGTGAGACACTTACTTTGAGAAGCAGAGACCAGCTCATGTTATGCAGCCGCGTCAAAGCCCATGAGCTGCCTGCCTCATGCTGTTGTGTGTTTTTCTGTGTGTATTTCCCGAGCATTTTCCTGTATTCAGCCCAGAAGCCTGGGGATAAGTAATATTTTTCTCTCAGTGCTTTGCCCAACCTGACCCTATCTCAGATGGAATCCCCCTTGAATTACCGTCACTTCCCCTCTATTTGCTTGTTCACCTTCAGGAGAGCCGCACACTGAGTCGGTGATAGAAATCTCTCCCCAGCAAGTCGCACACCCAAACCCGCTGCTGCCAGCCCGTAGCTGCCCCAGGTGTGTCTGGTGGCTCATCTGTGGCTTCCTAGTAGAAGCCCTTAAAAAATCCAGATCACTAGTTGTACACCTGTCAACCTACCATCCTACACGCACACACAAACAAGCACACACACACCCTAATTTGCATAGACAAAGTTTAAAAGGTGACAAAGACACTCTCCTTGACTGAACTTTAGACAGGCTCTTCTAAGCCCTCTTTTCAACTAAGCCTCCTCCATGGGCCTTGTCCTCAAGCCTGCCTAGTCCAGTTTTACCAAGAATCCTGCTAAGCTAGTTTAGACAGGATCTTCCCAATCTTGATATATGATCACCCTCCAAATCTGATCAAATCCCTCATCCCTCACCATCCCCTGAGTGATATAGGATCATCTTGGCCTGCCTTCTGCAAGAATCATATTAGGCCAGTTTAGCAAGAATCCTCCCTACCCTTTATGTCTCTTCTTAGTAATTTTCCACCCACCGAGCAATGCACACCATCCCACCTTCCTACCCCTCTAACTCTTCACCTCCCAACCCCATCCTCACCTGCTGCTTTGCTACAAATCTCCACTTGTTCTTACTGTTCGTGGAGTTGAAGCCCATCTCTCTCCCCATTGTGATAGTCTAGATACCATCTATCACAATAGTCCTTAATAAAGTATTCCTGACTGTTAAAAAAAAAAAAAATCCAGATTACAAAGGAGGAGAGATCCAGCTTCCCTGAGGAGGACAAGCCGCAGGGACTGTGGACTTGTCCTGAGGTCACCGCGCCTCTGTGTTTCAGGACTCACACCACCCGGCAAGAACTGCTCACTACGGCTCCCTGCCCCAGAAGTCACACGGCCGGACCCAAGATGAAAACCCCGTAGTCCACTTCTTCAAGAACATTGTAAGTGACGATCGATGGGAAGAGGTAGCAACTGTGAGGGGGAGGAGGGGTGCTGGCCACTGCTGTCATCCACACAGGACGTTCGTACGCTCGGGGGTGGCACCGGGGTCATCATCAGGGTGAGGCCGGCCGGGGAACTCCCCCCTCGCACCTGATCGCGAGTTCCAGGCAAGCGCTTCCCGACTGTATCTGCCACGGATTGCACCGTGCGCTCCGTGCGTTCTCCAGAGAGCTCACTTCTCTTGAGATTAGGCTCCCATGTAACGCTTAGCCTAAAAACACAGGCTTTGCAACCTATGGAGAGTGCTTGCCATGGGCTGGGAGCGGAGGGGGCAGCAGAGAGAGCACAGGGCATTTTTAGGGCATTTTTCGGGCAGCGAAACCGCTCTGTCGAGGCTGCCATGGTGACTGAAGACCACGCACTTGTCCAAACCCACAGCGTGCACAGCACCGAGAGAGCCCTAAGGCAGTGTTGCTAATAAGGGAAACTGTTCGGGGTATGTGGAAACTAATTTCTGCACAGTTTTTCTGTAAACCGAAAAGTGCCATGCAAAACGAAGACGATTAAAAACAAGAACAAAACCACAGGCTTCTAATTCCAAGATCTCAGTGCAGCAGACATTTTATGCTCGTATTCGATAAGTGCACTTAGGAGCTGCAGACCTGGGGACATCCCCTTGGAAGCTCTGAATGTCAGAGGGCCCGCTACTCCTAGCCCCGGAAAGGGCTCACGGTGAAGCAAAGTCCGCCGCCTCCCTCAGTGTCCCAAGATGGGCCCATTCCCCAGCTACGGAGCCTCTGGGAGGTGTTTTCCATCCTCTGAAACACTTCCTGAGTGCTCTGGGAGATCTGCATCATCTAGAATATTTTCAATCTCAGGTCTATACTTCTTCACCAACTAGGACAGAAGTGGGGAGGCTGGGCACCCGGGTGCTTCTGGCAGCTGATGGATGCTAGCCACCCTCAGCAGGCAGGAGCCCGTTAGGAAATGGACGGCGGCACAGGGCTCCCAGTGCAGCCCACGGTTCTCTGTGTCTTTCCAGGTGACGCCTCGCACACCACCCCCGTCGCAGGGAAAGGTAAGACCTTGGAATGTTTTGATTGATCATCACTTTTCTGATAGACCTTCTCTAAAATCCCATAATGTACCAAAGAGAGAGTTAGGCTCCGAGCTACCAGAATCCATCCCAAAACGTGTTGCCAGGCAGCTCCCAAGTAGAACAGGTCGGCAGATCCATGCACCCCTCCTGTCCCTCCCGCACCTGCACAGCCGCTGTGGCCCTGAGCCTGCGGCCCCCCTCGGAGCTCCGGGTGGAACCTGTTTTTACCACCTCAGCTCCACTGTGCTTTGACTGTGTTTCCTGTTGATTGAAAGGACTTTCCCTTCACTGACCACCATGTCATTATTTCTCTGTCTTCCTCATGCAGGGGAGAGGACTGTCCCTGAGCAGATTTAGCTGGGTAGGTGACGAACGCACTTCCATCGGCTTCCTCTTCCGTCCCAGTCCTCACAGCCCCGCAACTTTTGTGTTCTGCTCTGTTTCGGTTGCTTCCTGGCCTCCTTTTCTCTCCTCTCGAGACCTCTCTGCCCACAGCTGGGATCGGGCCGCCTTGTCTTCCACTGGGGAAATGAAACGTGGTCTTCCCTTCCGGAAGGTCTGGTCTCTTGCTTCTGTGCCGGGGACCCAGCCCTGCAAGGCCAGATCCTCTTCTCCCAGAGGGTTCCCAGGCGACGTGACTGGTCTCCCTCCCAGGGAGGGAGCAACACCACGTCCGAGAAAATGTTTAACTTCCTCCAACACAACCAGTGCGAGAAGCCCCAGGAACCCGCATGTGGAAGTGGGACTGGCTGGCCCGTCTCAGTGACCCCAGATGCTGACACTGGGAAAATGATTCTGCTGATGAACAGAAAAAGAGGCTAAATAGAGTTGCTCGATTTATAATAACCTCATTAATCCAAAGATTTTTGTTTTGTATGTGTTTAAATAATAATTAAAACATAGATATCAAGCCATCCAGAAAATCTTCCTTAGGAATTTTAGGCTGGTTAATACTGAAAGCAAACTTTCAAGGAAGGTTTAAAATGGCCAATTTGAACTTTCTAGTGAAAAAATTTGGTGTCTGAGCCAAATTAAAATGCCAATCATTATATTCTAACCAAACTTACAGACTTTAGTTACTAGCAAATACCAGATATGATTCTTACTGTATAAAAGTTATAATTTTAGAATAAAATGGAGGAATAACCACCAACGTATTGTAGATAGGTTGTGTCTGTCTCCGAAACTGCAATGCTCTCATACGCTAGAACAGAGCCTACCTACACTTTCTGCTCAATTAATAAGCATCATATAAATGAATGAATACATTTTAAAAGAAAAACAACAAGGAGAAAGAACAGGAAGAAAGAACAGGGAAAGAAAACAGAAGGTGGGGAAGAGGAAGGAAGAGAGGGAGGAAGGGGCAGGGTACTTGAGAGACCATGAGGATCCCAGATCAGTCCCACACATGATTACACTGAATTATGAACTAAGATATTTACCGAAACGTTTTCCATTAATGCATATTTGACTTGCTTTTTCTGACCTAATGAATTTGCAAAACGATGACAATCATGTAGCAAATGTACATGGACTAGTACTCACAATTAATTTTTTATTTTCTATGCCAGCAGGAGACAAAGATGATAGAAGAATGAAATTCATTTTTGACCCAGAAATCTTATTTTAGCTACTGCTTTATCTGCTCTTAATTTTCTAGGAGTGGACTTTGGGGCCGTCGTGCCGGATCCTCCCTGAATGTGGAGCGATGGGGGGTTGCACACAGGCCGTTCTGCCCCAGCAGCTAACAAGAAAGACCCTTGCATTCCTCCCTGCATCTCTCCCTTTTGGGTCCTACTAATGTCTGTTGAATTTCTCTTTTTTCCAAAGCAAAATCCTTCTCTGCATTTTGTCTGCTTGTCTGTTTCCCAGAGCCGCAGGACTCTCTCCTTGTCTGGAGTTCCAGAGAGCCCCCACTTTCTCTTTCTAAGCTGTGTTGTGTGTTTCCTGGTACATTCTAGGTTCCCCAAAGATAAACATGACTAAGGATTGGAAAGGAGGAAAGGCCGCGCAGATTGTTAATCTGAAAGTCAATCCCCGGATTTAGCTCTCAAAAATGCTTTATTTTTGGAGAAAAGCAATAGAGTAAGACAGAAGGACTTAACGCTTGCAGGGAAGTGGCTTTCTGCCATGTAGAGCCAGGCTGGCAACCTGCCCTCTGCCATCAGGGAGTGAGCATGAACCTGGAAACCTCTAGGACGCAAGAGCGAGGCTGGCTGTCCCCTCGTGTGCAGTGCTTAGACCTTCTTGCCACACATCCCGTCCCTCACCTCACTGGATAGCCCCCGAATCAACTGTTCACACGAAAGCAGCTGCCTGGTTCTGAGTGGCCATGCTCACTCCCAAGCACAGGCTGAATGAAAAGAAAACTGTGCAAGTAGCTTGTATGGTGGGAAGCCCCCAGCAGAGGCTGAGGGTGCAGCCAGGTGCTCTGGAAGCCTTGAGGCCTCTGGTGTCATCTTCCTCACCTCTAAATAAGAGATGGGCTAGGTTGGTCAAGGTCCTCCCTGTCCTAAAACACTTTAATGAAATGGAAGAAAGGCTGCAGGCTGATAGAGGAGGGACAGTCTGGTTTGGTTCCCTCAAGTCTTCAGGAGAGGGCTCAAGGACAGTCTCCCATTTCTTGTTGGCAAAATGTAAAGTGCAGTCTGGACCCTGTCCATTGAGTAGAGACTCAGGAGGCCAACCAAGATCCCTGAAAAGCTAACAGCGTGGTCAGCCTTCCCACAGACAGTGCACCCACCGTGGGAGGACACTTCGCCCCCCATTGTTAACGTCCACCGCGCCCAGACTCCCACAGCGAGCTCCTTCCCTTCCTCCCCATGTTTGCAGTGGAGTTCCCACTCGAGAAGACAGCACAGTAGCAAGTAGAGGCTGGTCCTGGGACACTCGCACCCATGTGTGTCAGGAAGCCCCTGCGGTCACACGGCCCATGAGGAAGCCAGAGGGGCTGCTGGGGCTGATGAGGCCAGGGCAGGGCGGCCTGCTCTTCCATAAATGACAGCTGGCACCAAAGCCCAGAGCTGGCAGCCTCCACCTGAGGAGTGGCATCTCCATGAACGGCTTGTGTTCTCGCACAGCCCCATTGCGTAGATGAGGAAACTGAAGCTCAGAGAGGTTCCTGCCCTTGCCCAAGGCCACACAGCCGGATGAGCTAGAAAGGTGCTAGGGGACTGGGAGGTGGGGGAGCTGAGACGCTGTCCCGCTGCTGCCAGGATGCGGCCGCCCCCCGTGCCAGCCAGGCCTGCCTCCTCCCTCTGTCCGGCTCAGCAGCCCCGGCCTCCTGTTGCTCCCAGTCCGAGCTATGGCCAAGGGAGACTGATTCCTGCTCACCCTGGGAGAGAGCTCAGGATTTTGTCTCAAAACCTTATAAAAGATACGAGGCTCGACATTTTACTAAGGCCGAGGACTCTTGATCTCCCAGACAGATCCTAGAACCACAGGGCACATGTGACCAGAATCCAATCTGTGCAAATCAATCAGCAAAAGGAGCCCCCAGCAAAGGCGCAGGCCGGGGCCTCCGGGGACCGGCACCTACACAGCGCACAGCCCCCCAGGGTCCGAGTCCTCCAAACCCGTGTAGGCAGGAGCCTCCTTACCTTGATTTGCTTGATGTTTGCTAATCTTCTCTTGAACACCCCACAGCGTGAAGGTAAGCAACTGTTCCCTAAACGACTTAGATCCTTAAAATATGTGTGGTTGGGCCGCATATCTCATGAGAGAGCCTCCGCCCAAACCAGAGCCCTCCTCTCTCTGCGGCCAACACCCTGGTAGACCTGGGGGAGCAGCCTCTCCCGCCCCCACCCCCTCAGCGTGGTGCTGGCCCGTGGCTCCTGAACCACTCACCAGTCCAGTCCGGGGCCTGGGCCCTTCCCCGGGGCCCTGGTGGCAGCTCCCAGTGGCTCAAGCAGCGTGCCCAGCACCGCGGGTGGAGGTTGAGCTCCGTGGTCTTCTCTTGCAGGGGGCCGAAGGCCAGAGACCAGGATTTGGCTACGGAGGCAGAGCGTCCGACTATAAATCGGCTCACAAGGGATTCAAGGGAGTCGATGCCCAGGGCACGCTTTCCAAAATTTTTAAGCTGGTAAGGTACCCTCTGCTCAGCTCCACTGAGCGGGGACTAAGGGCTCCCAGAATCCCCAACTAAGCTGAGTACAAGGGTGGCTGCCGCCTCTGGCTCAGCCGCACTGTACCCTGGACGTGCTCTGTCCCAGCAGGCGTGCAGGGGCTCAGGTGGCATTGCCCACCCGCATTTACGCGTGGATTTCCTCCGAGATGCATGTGAAGCCGGAGGTGCTTGAGGAAGGGCTGCGCCTGGGCTGGTTCAGGGGCCCTGGAGCAGGCGACTGACCTTGACTCTGGGGCAGGGCCCAGCTGGAGTCCAACTTGCTCATGCCCAGGGGTTGGGGCCCTCAGGGAGCTAAAGCAGGAGTCAAGCAGACGTGGGTGTCGGGGGGAGATCCCTGGAGCCACGGGAGGGAATGCCCAGGAGACCTCCAGGGAGTGGGGAGTGTCCCGTCGGCTCATGAGGACCTGGAACCAGACCCAGGACGAATGCCAGGCCCGCTGTTTATAAGCTCTGTCTCTGAGACTTGGTTTTCTCATCTGTAAAATGGAGGTAACCCGCCCACTCAGCTCACAAAATCGCTGTGAAAGTAAAAGGTAGTGACAAACACAAAACGCGGCTGGCAGGTGCGCGGCTCGGATTCCTTAGATAAGCAGTCACCTTTATTATTGTTAAACGTCACCCAGAAAACCCTTAACTCTTAGACAGCGGCTCTCATTAAGCAAAAGGGGAGGCACATGAAGCTCCAGGCAGGGCCGGGAGGGAACCGTGAAGCCAAAGGCTCTGGGAGCCCCCAGGCACCTGCGTTTGCATTTTCATCCTGGAGGAGACCAGGCTTCTGGGGCTGCTCCCCGGGGTGCAGAGAGGAGGGGTCTTTCTTGGTGTGTAACATACTCATTGATTCAGTCACCTGACCTTTGACTCCATGTATTTTGTTGAGTCTGGATGTGTGGTGTGCTCTGCCCAGCAGCGGGGATCCACATGAGCACAGACATGGTCCCCCCGCGTCCTTGGTGAGTGCAGAACCTCTGCCGTGAGCCTCGATTCTGGGAGGTTCTGGGAGGTTCTGTGGACAACAGGCAATTCAGGGCACAGCCCCTGCTCTTAAGGATAGCCGGTCTTAGGAGAAGCTTTTAATATGTGAAGTGAGCAGGGAGTAACTGAGCTGCTAAGTAAGCAGCTTTATGTCAGATGAAGTGGTAGGCAGGATCCACTCCTCAACGTAAATTCTGAGTTAAGAAAAAAATTCTCCAAATATTCAAGTCTCAGGGCCATCATGCTGTACATTGCCGCAGTTCTGGGATGTGGCCACAAGAGGGCGGAGATGAGGCTCCCCGGGGAGCAGTGTCTGAACCCAGCACTGCAGTCAGGACGGCCCCGCCCCACCTGGCCAGCACGTCACCTGCCTCTGAATCGCCTGGGATGCACGCCCAGACCCCTATCTGCGCTCCGCCACAGCCTCACTGAGTCAGAATGTCCAAGGGCGAACTAGGTGTTGCTAGTTGTGATGATTTTGCAGACACCGTGCTCACCTGGGAAACACGGATTCATCCCATCTGGAAAACTAATTACTCCACTACCAGCTTAAGGACTGTTAGACACACCGGGAGAGCTGAGTGCTGGCTCAGAGTTGATGGGAGGGCCCAGATGAGTGAGGGGCCCCATTTAGCAAATATTGTCCTTGCAATATATGCAAGGCTTACAACCAGTCACTCAAAGATGCTTGCAAGGCCAGAGCTTACCAAGACCACCCTGAGGAACAGAAAGCTGCATTTAGATCTGCACATTTACTGTGTGCAAATATAACCAGTGTACTATACACATGTGTTTCCTGAAATAAGTTCAGTATTTTCCCTGAACTTTTTTGTAAGAAGCTTTTAAAAATTATTTAATTTCTGTAGAGTTCAAGGGAAGCTTCTATGTATCAAAGCAAATTTCAAATCATATGGTTGTAATTAAATTTTACTGCATAAAAAGTTCATAACTGGCCTACTATGGCCATATGGCTGAATTAGTTGACTTGGAGCACTTCCAATAGATTAATAAATCAGCTCCCCCAGAAATGAGGGGGTCTAGAGGCAGGCAGATGGAGAGGACAGGGACTTCATAGCATTTAACATCATTTTACCATCTTTCCTTCCTGTTCTTTTTGGTGCTGTTGGAAATCAGTAGTGAGAGGAAAACACTCAAATCTGGAAGTCTAGCGCTGTCGGTAGGAACTGGGTAGAAAAAACTATGCATGTCCCCCCATCACTCGGAAACTACATCAGAACATCATAGGAGCATCCTGTTTCCATGTGCATTAGTTTCCACGAACATACATGTGAATGTTTTCCCACCTGTAGTGTTGCTGTGGAGTTGTGAGATGTCAAAGTGGAGGCAAGAGTATCTGCCTTTTGCAGTAGGCTCTGTTCTTTTCCTGTCCTGAGAGAGGAGGTCAGTCTAACCCTCACCTTGTGAGTTCAGCCTTATACTGACCTGAGCCCAGGGTGGATCAGATGCTGAGATCATGTGACTCCAAGTTGCAAGACACGTAATAGAGAGAAGCGTGACTGTTGCATCCATGCAGGCTCTAATCCTGGCTCCTTCGGGCTGGCTGAGCTTTGGCTCCTGAGCTATAAAGAGAGGATGATAGGAACACCTACTCCAGGAGGTGCTGTGAGCACAAAAGAGAAAACGGGGAAAAACGGGTTTCCTGCATGGTCAGTGCTCAACAAATTGTAGTTTCAATGATAAAAAGTAAAACCAATACACCCACCATTTTCAATGTCAAAAGGGGGCATCAAGAAAGTTAAGATTGTACCTCGGTAGGTTACCTTGCCAGAGGCTGCAGGGAACTTACTCCATTTCAGCACAGAAGCACTTTGTTTCATAGGACAGTGGTTCTACCACTTTCCAGGAAGTCCAAAGGCTGATCTCTTGGAAATGCAGCAAAAGGTGAGGTGAGTGCCAACTTCTGGGCTACTCCAGAGGGCAGCTCCAATGCCAGAGATGTTCAAGTTAAGCCAGGATCAAACAGGAAAAACCCACGCTCCCGAGGGAGAGGCTGGCCCTCGAGGGGCAGGGCCCTGCACCTGTCAGTCCCCAGGCCGGCAGGAGGCCTCCACGGTATGTGAGAAAGCTGCCTGTCTTGGGAGGGAAATCTCACTAGATGGTTCCTGAAGCGGCTTCGCAGGCTAGCATTTCATAAACGTTTTCACTTGTGAAAACAAAAATCCCTTGAGTGAGTTGTGTAAGCACAACATAGAGGCTTGTTTATAATGCTACGTATGTACTTGGAAAACCCCCCAAGAAGTCAGAACTGTCACCTTGGTCTGTTAGCTGCGTTACTTGGAAGGATTCTTGGCGTCTGCGCTCTGGTTATTTGTGTTACTGGGCAGTGTGGAAGACGTAGAATTAGATGAGGACAGTGTTGGTTCGTTGCTGATCGGCCACGGTAAAGAGCATATTTCTTTTCTATCTTGCTTTCTGGGGGCTCTTCGCCAAAATTGATCATTTCATAAAAGAGGGGAAACCCAAGGAGAGAGACTAAACTTTGAATAAAAATTTGAATGCAAAAAAAGTGCAGTTCTGCTTCGTCGATCTAAGTGACATTCTGAGTGACCAACGCATTCCTCTTTCTAGAGGGATGGCCACGCCTGGCTACCTCCACACCGTGGGCCACAGCACACCTGTGCACCATCTCAATTAGCTGCCAACTCTCTTTTAAACATCGAAATTATTTGTCCCCCAAACGTGTAAATGCATGGTTTTAAGACCCCTTCAAGTCAAAGTTTGCAGACAAAGCTCTCTGTGCATTTGATTTGTCTGGTGTGGCAGATGAGATGGCACATAGGAGGGACGTCCCCAGGGATGGACACGTGGCTTTGCTCTTTGCTGGCGCGTGTAGCAAGGGGTGTGCTAGGGTCCCGCCGAAAAAGAAGTTGCTCCTGTTGTCGCTGGCAGTTCCCCTCGGCTGCCCTGGCACCTCTAGCTGACGAGAAAAAGTGCTCATTCAAAGCAAAGCAATGGAGCGGCTGCACTTTCACCCACAGAAGTGCAGCGTTGTTTTGCAGAGCAGTGGTTATGCCAGGCACCACTCCCTGGGGCCTGGGAATCCGATTCCAGTTCTCTCTCACAGAACTGGAAATTCAATTAGCATTTGCTGAGGGAGGTCGGGAGAAATGGAATGAAAAGACCAGCTCTCCGGGGTGCCATTTCTATTAGCAGATGAGAGAGACACCCAATGGCTCAGCATCCACCCGGGACCACAGAAGAGGGGATGCTGGTGTGGGAGGACCCTGCGGCACTCTCGTCCTAACTCCTCTCTCTTCCTTTTCAGGGAGGAAGAGATAGTCGCTCTGGATCACCCATGGCTAGACGCTGAAAACCCACCTGGTTCCGGAATCCTGTCCTCAGCTTCTTAATATAACTGCCTTAAAACTTTAATCCCACTTGCCCCTGTTACCTAATTAGAGCAGATGACCCCTCCCCTAATGCCTGCGGAGTTGTGCACGTAGTAGGGTCAGGCCACGGCAGCCTACCGGCAATTTCCGGCCAACAGTTAAATGAGAACATGAAAACAGAAAACGGTTAAAACTGTCCCTTTCTGTGTGAAGATCACGTTCCTTCCCCCGCAATGTGCCCCCAGACGCACGTGGGTCTTCAGGGGGCCAGGTGCACAGACGTCCCTCCACGTTCACCCCTCCACCCTTGGACTTTCTTTTCGCCGTGGCTGCGGCACCCTTGCGCTTTTGCTGGTCACTGCCATGGAGGCACACAGCTGCAGAGACAGAGAGGACGTGGGCGGCAGAGAGGACTGTTGACATCCAAGCTTCCTTTGTTTTTTTTTCCTGTCCTTCTCTCACCTCCTAAAGTAGACTTCATTTTTCCTAACAGGATTAGACAGTCAAGGAGTGGCTTACTACATGTGGGAGCTTTTGGTATGTGACATGCGGGCTGGGCAGCTGTTAGAGTCCAACGTGGGGCAGCACAGAGAGGGGGCCACCTCCCCAGGCCGTGGCTGCCCACACACCCCAATTAGCTGAATTCGCGTGTGGCAGAGGGAGGAAAAGGAGGCAAACGTGGGCTGGGCAATGGCCTCACATAGGAAACAGGGTCTTCCTGGAGATTTGGTGATGGAGATGTCAAGCAGGTGGCCTCTGGACGTCACCGTTGCCCTGCATGGTGGCCCCAGAGCAGCCTCTATGAACAACCTCGTTTCCAAACCACAGCCCACAGCCGGAGAGTCCAGGAAGACTTGCGCACTCAGAGCAGAAGGGTAGGAGTCCTCTAGACAGCCTCGCAGCCGCGCCAGTCGCCCATAGACACTGGCTGTGACCGGGCGTGCTGGCAGCGGCAGTGCACAGTGGCCAGCACTAACCCTCCCTGAGAAGATAACCGGCTCATTCACTTCCTCCCAGAAGACGCGTGGTAGCGAGTAGGCACAGGCGTGCACCTGCTCCCGAATTACTCACCGAGACACACGGGCTGAGCAGACGGCCCCGTGGATGGAGACAAAGAGCTCTTCTGACCATATCCTTCTTAACACCCGCTGGCATCTCCTTTCGCGCCTCCCTCCCTAACCTACTGACCCACCTTTTGATTTTAGCGCACCTGTGATTGATAGGCCTTCCAAAGAGTCCCACGCTGGCATCACCCTCCCCGAGGACGGAGATGAGGAGTAGTCAGCGTGATGCCAAAACGCGTCTTCTTAATCCAATTCTAATTCTGAATGTTTCGTGTGGGCTTAATACCATGTCTATTAATATATAGCCTCGATGATGAGAGAGTTACAAAGAACAAAACTCCAGACACAAACCTCCAAATTTTTCAGCAGAAGCACTCTGCGTCGCTGAGCTGAGGTCGGCTCTGCGATCCATACGTGGCCGCACCCACACAGCACGTGCTGTGACGATGGCTGAACGGAAAGTGTACACTGTTCCTGAATATTGAAATAAAACAATAAACTTTTAATGGTATTTGCATGGGTGTCTTCTTTTGTGTTCCGGGCTGTAGCACACAGGCCCACATCAAGCGAGAGCCAGGTGTGCAGAGCAAATGTGACTCGGTGCCTCTGGGTCTCCAGGCAGGGCTGCCTGGCGGTGCCTGTTGGAGGGGGCATCCTCATCAGAGGGTCGATGGCTACTGAAGAAAGTGGAACAGAGGTAGTTGTTAGGGCACTGATTCTCTCACCAGGAAAAAAATATTTAGTGTCTCTGAAGACAAGCTTCCAAGTCTGTCTGTGTTCTGCTGTGTGGCTAGTGTACACACCCTGCAGATGTGAACCCAGGAGTCTTGGACGTGTTCCCCTTGCCACCTTTTTCTCTGAAAGCATGAAAGAGCGTGAAGCAATGTTTTACTTATAGTTACCTTTGGTTACAAGAATTTTTCTTCAAAAAGATAGACGAAAGTCTCTTTTGTTTTTTCTTTTTCTTTTGAGACAGGATCTTACTTTGCCACCCAGGTTGGAGTGCAGTGCTGCAATCTTGGCTCACTGCAGCCTTAACCTCCCAGGCTCAAGCTATCCTCCTGCCAAAGCCTTCCACATAGCTGGGACTACAGGTACACGCCACCACACCCAGCTAAAATTTTTGTATTTTTTGTAGAGACGGGATCTCGCCATGTTGCCCAGGCTGGTCCCATCCTGACCTCAAGCAGATCTGCCCACCTCAGCCTCCCAACGTGCTAGGATTACAGGCGTGAGCCACCGCACCCAGCCTTTGTTTTGCTTTTAATGGAATCACCAGTTCCCCTCCGTGTCTCAGCAGCAGCTGTGAGAAATGCTTTGCATCTGTGACCTTTATGAAGGGGAACTTCCATGCTGAATGAGGGTAGGATTACATGCTCCTGTTTCCCGGGGGTCAGAGAGCCTCAGACTCCAGCATGATAAGCAGGGTGAGAAGCTTGAGAATATGATTGCATTCATTGCAATAGCAGGAAAAACTGCCGAGGCTGGAGGCATGGCCACCTGAGCTCGCCTGGCAGGCGTGGCAGACAGAAAGCCCACGTTCACTGGCTACACTTCTCTGCCCAGACCCCTTCCAACTGAGGAATTTGGAAAATCATGCAAAGATAATTACATTTTAAAAATTGTATTCTTTTCATTGGCAAGTCTAAATGTAACATATGTGGAAAATGCATTAAAAGGCAAACCAAGGGTACATCATAAGCTAGCATTCACCATGACAGTACAATACTTGGGTGAGTATTTTAAAATAAAACACAGCAAGATAGGAACTGAGCCAGGGAGCTTGTGTGCTCACTGAACGCTTGCCTGAAGAGGCCCGCCTACTTTCTCCTGAAGGTGACTGGAAATTAACTTACCAGGCTGAGAGCCAAGAGGAGGGGCTGCTGGAGCCCCAGCCTCATGGACGCAGATGCCCTTCCCCACCACCCGCGCAGCCTGTCAGGACCTTCCCCATGGCCTGCGCAGGCTGTCAGGACCACAGTCAGTAGAGGCTAGAGGGGCCGTGAGGGTCTGTGGAACTGAACATAGAAAGCCGTAGTGATCACGCTTCCAACTGCCAGCCACACCCTGCCATTCAGAGCTGGCCTGCCCGTCTGTAGGGGCAGGGAACGCGTATGAAATTGATAGGGCAGCCTCTGAGCTTGGTGCGTGAAGTACCTGGCACGGAGGAAATGAAATCTCTGCAGAGGGCTGATGATGAGCAGCCAGTCAAGAAGTGAGCAGAGCAGGTGCTGGTTTAGCTCAGGAGATGCCGTGATGAATGACTCTGCCTGGGCCATGAACTATAAATTGAAATTGGGATTATGTGAGAAGAAAGAACCAGGGACTGAGGGAGAAACTGCAAAACAGTGAGTGAAAAGTTCTCTCATAGCAATTTTTACAGAAGACAGCGAAGCCATCAGTTAATTTTGGGTGTTTGTTTGTTAGTCTGCTTAGGAAGCCATAAGAGAATACTACAAACTGGGTGGCTTAACCAACAGACAGTTATTTTCTCAGTTCTAGAGGCTGCAAGTCCAAGATGAAGGTGTCGGTTTCTGGTGCGGCCTCTCCTTCGCTTGCAGACGGCCGCCTTCTTGATGCATCCTCACACGGCAGAGAGAAGGACCTCGGGTGTCTCTTTCTCATCTAAGGACCCCAGTCTTACTGGATAAGAGCCCTGGCCTTACGACCTCATTGAACCTGAATTCCCTCCTTAAAGCCCCTATCTCCAACCTGAATTCCCTCCCTAAAGCCCCTACCTATCTATCTCATCTCCAAACACAATGGCATTGGGAGTGAGAGCTTCAAAACACACATTGTGGGAGGACACAGTTCCATCCATAACAGAAATATATTTTCCCTCATGCAACAACAAATATTTTCTAAGCCACCATTTGGCAAGATGTTATAATTAAATCCAAGACTCTGCAGTACTCTTGCCTCTTTGCCAAAAAAACATAATATGAAGTGAAGCACGCTGGCATATTTCTCTATTGTGATTCCTCTATTGTAAATAGTAAATAGTCACTGAAATCCTAAACGATAGGATATGAAGGCAAGGTTGACCCAACAGCACAGGCAAGGCTGTGTGGCTTGTTAACCACCACAGCTCACTCCAGCACAAGATGCCGGAGCAACTTCGTGTGACCGCACCTGCGTAGAAGGAAAATGAGTGGTCTGGTTTTTCAGAAACAGCCTGATTGCAACCGGCACTCATCCACCTTCTAGGCACCTCCAACCTCGTCTCAGTGATGCAGGCCAGGGCTCCTCCTTCTACAGCCCCTCACCTCGACTTCCCACCACCGGGAAATGGCTTGTTTATCCAGCTCCAGAATCTTACAAGTTCCTGGAGCTCACTAACAGGTCAAGACTCGAGGGCATCCATAAAACAGTGACTCCTTCCACTACCGCCAGCACCAGCCAGGGCCCCTCCACCTCTCAGCTAAGTTCCCGCTTCTGATTTAAAGTTCATGTGAAAACTAGAGATGATCCTGAGTCGGAATCTACCTTCCAACGTGGTGGCCAGGCTGTTAGCTCACCAGGGGTCAGCGGCCTGCCTGCCTGCTTTACCACAGGTTGTGGCAAAAGCCCTTAAGATCATGTCCCCGCCACACAGGTTGGGCAGCTTTCAGGTCTCCTGGGAGACAGTTTCATCTGTACCGTGGCAAGCAAACTTCAGAGCTATAAGCAGTACCGGGCTATGGCAAGTGTGGTGTGCTAGGAAGACACCGTCACTCAGACATGGGCAGCGCGTGACTGGGGTCTATGGAGGCCTGCACATGAAGAGTTCTCAGTTCTTGCCTTACAGCTTTTCTGTAAGCTTGAAACTGCTTAAAAAAAAAAAAAAAGGCTGAGCACAGCGGCTCATGCCTGTAATCCCAGTACTTTGGGAGACCGAGGTGGGCAGATCACCCGAGGTCAGGAGTTCAAGACCAGCCTGGCCAACATGGTGAAACCCCGTCTGTACTAAAAATACAAAAATTAGCCAGGTGCAGTGATGCGTTCTGTAATCCCAGCTACTCAGGAGGCTGAGGCAGGAGAATCACTTGAACCCGGGAGGCGGAGGTTGCAGTGAGCCGAGAGGACGCCATTGCACTCCAGCCTGGGCAACAGAGCAAGACTCTGTCTCAAAGAAAAGAAAAGAAAGAAAAGAAAAGAAAAGAAAAGAAAAGAAAAGAAAAGAAGAAAAGAAAAGAAAAGAAAAGGAAAGGACAAAGACTTAGCGTTACTAAAGTTGAGAAGCATGATTGAAAGGTAACTAGAAAATGCGCATGGTGAAGAGTATCTTCAGCCAGGAGCAGTGGCTCCCACCTGTACTTTCAGCTGCTCAGGAGGCCAAGGCGGGGAGATCACTTGAAGTCAGGACATTGAAACCAGCCTGGCTAACATAGCAAGACACTGTCTCTAACAAAATAATGAAAATTAGCTGGGTATGGGGTGTGCACCGGTAGTCCCAGCTACTCGGCAGGCTGAGGTAGGAGGATCACTGAATCCAGGAGGTCGAGGCTGCAGTGAGCCATGATCTGCACTCCAGCCTGGGTGACAAAGTAAGAGCCTAACTCAAAAATAAAAGGAGCATCTCAAGGTAGATGGCCAGTTGTTGTCCATCTCTACCCAGAACTACTAAAAAACTGGCTGAGATAACATCAAAGTGAGCTGTCTCACGTTAAATGTAAGAATTTTTCTTATAGAGCTTGGTTACCAAGGTAACCAATGATCTCTTTGTTCTAATTACTAAAATAGTAACGTAAAACTCTCTTCATTGGCCCAGAATAACAACACTGGGGAAGCATCTGTTAATTGGTAGAAGGGGCGTGTGAGGCGTCTCCGTGGATGTGCACTGTGTCATCTGTCATTCTTTCTGTAGTGCCTTAAGGGATTGAATGTTTCAAAGGTGCCAGGTCACAAGAGAAGGTCCTCAATGATGGGGGCAGCACTGTGGGCAGTGAGGAATAATCAGTAACATTTATTTTAACAACTTCCAGGCATATTGTAGGCTGAGCCAGGGCTGACCACGGTGTCAGCAGCCATGAAGCATCGCAGGTTCTCCCCACTTTCCTTTCAGGACAGCCTGCCAGCCTCCTGGCTGCTGGCAGAGGACGTGGGCTCCGGGGTGACAAAGGGGATTTCAGTCACAGTAACAGGAGCAGTAGCCAGAGGGTCAGCATTTGTTTGAACATCTGAGCCCCCAGCCCCGAAGTGGGACGCAAAGTGGGCCAGGAGATGCCTGCACACACAGTGGGTGGTGTGGTGGCGGAGGGGCCTGAGCTTGAGGAGCGGACTTTCAGCTGCTCAGGAGGCCAAGACAGGGGGGTCACTTGAAGTGCACCTGCCTGGCCTTTGGTACGGAGGGCAACAGTGTCTTGATTACACTGATCAGTAAGCAAACGTCCCTTCGTGCTGGAGAAAGAGGCCATCGCCATCTCCCCAGGCTGCGCTCTGTACAAACAGCCCAACAAGAGCATGTGGATATAACACAAAGAAATGCAAGGGGCCCATGGAGAGTGATTCCCAATACCATGTGGTCGGTTAACTGAGAATAGAAGTAGAAGGCAGAGCTGGAAAGAAAGAAATTCAATCAACTAACCCCAGGGACGAGGAGCCAGGTCTAGAGAATGTGACTGGCTGGCCCAGGGACAGGCAGCCGTCAGAGGCAGAGTTCGTCTGAGTGGGGCCCACGCCACCTCCCTCGCAGCATTGAGAGCGCACAGCACACTTGCAGGTACAAGCCTTTGCTTGTGCTTAAGGGACAGCACTCTATTCGCTATCACAGGGAGTCCAGCCTCTGGGCAAAACTCACCTGGAAAAGCACTGCCAATAGTTGAGATGATCCATCGTAGTGGGATCCAAAGCGCTTCCCTCACCCACTCTATTTCAAAATCTATCAGAGCAATATGCCTCCTACAACGAAAGAAAGAAGCGAAAAGAACAGTAAAGCAATTTCTTAACCATTCCCTCTTAGCCAAATTCAGGAAGTCAACATCACTTTAATTTTTTCAGTCCAAAACTACGTGGAGTCCCTACTCAGTGCCAAGAAAACGTATATTGAAATCTCTTGTTTCAACAGGATGATGACTCTCTCAATTACCAACTTCTCTAACAGTTTGGAAATGTAAGGCATAGTAAAATAGATGAATATATCTTTACAAAGAGCCCGACGACATAAAATAACTCCATGGATGCTTCTGGGAAGTCCAGGATCTGGCATCTCTCATAAACAGACACACTGATATTATGATGGATGCGCACGGCATTTCAAGTCACTTTAATACCTTTCAAACGAGAGAAAGCAGAGAGCAGGAATCTGGGACATCCTCCAGGATTTAAATGCTCTGGGCTTGAATATGTTGCCAACTCAGCATTGCTCTATTGTGTTAAGCCATGGCAAACGTGACCTAGAGGAAGTGTCCGCCTTTAAACAGTGACAACTCACCCAAAACCCAAAGAAGTAAATATACAGGAGTTTTAAAATAATACAAAAACTATTTTTATTATTTTTAAAGCCAGCACGGTGGCTTTTGGCATCACTATCCATTTCTAATACAAAACTGGATTAAATAAATATCATCCAATGTATAAATAGATCATGAAACAATTGTGAAGATAAAAAGAGAATTCTTCTGTAATTAAAAAAAATTAACTTTAAAAATTTTCTTTAGTGGTGAATCAAGAACAAATCCCTATGTCACTTGAGAATTTGTCAATTATGATACAAATATTGATAGAATACGTCTTCATGCTGTAAAGTGTTACACATAAAAGATTAAATAGAAAAATCTCTTCTGACTGCCTGTTGCTCCTGCCATTCATACTAATCTTCATTTTTTCTTAGTTGTTAGTCATCCATATAAAGAACTGCCCCGATGCCTGTGTAGGGAGGGTGAGTGTGAGGGTGTGTGGGTGAGTGTGAGGGTGAGTGTGTGGGTGAGTGTGTGAGGGTGAGGGTGAGCTATGTGCTCATCCGTGCATGGGGGTCTGAGGAGGGGAATCCGTTCGGAGAGGGCCAGCCACCAAACAGGACATGTTGTGGCAAGCCACACCATGACAAAGAACATGTCTCTGCTAGGAATATGTGGGCATCTGGCCCACGAAAAGCTCTGTGGTTCCCACTTTCTCCACAATGAAGAAGATGCCAGCTCAGTGGCCTTTGGCGTACGATCTTTTCATTAGAATATGGGAAAGGTGTAGAGGCCCCAAGTACAGATACGACATTAAATTGGGTGGTGCGTGTAGGCGCTTTTGAAATTTCATTCTAAAAAATCCAAAGTGCCTAAGTTACGTGAACACAGATTAAGTGACACAAAAAGAACGCTTCCTTCAGAAGTATCCGCCGCATAATCTCATCTCTGCCTCACTTACTTCCTATGCAGTAGGTCTTGGAAAAGGGATACATTCGCAACGATCAATCCTTGGATTAACTTTTTTTAGTCAGGGAAGGGCACGGTATTAATTCTGAAATAAGCTTCAGAAAAAAATGTAAGAAGCAGGCATGAGATAGCCTTAATATACACTAGAAAGCAGTTCTATATATCTTACCTATTTCCTTTAAAAATCTTATGTACATAAATCTTGAAATTGATTTACATGCCAAACTATTTTATCTTGAATATTTCCAAACATAAATCTGTGTGATGGTCATTTCATGTTAAAATGTGTATCTTAATGAGTTACAAATATTCTTCTAAAATGAGGAAAACCCACAGCAAGACAAGAAATCCACTTCTACTTCTAAAAATTGTGTAGCTGTGCTAACACATGCGTCTCTTGTAATAAATGTGATATGAGTTCAAAGGAAGACACAGAACACTAGCTATAATTTCAAAGATCAAGTTTCCTTAAAATATTACAACAGGGGAGTAGAAAATATGCACGAAGGAAACATCCCCTAGTTAAGTGCCAGACAAGCACTGATGTTCATGTCCCACCAGCAGAACACTGTCAGGAAGAGGAGAGTGGCATTTGATGAGCCTCCCACTGACCTGGCTGCAAGCTGTCAGATGCCATGTCATAGCATTTCCTCTATTTAGATACTTTCTAAGTGCCTCAAGTTTTTCAAAGGGGAAAAAGTAGAGCTTGATGGGGGTGGGGTAGCATTTCAATCTGCATGTTTGAAAACATGTCTTCATTTTCATCTATTGCCATTCTATGGAAACGCAGCCGCTTGGGCATTATCTAGCAGGTGGGACTCCACACATGCTACATGCCTCCTGCTTCCTCAGTACCTGCACCCCACCTTCACGTTTGGTATCTTTGCAAAGGCAATTCATTCTTTCAGCTTCAGTGCTTCATGGTTACTTGAGCACACAAGCAGGATCAAAACACTTAGGAACTTTCAAAAGGTTCCTCAATGACTGGGTGCCGTTGAATAAAGCAGCAAATGAAAGGGAACAGGAACAGTTCTGACACATGCACAGGGCACTGTGCTGACGCCCACGGCTCGCTGTCGCGGAGCCATGCCCTGATTTTGAAAGTCTGAAGCCTTTCCAGTGGACACTGCAGGGGTAAACGCCTCTGAACTTCACAGAGGTAAAGGAAAATACCACTAAAGTTTTCTCTTAAAAATATCTGAACTTGAAATTAATTTACATGCCAAACTGTTTTATCTTAAATATTTTCAAACGAAAAAAATTAATCACATTTCCTAACTTCATCTTTTATTTATAGTTATTCCAAAGCAGATATGCTATGATGAGATAGTTCTAAAAATACAGTTCTTTATCCTCAAAACCCTGGTTATACATGAGGCCTAGAAATCTCTTTTCTAGAATTTTTAAAACAACCAGTAAAATATAAAGATCAACCTGTACCCCACAAAGATTCAAGTAAAATTATGTCTTTTCAAAACCTTATATTTTCAAGGAATGTTCTGCAAAAAAGCAGCTTTTATAATTAGGAAGTAAATCGAAATAATACATAAAATGTCTTGTGTTTGCTAATAAATTGAGAAAAGACACAAAATTGAATTATTGATATTTTCTTTTTCTTTAACCAAAATAAAAGTAGGCTCTAGATTCACCTGTTAAGGCCTTAAACAGTCAATTAACCAATACAATTCACCAAACTAGCTTTCTATACAATTAGGAATTAAACAACCCCTTTTAGAGATGTCCTGAGATGACATTTAATGCTAAAATCAAAATAAATAACCCAGCAAGAACAAAAGTTTAAAATTCCAATAATTTCCACTTTGGGGATATTTTTTCACCAAAATTAATCAACATTTCTAAAATATTTCAATACAAAATTATAAAATAAAAAGTGCATTAAAAGCAGAACCTTTAAAACTCTAGCACAATTACAGTTATTCTGCATATGCGGCTACAGCCAGGTTTACACACTGACATTCAAGGAAGGAAACCTCCGGATTGGTAAGAAGTCCAGTATCACAAGCATAAGTCAAATAAGGCTTTTCTTTTTCTTAAAAAAATATACAATACACAAAGCAGTTTGGAAAAGAAGTAATATTATTTAACAATTTTCTGACTTAAATATCTTCACATAACAAAAGTTTTCATATCACCGTCAATATTACTTATATACATATGCCAAAAGTGAACAACAACAACAAAAAAATCAAAAGATGCCCTTTCAAAATAACAGTAAAATGTCTATTTCTTTAGGAATCTGAAATGAGCTCCTCTCTTAATATACAAAGTCCATACAATATTTATAATAAAACTACTCTCTTCTGAAACCAAGGAGGCAACGAGAGAAAATAAAGGCAATTATTTTTCAGGAAAAAAAAATAAAACCCAGCTTTATATGACAATGAAAAAGATATCCATTTATGAATAAAATGAATACAATACTGATCTGAAGTGCTCGTGGGGAGGTGAAACTGACGCTCTTTCTGCAATTAGGACTAGTACTTATATTTACAAAATATACTGTTCAGCCACACAGAGGCCCATATATCTATGTACATATGTATTTATATATAGAACATATAAATAATTTCAAAGGAAAAATTAACATGAAGTAAAGAACCTTCCATCTTTGGAATGCTGTAGGAATGGCGTGCACGCACTCTGCCCAGCACGGGTGGGATTTGGTTTGGGACATGTTTTATGTGGCACCATTGACGATACTAAAGAATTCCCTGAAATCAAAAATACATCTGTTTATGCACGAAGAGAAAGTCATGGGGTTTTTACGGATTCGTGGCCTTAAGCTACAGATATGCTTCTTATTTGCTGGGGTGGACAGGGCCACCGTTGCTTGCTCCTTGCAGACGGTTCTGTGGTTTCCTACCTGCGATGTATGGCTTGTGCTTCTGCAATTATGTAACCCTGGACCTGAACACAGATTGATGCGGTAAGTGTGTCGCCAGCCCGTGTGGACAGCTGAATCCTTATTGGTGGGTCAGGTTTACTCGAGTCCCCATGTTGACGCCCCAGATACTGCATTCTTGTAACTAATGATTAAACATTTGTCATGGAGAGAATTGGTCCAGCCATCTCTCAAGGTATCAGTTATATTAACTTATGGTAGACTGAAAAGAGTCCATTTTGACTAATTTTCAAAATGCACAGAGAAAAGAGTGGAAAAAACTTCCCTGTGTGTTGTAACACTTTTTTTTCTGAACTTCATGCCTCAATCTTACGCTTGCTTTGTAAGCTATGCTTCTTATAACCAGAAACATGAAGGAAAATCTGACATACTTTTTCAATGTTAGCGTTTTTGTCTTTGCTAATACAAAGAAATCACACTACAATGATAGTAAGACCCAGTTAATTGCTTCGTGAACTAGACACACTAGCCACGGAGGAGACTGAGGAGGAAACTGCCTACAGTAGTACCTGAGTTCAGTGATTTGTAGACAAAAGAGAACAATGCGGTGACACTTTTCCTAGTTTTTTTTTCCTATGAGTCTCTGAAAGACAATGATTCTTTAGATAATTTTATAGATAAAAAACTATTGTAGCATTTTTAACACTTGAAGCTTTAAAACGGAGATTCCAAGTGCTTTGCTCTTCACAAAACGTAACTTCAGAAACATTCTTAAAGGTGTACTTCCAACTCGCATCAGAAGACGTGGGTGAGGGCCTGCCACTCGCCGGCGGCCTCCTGCACCACCTCCTCCAGGTGGAGGGTCCGGCTCAGCTCCTCCCCGTCCTGCTCCGGGTGACCTGCAGACTCCTGCAGAGCTCCTGTTATGCAGACAAAGAAAACACAAGCAGCCTCAGACCTTCCAGAGCACAAAATGATTCCTATTTAAATAAAGACTTTCTGGTAGAAAGAGACAAGGAATTTCTAAAGTAATTTGCTTTTCATTCCAGTGAAAAAAGAGTAATTTGAGCTGCAGGTGAAACACCTCTGCCGGCAGGACAGTAGTTACTGTTAGGAGTATGAACGCACACACAGCACTGGTGATATGAGTGCACTCCTATGACAGCTACATTAACACAGCATCAGGAATGAGCAATAACCAACACACATGATTTCCATAATAAAAAGGAAAGCAGGAAGCACTACAGTGTAGACGTTAAAGAGAAAAAATTACCCCTTTTTCCTTCCTCAAAAACTCCCCACAATATAGTGTTCTGCCCTCGGGTTCCCTACACTGAAAGCCGTCGAGCTCCCCTCACAAAGTACCGCACCTCAAACAACCAAAGAACACCTGCAAGCCTCACAGAGCACACCACCACCTCCAACACCAAATCACAAATCTCACAGATCACACCACCTCCAACACCAAATCACAAATCTCAGAGATCACACCACCTCCAACAACAAATCACAAACCTCACAGATCACACCACCTCCAACAACCAAATCACAAATCTCACAGATCACACCACCTCCAACACCAAATCACAAATCTCACAGATCACACCACCACCTCCAACACCAAATCACAAATCTCACAGATCACATCACCACCCCTAACACCAAATCACAAATCTCACAGAGCACACCACCTCCAACAACAAATCACAAACCTCACAGATCACACCACCTCCAACAACCAAATCACAAATCTCACAGATCACACCACCTCCAACAACAAATCACAAATGTCACAGATCACACCACCTCCAACAACAAAACAAAAATCTCACAGATCACATCACCACCCCTAACACCAAATCACAAATAACACATCTCACGAATCACATCACCTCCAACAACCAAATAACACATCTCACGAATCACATCACCTCCAACAACCAAATAACACATCTCACGAATCACATCACCTCCAACAACCAAATAACACATCTCACGAATCACATCACCTCCAACAACCAAATAACACATCTCACGAATCACATCACCTCCAACAACCAAATAACACATCTCACGAATCACATCACCTCCAACAACCAAATAACACATTTCACGAATCACATCACCTCCAACAACCAAACAAACCACAGATCTCACAGAGCATACCACCTCGAACAATCAAATCACACCCGCAAAATGCATGGAGCACACCAAGGGGTCTACTCAGACTTTAACATTTCTAGTTCCTTGCATAGCTACTGCCACCCTCTGAAACCTAGTCTAGGCCATCTATTATCATTCCTTCCTCAGAGATGGATGCCACTGCTAGATTCTGTGTAGGAAACAAAGGTGAACAAGGGACAGACAAGCAGTAGGATCACACCCCAATATCCATACTCTGAAGGGCATGAACGTTAGCGAATCAAGAGAGAAACCAAGGCCCACGTGTTGTCTGTGCCAGGTCAACAGGATGCAGACAGGAGCAGTTGGTGCAGATTCTGTTTGCTCTGTGCCCCTGAGCACCGAGACAGCACCTGAACTGCATGCTGCAGGAAAAGGGGCTTCCAGACATGATGTGAAGACAGACAGAGATGCTATTCTGGGCCTCTGACTGGCCAGGTGCTGAAGGCCCCTACAGAAAGCTCTGTCCAGTGAGAAACGAGCTGCTCAGAAATGCTGCGCTTGCTCAGGTTCTGGGCTGCCATTTTACTCCAATAAATTTCTGTGCCCTTGCCAAAATATAAATTTAATCTAATCAAATTCTGTGTGTGTGTCTCTGTGTGTGTGTGTGTGTGTGTGTGAAGGGGGGCAGTCCATAGCCAACTTCAACAACTGCAAACACTAACTATTAAAGTAACAAAAGCACAGGCTTCCAGAGATCATGGCGGATGGGAGGCAGGACTAGACTGCACCTCCGACTCAAAGGGACAGAGCAGCATGAGGAGGCTCACATTGTGAATTTTTGCTCCCAAACAACTAGGGGAATAAATCAGGAAACCTGAGAGGACCCACAGACTCTCTGAAGGAAGTGGATTGCTCCTGCAGGACCCAGGAGACACCCCAAATACTCAGCCACAGCAAGACCCGCCCAAGGAGAGTCTGAGCTCAGACACGCCTAGCCCAGCCCCCACCCAATGCTCCTTCTCTACCCACCCTGGAAGCGGAAGACAAAGGGCATATACTCTTGGGAGGTCTAGGGCCCCGCCCACCACCTGTTCCTCCCTATACTACCACAGCTGATGCTCTCTGGAAAGCACCACCTCCCGGCAGGAGGCCAACCAGCACAAAAATAGAGCATTAAACCACCAAAGCTAAGAACCTTCACAGAGTCCATTTCACCCCCCTGCCATCTCCACCGGAACAGGCACCGGTACCCATGGCTGAGAGACCATGAATGGTTCACATCACAGGACTCTGTGCAGACAACCCCTAGTACCAGCCCGGAGCCAGGTGGACTTGCTGGGCGGCTAGACCAAGAATAAAGGTAACAATCACTATAGCTCTGTTCTCAGGGAGCCACAGCCATAGGAAAAGGCGGGGAGTACTATATCAAGAGAACCCCGTAGGACCAAAGAATCTGAACAACAGCCTTCGGCCCTAGACCTTCCCTCTGACAGAGCCTACTCAAATGAAAAGGAACCAGAAAAACCAACTCTGGTAATATGACAAAACAAGGCTCTTTAACAGCTCCCAAAAATCACACAAGCTCACCAGCAATGGATCCAAACCCAGAAGAAGTCCCTGATTTACCTGAAAAAGAATTCAGGAAGTTAGTTATTAAGCTAATCAGGAAGGTACCAGAGAAAGGTGTAGCCAAAGGTAAGGAAATCAAAAAAATGATATAAGAAGTGAAGGGAGAAATATTCAATGAAATTGATAGCATAAATAAAAAACAAGGAAAACTTCAGGAAACAATAGACATACTTATAGAAATGCAAAATGCTCTGAAAAGTCTCAGCAATAGAATAGAACAAGTACAAGAAAGAAATTCAGAGCTCGAAGACAAGGTCTTCGAATTAACCCAATCTAACAAAGGCAAAGAAAAAAGAATAAGAAAATATGAACAAAGCCTCCAAGAAGTCTGGGGATTATGTTAAACGACCAAACCTAAGAATAATCGGCATTCCTGAGGAAGAAGAGAAATCTAAAAGTTTGGAAAACATATCTGGGGGAATAATCGAGGAAAACTTCCCTGGCCTTGCTAGAGACCTAGACATCCAAATACAAGAAGCACAAAGAACACCTGGGAAATTCACTGCAAAAATATCATTGCTTAGTCGCATTGTCATCAGCAACAGCAGCTAAAAAAGACAGAGGGGCATTATATAATGATAAAAGGCGTTGTCCAACAGGAAAATACCACAATCCTAAACATACATGCACCTAACACTGGAGCTCCCAAATTTATAAAACAATTACTAATAGATCTAAAAAATGAGATAGACAGCAACATAATAATAGTGGGAGACTTCAATACTCCACTGACAGCACTAGACAGGTCATCAAGACAGAAAGTCAAAAAAGAAAAAATGGATTTAAACTATACCTTGGAACAAAAGGACTTAATAGATATATACCTAACATTCCATCCAACAACTGCAGAATATACATTATATTTAACAGCAGATGGAACTTTCTCCAAGACAGACCATATGATAGGTCACAAAATGAGCCTCAATAAATTTAAGAAAATTGAAATTATATCAAGCTCTCTCTCAGACCACAGTGGAATAAAACTGCAAATAAATTCCAAAAGGAACCTTCAAAACCATGCAAATACATGAAAATTCAATAACCTGCTCCTGAATGATCATTGGGTGAAAAATGAAATCAAGATAGAAATTAAAAAATTATTCGAACTGAACAACCATAGTGACATAACCTATCATAACCTCTGGGATACAGCAAAGGCAGTGCTAGGAGGAAAGTTCGTAGCCCTAAATGTCTACATCAAGCCTGAAAGAGCACACACAGACAATCTAAGGTCACACCTCAAGGAACTAGAGAAACAAGAACAAACCAAAACCAAACTCAGCAGAAGAAAGGAAATAACCAAGATTAGAGCAGAACTAAATGAAATTGAAACAAACAAACAAAAGATAACTGAAACAAAAAGCTGGTTCTCTGAAAACATAAATAAAATTGATAGACTACTAGCAAGATTAACCAAGAAGAGAGGAAATCCAAATAAGCTCAATAAGAAGCGAAATGGGAGCTATCACAACTGACACCACAGAAATATAAAAGATCATTCAAGGCTACTATGAACACCTTTACACATATAAACTAGAAAACCTAGAAAGATGGATAAATTCCTGGAAAGATACAACCCTCCTAGCTTAAATCAGGAAGAATTAGATACCCTGATCAGACCAATAACAAGCAGCAAGATTGAAATAGTAATTTAAAAATTACCAACAAAACAAAGTCCACAACCAGATGGATTCACAGCAGAATTCTACCAGGCATTCAAAGGAGAATTGGTACCAATCCTTTTGACACTATTCCACAAGACAGAGAAAAAGAGAACCCTCCCTAAATCATTCTATGGAGCCAGTATCACCCAAAACCAAAACCAAGACAGGACATAACCAAAAACAAAACTACAGACCATTATCCCTGATGAACATAGATGCTAAAATCCTTAACAAAATACTAGCTAACCGAATCCAGCACATATCAAAAAGATACTCCACCATATGATCAAGTGGGTTTCATACCAGGGATGCAGGAATGGTTTAACATATGCAAGTCGATAAATGTGATACACCACATAAACAGAATTAAAAACAAAAACCACATGATCATTTCTACAGATGCAGAAAAAACATCAGACAAAATCCAGCATCACTTTATGATTAAAACTCCCAGGAAAATCGGCATACAAGGGACATACCTCAATAATAAAAGCCATCTATGACAAACCCACAGCCAACATAATATCGAATGATGAAAAGTTAAAAGCTTTCCCTCTGAGAACTGAAACAAGACAAAGATGCCCACTCTCACTACTCCTCTTCAACATAGCAGTGGCAGTCCTAGCCAGAGCAATCAGAAAAGAGAAGAAAATCAAGAGCATCCAAATCAGTAAAGAGGAAGTCAAACTATCACTGTTTGCTGATGATATGATTGTTTACCTAGAAAACCCAAAAGACTCTTCCAGAAAGCTCCTAGAACTGATGAAAGAATTCAGCAGTTTCCAGATAAAAAATTGATGTAAAGAAATCAGTAGCTCTTCTATACACCAACAGCAACCAAGCTGAGAATCAAATCAAGGAGTCAACCCCTTTTACAATAGCTGGAAAAAACAAAACAAAAACAAACAAACAAAAAAAAACTTAGGAATACACCTAACCAAGGAGGTAAAAGACCTCCACAAGGAAAACTACAAAACACTGCTGAAAGAAATCACAGATGACCCAAACAAATGGAAACACATCCCATGCTCATGGTTGGGTAGAATCAATATTGTGAAAATGGCCATACTGCCAAAAGCAATCTACAAATTCATCGCAATTCCCATCAAAATACCAACATCATTCTTCACAGAATTAGAAAAAACAATTCTAAAATTGATATGGAATCAAAAAAGAGCTCACATAGCCAAAGTAAGACTAAGCAAAAAGAACAAATCTGGAGGCATCACATTACCTGATTTCAAACTATACTATAAGGTCATAGTCACCAAAACAGCATGGTACTGGTATAAAAATAGGCATACAGACCAATGGAACTGAATAGAGAACCCAGAAATAAACCCAAATACTTATAGCCAACTGATCCTCAATAAGGAAAACAAAAACATAAAATGGGGAAAGGACACCCTTTTCAACAAACAGTGCTGGGATAATTGGCTAGCCACACGTTAGGAGAATGAAACTGGATCTTCATATCTCATCTCATACAAAAATCAACTCAAGATGGATTAAAAAAACTAAGACCTGAAACTATAAAAATTCTAGAAGATAAAATTGGAAAAACCCTTCTAGACATTGGCTTCGGCGAGGACCAAGAGCACAAAAGTGAATGCAATAAAAACAAAGATAAATAGCTGGGACTTCATTACACTAAAGAGCTTTTTAATGGCAAAAGGAACAGTCAGCAGACTAAACAGACAACCCACAGAGTGGGAGAAAATCTTCACTATCTATACATCTGAAAAGGACTAATATCCAGAATCTACAACGAATTCAAACTAATCAGTAAGAAAAAAAACAAACAATCCCATCAAAAAGTGAGCTAAGGACATGAACAGACAATTCTCAAAAGAAGATATATAAATGGCCAGCAAACGTATGAAAAAATGCTCAACATCACTAATGATCAGGAAAATGCAAATCAAAACCACAATGTGATACCATTTTACTCACGCAAGAATGGCCATAATCAAAAAATAAAAAAAAAAATAGTACATGCTAGCATGGATGTGGTGAACAGGGAATACTTCCACACTGCTAGTGGGAATGTAAACTAGTACAGCCACTATGGAAAACAGTGTAGAGATTCCTTAAAGAACTAAAAATAGAACTACCATTTGATCCAGCAGTCCCACTACTGGGTATCTCTACCCAGAGGAAAATAAGTAGAATCTTTTTCATTGTATGAAAAAGACACTTGCACACGCATGTTTATGGCAGCACAATTCGCAACTGCAAAAACAGGGAACCAAACCAAATGTCCATAAATCGACGAGTGGATAAAGAAACTGTGGTATTTATATACATAAATACACACACACACACACACACACACACACACACACACACAATGGAATACTACTCAGCCATAAAAAGGAATGAATTAATAGCATCTGCAACCACCTGGATGAAATTGAAGGCCATTATTCTAAGTGAAGTAACACAGGAATGGAAAACCAAACATCGCATGTTCTCACTCATAAGTGGGAGCTAAGCTATGAGGATACAAAGGCATAAGAATGACACAATGGACTTTGGGGACTCGGGGGGAAAGAATGGGAAGGGGGTGAGGGATAAAAGACTATAAATAGGGTGCAGTGTACACTGCTCAGGTGATGGGTGCACGAAAATCTCACAAATCACCACTACAGAACTTACTCATGTAACCAAACACTATCTGTTCCCCAATAACCTATGGAAATCAAAAAATAAAATAAAGCACAAGCTTCCAGTCCACACAACTGAGGCTGTACCACGTGCAATGCAAAATCACTGTGTGAACTAAAGGAAACAATGTATGCGAAACACAGGGTGCCTCGCAGGCCACCGAACAGCACGCACTCCCGGGTGCAGCATTCTCACCAGCATAGCTGTGCGCCCGCTTCATGTGCAGCTTCATGTTGCTCTTCTGCGTGAAGCCCATGACGCAGTAGGCACACTTGTAGGGCCGCTCCCCCGTGTGCTTCTTCATGTGCACCTGCAGCGCACTCTTCTGGTTGAAGGCTTTCTCACAAAGCGTGCAATGGAACGGCCGCTCCCCTGTACAGAAAATGGCATATGTCAATGTCTCTAAGAAAAGTATAGTGGATGCCTGGGCTCTACCCTGAGGTATGAACAAGAGGGACTGAATGTTCCTCTTTTCTTTTAGGCTTTCAGCCTGGCTGTCATCTGAACAAAGGGCTGGAGGAGCCATAGGGAGACCAGAGGGAGCCTGGCCAGGTCCTAACGACCCCCAGCAGATGGGGCGGAGGGATCAGAGAGCCATGGAAGGGCCACGGTGGATGCAGCCTGTGGAACCCCAGGCCCACAGTGAGTCGTCAGATGATCACAACAGAAATGAGCCCGGGATGATGTCCTGTTAGGGCAGGGCGGAGACGGAAGGGCTGACACGAGCTATCATGTACAGTCAAGAGGCAGAAGATGGAAGAGCTTGTTTCTTTGTTCCGTGTGTTTTTTTTCTCTAAGACAAAAGGTTTGAGCAGATTTAGGTGGTGTAGGAAAAGCCAGCAGAGAAAAAAAGTTTTAAGACAGAAGAGGAAGATTAAAAATTAAGTTCCCCGGTGACATTGAGGACATGGGACCCAGGCACTGGGGGCCGCCTGTTTGCTCCAGCAGAAGGGAAGGAGGGACGTGACATGGTCAACATCCCAGACACGGCACGGGAGGCTTGCCTGATGCTTCTGTTTCATATGGTCATAATGTAAGCAGCAAAATCTTCCATGTGAAAAGTTAGTTATGACAATAAATAGGTCAAAACTCAGGAGAAATGGAACATGTGGACCTTGCTTTATAAATAAAGCATTCCATCGCTCGTGAATATTGCACAGGTGGAATTATGTTTTCTCACCCATGATGTCTACTTCAAAGAGTAAGGAAACAAAAGCACGTCCTTCCCCGTTACCTGTATGTATGCGGCTGTGGCGCTCCAGCTGGCTTGGTTTGGCAAATGCCTTCTCACAAGTGTCACATTTAAACACTCTTGGCTTCTGGGAGCTCAAAGAGGGGCCGGCCTGGTGTGTCTGCATGTGCTCCTGGGAGACAACACACAGAAACCAAGAAACAAGATCAAAACAGCTTTCGAGACTAGAAACAAGAGGAAGCAAATCACTGCAAAGTTCAAGTCAGTGGCAAGGACAAAATCAAAGGCTAATCTGTGATTTGTGTTCTTAAGGACTTCAATGCATCGGTAGTGACAACAGAGTGACAACACTGGGGCTTCTCGGGGAGACTCCGGTCCCCATCTGAGCTTTACTGCCTGCTAGCTATATGGCTTGGCCACATCTGTGTCCCAAATAGGGGTAGAAATATCTCCTTCATCAGCTTTAACCGAGACCAAGGGCGTCATGCCATGAGCCTAGTGCAGGAGTCCAGGTGAGCTCTCTCCGTTGGCTGTGGGGGATCCTGTCCCCGTTTCACACACGAGTCCACCCATATGTCGTGGCCTGAGGCCACCCATAGGTTGTGGCCTGAGGCCCTGCGGCACCCAGCTGGGACCCGTTCAGTGACTCTCACCCACAAGTCCTCACGGAATGCCCATGATTCTGAAGTGCGTTCTCCCGGTGATACGACAGAGGCTTTTAAAGCCAAGAGGAAACTGTTCCCTTCTCCTGTTGTGATTGGCAACTTGCCAGAGATACTGCATTCACGTGACTGCAAATTTCTCAAAGATCTGATAGCTGCTGCCCTTGCAGGCACCTGAGGATGTGCAATGTGGTTATTTTCCAAAATTGCAGAAGCATAATAATTATCCTAATAGAATCTCAGTCTTTAGAGCTAACCTCTACCCTGTAAGGCAGGAGTCAGGGAAAAGTACACGTTTCCTGTGTGTGTTCCATGTGACCGCCTGTGTTCCAGCTGCGTATGTCGCACTGCTCAAGGCCCAGCACAGTCTGGGAGGTGGGTGTAATGAAAGCAGCAGGGTGGGAAAAACAAACTCGGGAGGTGAGTGGGGGAGCCTTCCCAGCACTGCAGACCAGGCAGAGCCAGGACTGCAGGTGAGGCCTGACCAGTGACACCACCACTCCTGATGACACCAATCACCATCAACAGCTAGAGTGCATTCCTCCCCCACTCCGTCTGGGGTTCCCACCCGGTCTGTGTTGGATGTAACTGCGGTCACACTGAGTGCTAAGCTTCCTGAGGATGGAGCCGCCTGTTTCTGGGACCACCTTCTGTGCATACAGCAGGCACTCACTGTTTGCTAAGCTGAAAGGAGGACAGAGAGTCCACGGGGGAACAGACTGTCCAGTGGGCTGAAAGGAAAGCTTTTATAACCTTGGCTTCTGTTTCTCTGACCTCCAGAGAAATCTCCTGCGGTGGGAACAGTGCACGCAGCTGCCACTCTATGCTGATGACTTTAAAAGAAATACCGACGAGCTGCACTCCTCGAAGGGTGCAGTTAGGCTTACCCTGTGGCAGAGGTTACGTAAACCTAGTTCTCCCTAGAAAGTGCTCTCTGAGACAATGGCAAATGTTCCTCAAGAAAGAATTTCATCATCAAATAAGTTTGCGATCAGCTGTAGTTAATACCGTTCTTACTGCAACACACCTGTCGGCCTGGCTCTGCTACAAGCGACAAGTGAGGTGTGAATTTCTAAGAAGGGGCGGTGTTGTGCCCTGAAGTTGGTGGGGACTCAGCAGAGCCCCCCAACATGGCCGTCAGCTCACTGCACCAGAGGACGCTAATGCAGCCCTGGGGCAGGGAGATTCATCAGAAGGTTTCAAAAGAAAGAATCCTGCTGATAGTTTATTTTGCTGTGCAGAAGCTCTTAAGTTTAACTGGATCCCATTTATCAACTTTGGCTTGTGTTGCAATTGCTTTTGGCGTCTTCGTCATGACATCTTTGCTGTTCCTCTGTCCAGAATGGTATTGTCTAGGTTGTCTTCCAGGGTTTTTAGAGTTGTGGGTTTTACATTTCAGTCTTCAATCCATCTTGAAACAGAAAACCAAATACCACATGTTCTCACTGATAAGTGGGAGCTAAATGGTGAGAACACATGGACCCGTAGAGAGGAGCAAATCACACACACTGGGGCCTCCTTGAGGGAGGAGGGAGAGGAGCAGGAAAAATTATTGGCTACTTAGCTTAGTACCAGGGTGATGAAATAATCTGTACAACAATCCCCTGTGACCTGAGTTTACCTGTATAACAAACCCTGCACATGCACCTCCGAACCTAAAGTGAAAGTAAAAGAAATTTAAAAATGAAAAAGAACCCAAGCAGCCAAGCGACAGGCTCCCTTCAGGACAGAGAGGGAGGACTGAGGGTCTCGGGGCTCACCAGCCCCTGGAGGGACCTGGGAGAGGAGCCACCGCAAGCACCACAGGTGGGGCCCTGGGCTTCCTGGCCCGGACAGGGCCGTCACTGCTGACACCACTGGCCTGCAATACATCCAAAGCCCATGTGCTCTACTCCACACTCCAAAAAAGCCATCCTGGTCACAGGGATCCAAGGATTCCAGTTTCTGGGACAGGAATTCCTCCTTGAGTAGGACTCTCCCTTCTTCTAGTCCTACACTCATTAAAAGACAACAGACACACAAAGGCCAAAAACAATCCCCACCCCCCCAACATACACAGGAACCCCAAGGGTCCAGCCATCTTAGTGCAGCTTTCCTTCCCGGCCAGCGTGGCACGCCTCTGCCCTCTGCGTGGCCTGGCCATGGCTGGTCAGAAATTTCGCAGGCTATCCCTCACTTGGAATTTGTCTGTTTTTCTCATGTTACGGGGTTTTTGGGAAAAGTGCCACTTTCATCCCACACTGCCAAGGACAGAAGCAGTCTTGATGTGTGGGTGCTGATGCTGCCCACGGCCGCTGGGCTGGAGTGGTGCTGGCTAGGCATCCGTGCTGCACGCTCCTCTGTGTTCCACCCCTTCCACACCCCATTCCCTTCACACGGAAGACGGCGCCCTGGGCTGGATATCAGAGCACCCTGCTGGAATTCTGCCTCCTGCCCACTGTAGCACAGCACCCTCTGTGGGGATGTCCCAGAACTCATCCTCTGCTTCCCACATGCGGGCACTCAGGTCTCCACTGTGCAATGATGGCTCTGCTGCAGTGGAAAGCGTGGGCAGCTAAACCTTGGGAGGCTGGAGGGGCATCTTCAGGGCTGGTCCCCAGGGTGAGCACACATGCATTTGTTAGGGCTGCCCAATGCCCCTACAGAAAGTCCAACCAAGTCACAGTCTCACTAGCAATTACGTGAGCGAGCCTCTGTTTCCCCACAGCCTCAACAACAGGTGCTGACAGACTTTTACATTTTTGCCAGTCTGACAAGGGAGAGAGGGCATTTCAATGTTATTTCAGTTTGTCTTGCAAATTGATTGTGAGTTGCAGGTGAACATGCAATTCATCTGTACAGCAAGCAGACCTCTTACAACCGGAACAATACATCTACATCTAGTGACCTTTTCCTCAAAAACCGGCCTTTTCCTCAAAAACACATGCCAGATTCCCGGCCAGTGTTAAATCTTGGACTCCGCATCTCTAGCCGCCTGGGGGGCACACAGCTGTGCCCTGGCACAGTGGGCCTACCTTGAGGTGCGTGGCGCGCTTGAAGGCCTTCCTGCACACGGGGCAGCCGTGGATGCGCTCCCGGCCATGCACCTCCTTGCTGTGGTGCATGAGCACCGCCGCCGATGAGAAGGCGCGGTCACACTCCAGGCACTGGTGCGCCCGGCCCTCCTTCTCTGGCTGGTTGCCCGGGGCCAGGTTCCCAGAGACGCCAGCTACCTGGAAAGAGCCAGAAATTGTGACTTTCCACTCACTTGGCTTGATTTGTGCAGTTTGTGAACTGACACACACCGTGGTGATAAGAGGGACATTCCTAGCACGGACACGCCAAGCCCACACTGCATGTCCTATCATCAGGATAATTTAGCCAGAGGCGCCTTCCACACAATATGAGACCAGAATGCACACTGTGTCCTGCAAGATTGAGACCACACAACAGCAGCTAAGGAATGAGCTCTGGCGCCGCACTGACCAGGTGCAAATTCCAGCTCCAATGTGACTATCCGGGCTACTCTGGGCTAAGTACTTAACCAGTCCGTGGTCGCGTCCTCATGGGAGAACACCTGCCTACCAAGGGCTGCATACGGCAAGCTTTCACTAAATGCTCGCTACTGGTAGTAGCTTTAGATAAACAATTCGTAACAACAAAAAGTGTTTCTAGCTTTTAATGGAATTAAACCATTTTTTCCAAACCGTGGATCACAACCAATTCGGTTTTCAAATCATCTTAATGGGATGCCACCACCACTTGAAAAAATCATTTTTAAAATTTTTGAAAAAATTTTTTGAGATGAAGTCTTGCTCTCTTGCCCAGGCTGGAGTTCAGTGGCACAATCGCAGCTCAGGACAGCCTCAAACTCCTGGGCTCAAGCAATCCTCCCACCCCAGCCCTCCCGCACGCCTGCGTCCACAGGTACGCACCACCTCACCATCATGCCCAGCTAACTTTTTTATTTTTTGTAGAGACAGGGTCTCCCTATGTTGCCTAGGTTGGTCTTAGAACTCCTGAACTCAAAGGATCCTCCTGCCTCAGTCTCCCAAGTGCTGGGATTACAGTGTGAGACACTGTACCTGGCTGACTCAGCTTTTATAAACAACAGATTCCAGTTTTGCAAATTTCTATGTGATGGCTTAACAAAACAATTATAATGAAAATTAATGAGATCTGTCCACATTTTTATTATTCCTAATTTATCAAATACTTTTTCATTAATTCTGGAATATAAGAAATAAGTAAACATTAAAGAAAAATACTTAAACAACAAAAAAGATTTATACAGGGTGCTATATTATTAATCTGTGCTATAATTTAAAAAATGGAATGGGGAAAAAAAGGAACAAAGGAAAAGATCAGAAAAGACATTGCAGCCTCGTGAGATGTGCAGGGACTGGTGTCATTCTAGAATATGACACCTGTGTGTCAGGTGTCTGTCTACACATATCTGTAGGTGTTATTCTATAATATGATACCTGTGTCAGGTGTGTGAGTTTACACGTGAGTATCTGCAGGTGTTATTCTACAATAGGACACCTGTGTCGGGTGTGTGTCTACAGGTGAGTATCTATAGGTGTTATTCTAGAAAATGACACCTGTGTCAGGTGTGTGTCTACATGTGAATATCTGTGAGTGTAAAGAAAAATGACAGAAACACATGCCTGTTGAGGTCACTGCATAAAATATATTCCATGTGAGTCAAAAAAGTCTGAAAAGCACAGGAATAAATGACACTAAAGGCTGGTTGTGTAACTGCAGATAAATGCATGCTGAAGAACATCAACTCAAACAAAAACCTGTAGTTATGGAGCGACCTAATGTCCTCCATCAGTATTACGAAGCATCTACCAGTAGTCATGGCAATGAACACACAGAAAATTGTTTCTGAACCAAACATTTTACTCATGAGATGTGAGAATTCAATATCTGGTCCACATCATTCAAGGAAAGACAAACAAACACACGAAACTTTAAAAACTATTTCTGTAAAATATTTTTCAGCATAATCGCATCAGAAGCAAAGCTTCTGAATTATTGCTACTACTGTGAAACAAATCTCCAATGTTCTGCTGAATTTCATAACTACATATCTAGAGACTGAATTATATTAATAGAATCTTGCTAAAATCATACTTGCCCAAAGGAGAAGGGGAAATCGGTTACAGAATGAGTGTGAGATGATTTTTAAGCCTGAGGCATAAACTTGGCCACAGCTAGAAATAATGTGCTTCCCACAGCAGGTTATTCTGCATGGGGGTGGGAGGGTAGGAGCGTGTATGTCCACCCCCTCCCAAGCATGAGGAGTGTGGCTGTTGGAAAGCAGAAGGAGGAAAGCGGCCTCTCCATCCACCTCCTAATGAGCCCGGAAAGAACGGGCGCGGATCCAACATCCTCTGCGTCCAGCGGCCGGCACTGGCAGGAACTTAAATGTTTGCTGAACTGAAACAAGGTCAATATTTCAAAGAAATGCTGCCCACAACACACACCTGGGCACATGATCACCCTTCTGACCCCAAACCTCCCTCTAAAAACCTGCCCCTTACTAAAAAGTTCCCAGCTGAGACCAGCTGATCTCAAGTAACAGGAAATCCAGGTGTAAATGCTCAGAACGATATTCTTCTATTCAGACATGAAGAGTGAGATAAGACAGATCTGGATTCAAATGCCAGCTCTGTCTCTATTGGCAGGGTGACTTTAAGTTATTCAAAGCTACCCTTAAATGATAGAATCCTTGTGAGTAAAACGGGGCCGTGACACTTAGACACCTCACAGGCTGTGGGAAGGGCTCGGCTACATAAGACCACATGCCTAGTGGGAGCCTGGCCTTAGGCACCTGGCCAGCAAGTGTCGGCTCTTTTCTCCTGCAAAACCAGTTTCAAAAGAAGGCCATGGCCCCTTAAGCAGTGAGTGAAGGAAGAAAGGCAGTTTGCTGCAGCGGCTCCCCTCTGATTTAATAGCTTGAAGTTGCTAACAAAGTTAGGTCAGGTCTCTTGATCCTTATGGGAAGGGTCAGGCAGAAATTAGTTCATTCGTTTTAGTAAAGACAGGCTGAGTAAGGGGGCAGTCTGTCAATGGCTCTCTTAGGATAAAGACGTTTTTCCATTGTGAGTACACATCTTGTCAGATCAGTATGGATTTCTCTTCAGATGAACCATGAAGAAAAGGATTTTTAAAAAGCAAAGGCTGTTGCTCTAGGGACTTCACCAGAGAGCGAAGTGAGCCCCAGGCCGTAGTAGCTGCTCCAACGCCACCAGCAGGGTCCTTACCTGAGTGCTTACTTTGGACCAGGACCTGTGCTCTGTGCCAGGGAACATTACATGCCCAATCTCTGACCACTATGAGGTAGTCCTAACTACACCCCTGTTTGGGGGTTTGGGTTTTGTTTTGTTTTTTTGTTTTCTTTGAAACACCAACTTGCTCTGTTACCCAGGTTGGAGTACAGTGGTGATCATAGCTCACAGCAGTCTCGAACTCCTGGGCTCAAGCAGTCCTCCTGCCTCAGCCTCCCAAAATGCTGGGATTACAGGTGTGAGCTACTGTGCCTGGCCACCTCTGTCTTAAAAACAGGCCATCACACAGATGTAGGATTGCCTGAGGGCTCCTGGCCAGAAAGCATGGGAGCAGGGATGCACAGACATCACCAGAGGCTACAGCCAGCACTCCCAGCCACTCTGTCGTGGGTTCAGATAAACCCAGGGTGCTTCAAATGGTCCCAGCTTCCTCCCAGAAGCACAGGCCAGAGGCAGACCCAGGCATGTGTCTCAAGTCCCTGGTCAGAGCCCAGGTCAGAGCCTGGAAGCGTCAATGTGCATTCCATCTGTGACAAGAAAGCATTAGGATGAAATTAGACCATGATTAAAACCAATTAATGTTGGCAAACAGTGCTACAACCTAACAAGGGAAATTTACAGAAAACATCTAAGAGAATTTCTCTTACTAATTATAGGCATACCTTGTTTTCATTGAACTTTGCTTTTTTTGTCCTCCATAGATATCCTGTCGTTTTTACAAATTGAAAGTTTGTGGCGAGGCTGCTTCGAGCAAGTCTACTGGTGCCATTTTTCCAACGGCACATGCTCAGTTCGTGTGTGTGTCACATTTTGGTAATTCTCGCAATATTTCAAACTTTTTCATTACAGCGTATCTATTACAGTGATCTGTGATTAGCGATCTTTGATGTTACTATTGTAATTGTGTTGAGGCACCACAAACCCCACCCACATAAAATGGCAAACTTAACCTATAAATGTTTGTGTCTGACTGCTTCACCAACTGGCCATCCCACCTCTCCTTGGGCCTCCCTATTCTCTGAGACACAACAATACTAAAATGAGGCCAATTAATGATCCCACAATGCCTGTAAGTGTTCAAGTGAAACGAAGAGTCACACATCCCTCACTTCAAAACCTAGAAATGATTAAGCTTAATGAGGAAGGCACGCAGAGAGCTGAGACAGGCTGAAAGCTCAGCCTCTTGTGTCAAACTATTAGCCAACTTGTGAAATGAAGGAAAGGTTCTTGAAGGAAATTAAAAGTGTTATCCAGTGAGCCCATGAATGATAAGAAAGTGAAACTGCACTGTTGCTGATAAGCAGAAAGTTTTAATGGCCTAGACAGATCAAAACAGCCACAATCCTCGCTTAAGCCAAAGCCTAATCCAGAGCAAGACTCTAACTCTCTTCCATGTTATGAAGGCCGAGAGGTGAGGGAGCTGCAGAAGAAAAGCTGGAAACTAGCAGAGGTCAATCCATGAGAACTAAGGAAAGAAGCCACCCTCCATAACATAGCAGTGCAAGGTGAAGCAGCAAGTGTTGCTGGAGAAGCTGCAGCAAGTTCTCCAGAACATCTAGCCAAGAGCATCGATGAAGGTCACTCCATTAAACAACAGATTTTCAGTGTAAACAGAACAGCTTTATAGTGGAAGAAGATGGCTCTAGGACTTTCATAGCTACAGAAAAGTCAGTGTCTGGCTTCAAAGGACAGGCTGACTCTCTTGTGAGGGGCTAGTGCAGCTAGTGACTTTAAGTTGAAGCCAATGCTCATTTACCATTCCAAAAATCCTAAGGCCCTTAAGAATGATGCTAAATCCATTCTTTCTGTGCTCTACAAATGAAACAATAAAGCCTGAATGACAGCACGTCTGTTTACAGCATGATTTGCTGAATATTTTAAGCCCACTGCTGAGACCTACTGGTCAGAAAAAATGATTCCTTTCAAAATATTCCTGCTCATTGACAATGCACCTGGTCACCCAAGAGCTGTGATGGAGATGTACAAAGAGATGAATGTTGCTTTCATGTCTGCTAACATGACATCCACACTGTAGCCCATGGATGAAGGAGTAATTTCAACTTTCAAGTCTTACTAAGAAATACATCTCATAAGGCTGTAGCCGACATAGATAGTGATTCCTATGATGGATCTGGGCAAAGTAAAGTGAAAATCTGTGGAAAGGATTCACCACTCTATATGCCATTAAGAACATTTGTGATTCATGGGAGGAAGTCAAAATATCAACATTAACAGGAGTTTGGAAGAAGTTGATTCCAGCCCTCATGGATGACTTTGAGAGGTTCAAGACTTCAGCAGAAGAAGTAACTACAGATGTGGAGGAATGGGCAACAGAATTAGAAATGGAGCCTGAAGATGACTGAATTGCTGCAATCTCATGGTATATATAACTCAGCAGATAAGGATCTCATGGTATATATAACTGAGCAGATAAGGATCTCATGGTATATATAACTGAGCAGATAGGGATCTAAAGGTATATATAACTTGAGCAGACAAGGAGTTGCTTCTTATGGATGAGCAAAGAAAGCAGTTACTTGAGACGGAATCTACTCCTGGTGATGATGCGGTGAACATTGTTGAAATTACAACAAAAGATTTAAAAGATTACAGAAACTTAGTAAAGCAGCAGTGGGCTTTGAGAGATGGACTCCAATTTTGAAAGAGGTTCTACTTTGCGTAAAATGCTATCAAACATCATTGCATGCTATGGGGAAATCTTTCATGAAAGGAAGAATCAACGCAGCAAACTTCACTGTTGTCTTATTTTAAGAAATCGTCACGGCCACCCCAAACTTCAACAACCACCACCTTGATCAGTCAGCAGCCATCAACATCAAGGCAAGACCCTCAACCAGCAAAAAGATTACAACTCACTGAAGGCTCAGGTGATCGTTAGCATTTTTAGCAATAAGGTATTTTTAAATTAAGGTATGTACATTTAAAAAAAAAACGTAATGCTGGTCAGGCACAGTGGCTCATGCCTGTAATCCCAGCACTGTGGGAGGCTGAGGTGGGCGATCACTTGAGCTCAGGAGTTTGAGACCAGCCTGGCAACATGGCAAAATCCCATCTCTACTAAAAATACAAAAATTAGCCAGGTGTGGTGGTGCACACCTGTGATTCCAGCTACTTGGGAGGCTGAGGCAGGAGAATCACTTGAACCCAGGAGGCGGAGGTTGCAGTGAGCTGAGATTGCACCACTGCACTCTAGCCTGGGCAACAGAGCAAGACTCTGTCTCAAAAAAAAAAAAAAAGAGAAATAATGCTGCTGAACACTATTATTACAGTATAGTATAAACATCATATGCCCTGGGAAACCAGAAAACTAAATCATAATGTTAATGTATGACTTTGTTGTGATAATCGCTTTATTGCAGTGCTCTAGAACTGAATGCATGTTATCTCTGAGGTATGCCTGTATTCACTCATACAGATTGGTTATCTACCTCATTTTTATATTTAATCTGTCAAATTTTGAAAAAAATTACAAGCTAGACCAAGTTTTAATATTTGGTTTCTCTCATTTCCATCTAATGGAATATGGAAGTTAAAACGGAATATATCACTTCAGTGGAGACATTTCAAACTAATCTTAACATAGGATTACTCTACAAACATTATTCTTCTACCTATATTAAACCAAATGCTAAAATCATAATGTTAAAAAATAGCAAAGTAGTTTCATTTACTAGTCACATAAAATATAGGAATTAGGTAAGGTGTGCCTTGGAACTGATTTAGGAACTCTGAAACATACCAGACTAATAAGGTTTCACTACAAAAGCATCATGAGAAAGAGAGCTTAAAAATATGACCAAGCTGCCAATGCTTTTTCTGTCTCAATGAATGTGTGTGGTCAACAGTTACCTCACCAGGCCTGAGGTGCTCAAACCCTGCACACTCCACAGTGCCCCTGATCAGCTCCCGAGCATCACCCATAAGCCCCTGGAACATCCTGCTATTAGTAGGTAAGAGTGTATTTCATACCCAGAACCTTGGGCAATGCCACATAGTTTGTGCTGATGATGTGACTTATGGTGAAGGCCTGTTTTTGTTTCATCTGGGGACCTGGACCACTGCATCCGTTTGACCTGGAGGGGCAGGGGCCTGGAGACCGCATAGCTAAGCCCAACCACGCGGGCATTCCATGGCCACATGACTGATTGTAAAACAATTCTGGATACCAGAGCTTAGCTGAGCTTCCCAAGTGGGCGACACTTGGCAGGCGGTGTCACACAACTTTCCTGGGAGAATCAGCAGTGTCCGTGTGACCTCACTGGAGCAGACACTGGGAAGCTCGTGCCTGGGTTCTCTGGACTCCACCCCACGTGCCTTTTCCTTCCGCTGGTTCTCACCTGCACCCTTCCATTGTAACCACAAGTATAAACCACAACCACCAGTAGATCAGATTTTTCTGAATCCAGTGAGACCTTGTAGTGAATCGTCAAACCTGAAGGCAGTCTTGGGGACCCCAGACACAAATGTGCTAAAGTTATACAAACTGAAATTCAGTGAGACAGCTCTGGTTACTCAGGTCAAACT